>NC_000011.10:123839091-124142121 GCF_000001405.40 Homo sapiens
GCAGCTATCTTCCATGTGCACAGAAAAGTGGAAAAAAACACTGCAGAGACAGAAAAGCAAATCAGGTGTATATTAGTTTCTTATGGCTGCTGTAACAAATTACCACAAACTTGGTGGCTTAAAACAACACTAATGTATTATTTTACAGTTCTGAGGGCAAGAAATCCAAAAACAGTTTCACTGGGCTGAAACCCAGGTGTTGGCAGAGTCATGCTGGAGGTTGTGGGAGAAAATCAGCTTCGTTGCCTTTTCTAGCTTTCGGAGGTTTATTTCTTGGTTTGTGGCCCTTTCCTCTGTCTCCAAAGCCAGCAGAGCAGCAGCATCAAATCTCTCTCTGCTTTCATCGTCACATGGCCTTCATTTTTGTAATAAAATCTCCTTTTGCCTAGCTCTTACGATGACATTTGGGATTACATGTAGGGCGCATCTGGGTAATCCAGGATAATCCCCCATCTCAAGAACTTTAACTTAATCACATCTACAAAAATCTCTTTGCCACATAAGATAACATTCACCGTTTCCAGAGGTCAGAACCTGGATATCTTTAGGGGCCATTATTCAGCCTACCACAAAGTATATGGAGAAAAATAATACAGAGAAATACAGCTACAGAGAGACCTAAGGAGAAATCAGAGACTTAAAGAGAAGAGAATACCTACCTTGGCTCCTTACAAATTTCTAGTTCCTTCTTTTTGTCACTTAGCAGGTTTTGATGTTTCTTATTTTCTGGGGTTCCATATGGCACTTTTGATTATTATGATAAGTACATAGTTTACTTAAGCAAGCTTGATTAGTTTTCTGATACTTTTTTTTTCCTCAACCAAATGAATGCTAAGATCATCTTCTGTATATGATGGCCATATTCGCCAGTTGCTATAGATGATCAGTCTAGACTCATGGTCAGTTATGGCTTCTGAATAAATAGTTTTCCTTTCAAACCAAATTGCCTCTCAGTCCATTCTAATTGTATCCCACTTCTGGTCTGCCTTGATCTGCAGGTCTGTCTAACTGTTGGCTTCTGGCTTCAGAAAAAGAAGGTAGCTTCCAGGCTAATTTGGTTTCCCCTCTTAAGTTTTCCTTCCACACTTTATAATATAGTGGAGTGCTAAAGGAGTCTGAAGTTCACATATTCTAAATTTCTGCCACTTACCAATGATGTAGTTTGGGGCAAGATGCTTAACCTCTGTAAACATCAGTTTTCTCATCTGTAAAATGGAGATAATGATATCAGCTTTCTAAGGTTATTAGGAGGAATAAATGAAATACATGTGTATATATTTAAGTATACTGTATAAACCCTGGATTATGTTATTGTTATTATTATTATTCCTTCCTTGCTATTGTTACTATTATTATATAATATTTAACTATCAAGGTTGAAGGCTTGCAACATCTGAAAAGAACTAGTAGAAGTGTTTGTTTTTAATTATATGTGGTTTCATTTCTTAGACCATCTTAGCTAAGCCTACAACAACAAAAAGAAAAAGCACAACGTCCCCATTTCACAGATGAGAAAACAAATGGTCAGATAGGCTAAGTGTCACTCGATAAAAAAAAAAAAAAAAAAGGGTGATAAAGCCAGGCTCAAAATTTAGGTTTTTTGATTTTAGTTTTGTATTTTTCATTAATCCATGATATTGTGAATGCACAGTGGTTCAATCATAGAGTTCAGGGAATGTCATTTTCTCTATGGCTGAATTGTCTCTTCTAAACTGTGACTACAGTACTTTGCCTCTGATGCGGCACTGAGCCTATTCATACCTTCCCATATGCCTTTGATTTTCTGGTGTCTAAATCTGTCTTTCTCCACACTGAGCTAGAGATGAAAATAACCATTCTGAGCAGAAAAGCTTGGTTAAAGTTTTAAGTTCTCCTGTGCCATGAGGACATAATTTTGCTGACTGCTTCTTTCAAGACTGCCTTTACCTTTTCATTTCTTAGACTATAAGTGAAGGGATTCAGAAGAGGGGTCACCATTGTGGGGACAGCTGTCACCTTGTCAAAACCCATTGAATGACTCTGGCTGGGCCTCACATACCTGAAGATGTTGCTTATATAAGCGATGGAAATGACGGTGATGTGGGAAGCGCACGTGGAAAAGGCCTTCCGACGTCCTTGGGCTGAGGGGATGTGCAGGATGGTAGAAATGATGTAGATGTAGGACACAGTGGTGAGCACCAGTGAGGTCAGGAGGATGAGGGAAGATAAGAGGAAGTTTATCATCTCGATGAAATGAGTGTCTATACAGGACACATGTAGCAGAGGGGTGATGTCACAGAAGAAGTGACTAATTTCCTTGTAACAGAAAGGCAATCTGGACACCACAATGGTTGGGCACAACACAGACAGGAAGGCTCCAACCCAGCAGCCCAGAACTAGTAGGAGGCAGGCCCTGCTGTTCATGATAATGGTGTAGTGCAGGGGGTCACAGATGGCCACGTAGCAGTCAAAGGACATCACTGCCAAGAGGATAAACTCCACTGTCCCCAAGAAAACAAAGGAAATAAGTTTGGGTGATGCACCCAGCAAAAGATATGGTCTTCTTGTCCTGCAGGAGACAGGCTAATAGCTTTGGGATAACTGAGGTGGTGAAAAAAATGTCCAAAATTGACAAATTACTGAGGAAGAAGTACATTGGGGTTTGGAGGCGATGATTCGCACATGTTAGGGAAATGATGGCAACGTTTCCTGTTAGAGTAAGCATATAAGTAAACAAGAGGACTGCAAAAAGGGAAATTTGAAGCTGCTGAAGAACAGGAAAGGCCGTCAGGGTAAACTCAGTCACTGTGGTCTGATTTTGGATGTCCACTGCAGGCAATGCCTAGTGGGAAGCACATCTCTGAAAAAAAAAAGATAAAATGCAGAGATGATGCTCAACTTACGGAAGTTTTCAACTCCCAATATCTGTGATAAGAGTGAAATAGAAAAAACTTTGTGTGAGGAGTCAAGAGTGATTCGTTCACAGTCTGCTTCTGACTTTATTAAATGTGGTCCCTTGGGTAAATGACATTACTTCTTCTAACTTCAGTATTCTCATATTTCAAAGTTTTGATTGAATGAAATTATCCTCATGGTCCCTATAATTCTAGTCTTTATGATTTTAGTCTCTTTTACACAATGCTCCTTCCTGTCTCTTTTTTGCTCTTCCTGACCTACTACTTTCCCAGCTAAATTCTGTTCTTAAAAAGAGAGGCATACTAAACTGAGAATCTGGTCAATTATTTGAAAAATTGAGAAAAAGAAGGTTAATAAAACTTGAGTTAGGCCCGGTGAGGTGGCTCATACCTGTAATCCCAGCACTTTGGGAGACCGAGGTGGGCGGATCACGAGGTCAAGATATTGAGACCATCCTGGCCAACATGGTGAAACCCTGTCTCTACTAGAAATACAAAAATTAGCTGGGCACGGTGGCGGGTGCCTGTAGTCCCAGCTACTCGGGAGGCTGAGGCAGGAGAATTGCTTGAACTCAGGAGGCGGAGATTGCAGTGAGCTGAGATCACACCACAGCACTTCAGCCTGGTGACAGAGTGAGACTGTCTCAAAACAAACAAAAAACAAAAAAAACTTGTTACTTTTCTCAAAGTTATTTCAACTTTGAAGATATCTTCTAAATCAAAGAACAGAAACTGTTAAAACTGGCCAAGACAGTTAAATCGAGGGGAGTCAACATTTACCTCTACTCATTTTTGTTATTGTTACCATGTTTTGAATATCAGTGTAATAGACAATTGGACACAAATTACTCTAATCAATCAGTCTTTCCCTACTTAGTTTTTCTTTGTTTTTACTTTATATAATAGAAATGTTTTGATGTCTACACTGTTATGGAACAAGTAGGTCCATGATACATAATTCATAATCTGTGTAACCTATTTTAAATATTTTGAAAAAAATCTGATGGAAAAATGATTATTTGTTGTTATTTTGTTGTTTGTTGCCATGTTACATTCATGGCAGCATCCAAAAGAACAACAAACGTTTCCCCTTTCCTTCTCCAACTGATTCTTACAGGTTTTCCCAAAGAAGTCTTTTATACACGGCATTTTTTTCCCAGCCATTTGAAGAGTAGGTTATTA
The DNA here is from genome assembly GCF_000001405.40 of Homo sapiens. Classification (NCBI taxonomy): domain Eukaryota; kingdom Metazoa; phylum Chordata; class Mammalia; order Primates; family Hominidae; genus Homo; species Homo sapiens. The sequence goes on from NC_000011.10 coordinate 123,843,168, forward strand.
ATAATACTGCAAAAAAGTGGATGCCGAAACATGTATTTGATCTATCGAAAAGATGTATATGAAACACTCAGCTTAATCTCTGAATACTGCCCTGCTTCACCGAAGATCTGTTTCATGTCTATGTAATTCAGCTGAAGCACTGTCCTCTGGTATATTATTTTGTGACCAGTGCTCTAGTTTCAAGTTAAAACAACTAATTTATATCTCTGAACTAGGTAAATTTTTTAACGTGGTGCACACAGAATTCCTCTTTAAGGGAGGCCATTTCCTCAGACTCTCTACCTGGGAAAAGTGACCTGCCAGAAGCTGTTACTATTATTATTTTTTCATTTATTCATTCTTTTAATTAACACATAGTTTTCTTTAGCATATGCCGTGCATCATGCAAATTTTCAGGTGCTGGAGCTATATCAGAGGAAAACAAAAAATATAAAGCAAAAACAAAGCAAAAATGTTAACAACAAAAAACTTCCCTTATGAAGCTTACAGTATAGTTAAGAGAGACAGAAAATTAGATAAATAAGTAAAATAAATGCTATGATCTTAATTGTGGTAAGTCTCAGAGCTAAGACATTTTTTCTAAACATATTTCCATTTGCAAATCTGGCTGTGACTTTTTCTGGTTCTTGTAGTTGCTTCTTTATTTTTATTCACTACTCATTTTTTCATGAATCAAGGTATCCTTGTTATTTTAATAATTATCTTCATCTTCTCTGTTCCATATAAGAACATTCTGGTTTCTTATAATTTTTTCACATTTCTAAGCTGTTGGTAAGTACACTTTACAAATGCATAGTGGTTTTTGTCTATTTAAGAGTAATTTTCAAATGAAAGTGGCATGGAATAACTTGACTTGCTGTTGAGCTTAGTAGCTCTTTTTACTTCCTTAACATCCTTGGTCCTGGTTTCTGAATCCATGAGTATTGGTCCTCTCCATATTCCTTCCCAGTCTAAATATTTCTTTTGTTTTTCATGAGGTCAGACGCCATATCTATTTCATACCTCATCCTTTGAGCCCAGAAGGTGCTCATTGATTTACTAAATAAATAAATCAGAATTGGGGAAGCTTCTCCCTGAAGCATGAGGTTGCAGCTGCCACAAGGGTAAGCAATGGTAACCTCTATAGCTTGTATTTTCACATATCCAGTGCAGACTTCTATCACATCCTGTACTTTCTTGGTGTGTTTTTCTTTGCCCAGTTATCAGGATCTGTGTAGTTTTGGAAAACTGCTTCCTGCAATATTAATGCTGGGCTTGGGAAGAAACCCAAACACCGCAATGCCTAATCAAGATCTTTCGTAGTTTAGAGGTGGGAGACAAACAAAAAGGTGAAATTCTATGATAAAAAGAGAAGTTTACATTAGTAAAGTGCATTATTCCACTTCTTCTAGTAATTTTTTGAATTGTTACAAGGTGGGCTGTTTAATTAGATTTTAAGTTATTAAAGAATTCCAAAGAGTAATATCTATTGAAATAGGCTCTTGGCACCAATAGAAACTCTTTTTACCACAAATACTCTAATGTTCTCTCCTCGCTCGCTCTACTGCTCTTTTGCCCAGACAATAAACTTCTAAACTATTGGCTACAGCACAAAGAGCAAAAACTATATCTGGTTAGGCAAGTAATAATGTTATTGAGATAGAATACAAAAATAGAATAGAGCACACTATGTAGACAAGGAGAAAAGCTTTAGAATTCCCCTGCATTTTCCCCTTCCTCTCTTCATCACTGATAACACTGAAGACTGACAGATATCTTAAGGCAGAATAATGAAGATTTTCATACCTATCATCCCATTGTTCAATGCCTATCATCCCATTGTTCCTTTCATTTGTCTAATTTCTTTACAACATCCTTAATGTCTTACTTTTTTTTTTTTTTTGTTGCTAGGTAGTCTTTTAGGACCCTGATAGGAGCTTGATTTCCCTCTGGTATTTTAAAAATTGAGCAACTCAGGCTTTTCAAAAGCATTATACAATTTTTAAACAATCAAAATCTGTGGTGGTTGAAAACAAACAGAGTTGTTATTTGCCATGATTGTCATAAAAAATTATCACTATGGGAAAAAAAAATGGTATTGCGAGCTTTCTATTTTGCTATACTTTGGGTCAAATGTACGTCTCTGAGAAGAACTGAATACGTAGCATCTCTCTCCTTTGTGGAGCCTCTTAACTTCTGAAAAGAACATGGCCTTTTTAAGGTTATCTCAGGGCCCTGAGGACCTCATCATATCTAGGAAGGAAGGCTCTGGGCTCTCTGGACTGTAAAGACCTGTGTGTAACAATTTAGGCTTTCATTTTTGGGGGCATTTGTTCCCTCATTAACATTTCTGTGGATCCTTAGAAAATTGCGTAAAATTGCACATTTAAAGATTCAAGAATTAGTCAGGAAAATGTGGCATAATAGGAAAAAGTGTAGCAGGTTTTAGAATCAATGATATGCTATATTTTTAGTTTAATCACTTGTAGCTTTATGATCTTTTAATAGGATGCTTAAGCATCCTGAGTTTTATCTTCCTCATCTCTAAAATGGCAAAAGTAGTAATACCAGATTCAAGGTCCTAAGACAGTGCCTACCACAGTGATTTATACCTAGTAGGTGCTCACTAAATGTTTCTTAAGAACATAGGGTTGGGAAAGGGTGAACAGAAATGAAATAAGATGTGATGCAGGTTGGGGATTAGATGTAACTTAAGTTCTTTACTATCAGTAAAATGTAAAAATGTTTGTTACTGAAGTATATTAAAAGATTTAATTACATACTTAGGATAAAGATATAACATTTGACACCCTCCCTCATAAAATATTTGACAGAATGGTAATTACATTTTAATTTATAAAATTACCCATAAACAAATTTAAGTGACACTTAGATTGTTTGACATAAATACAGATAATTACATGACAAAGTATACTTACATTACACTGCTTGTAGAACGATTGGTAATTTCTTCATTCAAATATGTTAAGAAATTTGAACTTCAAGTATTTTTTTCCTACTCCATATCATTCATTATTCTTTAAATGCTTTCACTGCTCCAGTTTTGAATTCTCTATAAACCTACCTCTGTTTTAGCTGAGACTCCTCCTTATACCACACTTAATCCCCTTTGCAGAACCATACCGAATGGTTATTCAATTTTGGCTGGAATACTCCATCTGTCTTCCCTTGATTGAGAAGCTATCTTTTTATAACCTCTAATTACTTTTCTCAGTTCTTTTTCTTAGTCCCATTGAAGAAGTCTAAGTCTTGATTTATACTAAGTCCAAGTGTTATACCATTATTTAATCATTTCATCCTGCATATCTAGTGTATCTCAAACTTCGAATAGTCCTCTGAGTTTCAAGGACTACATTTTTGCCAAAAGAATTTTGATTTGGTAATGAATCAAGACATTAGACACGACTGAATTAAGCATAGGTCCTTGACTTCTATTTTAGATCACTGGTAAAATGATCGAAAGCTTCTGAACTCTCAATTATTTTTTCAGCAGTAGGAATGTAATTTCCTGTCTATCCAGTCGATTTCTATTTCTTCAGTGGATCCATCCAGAAAATTGAAGTTTTCAAACCCACAGAATGTCAGATTGGAAGAAAACTTAAAGGGCATCTGAGCCAACTTTGTCCTAAAAAGTTCTACAATATCTTCAACAAGTTATCCAGTGACATTAAACTTGCTATTCTTAAATCATCTTATTTTACTTTAACATTCTTGATTGTTAGAAAATATTATATTTGTATTCAGTGAAGTAATCTCTTTAACCTTCAGCATTTTGTTTAGGTATTCCTGCTTATTCATCAGGCATATTGTGACTTGATTTTAGATACATCTACCTTATTTGCTCGCCCCAGAAAATAATATGACCTTCCCTGTATTAAAGTGATTATAATTGTGATCTTTAATGATTTTTTGTTTACCTTCAGAGATCGGGATTAGAATGGCTCTTGGGACTATTGCATAGAAAAGGTTTATTATTACTGCAATCAAGTAATGTTAGAATTGAAGTAACTAATCATAGTTAAAAAGTTAAGGTTTCCTGGAAAACTCTCTTGGGTGTTTTCAGGAAAAACTTAGAGACCTGCTTTAAAGCCTCAGAGAAATAGAAACTTGGAAAACTTAAAAAAAATCTGACATGTTCATCATGTCTTAAAATAGGCTTTCAACTGCTCTTCAAAGTGAGATTATTTACATATATATGTAGATATTTTAAAATCCATTTATTGAGGTATGCTTTATACATAATTAGTAATTTAAAATGTATAATTTGTTAAATTTTCACATGTATACAGTCATATAGCCACTGTCATCAACATGACAATATTTTAAAAATATTTCCATTACCTTAAAACGTTTTCTGGTGCTCTTTTGCAATAAATGCTTTTCTTCCCCAGCCTCAGCTCCTGAAAACCACTGACATGTTTCATATCAATATAATTTTGATTTTTCTAAAATTTTACATAAATGGAATCTTATAGCATATAGTATTTTGTACCTTGCTCCTTTCACTTAAATTGATGCTTTGACAATAATACAAATGATTCAGGTATCAGTCGCTTCTGCCTTTGTACTGTTGAAGATGATCAATTGTATAGATTGCGTAGATATACCACAGTTTGGGTATCTATTCATCAGATAATGGGCACTTGAGTTGTTTCAAATTTTGGCTATTATGAATATAACATCTATGAACATTTGAGTTTCTGTTTTTGTGTGAATATTTGTTTTTATTTGTCTTGGATACATTCTTAAGAGCAGAATTACTATGTTGGATGGTAAAAGGAGATAGTTTGACTTCCTCTTTCCATATTTGTTTGCCTTTTATTTCTTTCTGTCGCCTGACTGCTCTGCCTAGGACATCCAGTACTATGTTGAATAGGAGTGGTAGTAGAGGGCATCCTTGTGTTGTTGCAATTTTCAAAGAGAAGGCTTCTGGCTTTTGCCCATTCAGTATGATGTTGGCTGTGGGTTTGTCACAGAAGGCTCTCAATTTTTTGTACTAAGTTTCTTCAATGCCTAGTTTGTTGAGGGTTTTTAACATAAAGTGTTGTTGAATTTTATTGAAAGCCCTTTCTGCATCCATTGAGATAATCCTGTGGTTTTTGTTTTTAGTTCTGTTTGTGTGGTGAATCACATTTATTGATTTGTGTATGTCAAAGCAACCTTGCATACCAGGGATAAATCCTACTTGATCATGGTAGATTAGCAGCTTTTTGATGTGCTGCTGCTATATTCAGTTTGCTAGTATATTGATGAGTATTTTTGTATCTCTGTCCATCGAGGATATTGGCCTGAAGTTTTCTTTTTTTGTTGCATCTTTGCCAGGTTTTGGTATCAGGATGATGCTGGCCTCATAGAATGAATTAGGGAGGAGCCCTCCTCCTCAGTTTTTTGAAATGGTAGGCATGGTACCAGATCTTCTTTATACATCTGGTAGAATTCAGCTGTGAGTCTGGTCTTGAGGTTTTTCTGGTTGGTAGGGTTTTTATTAATGACTCAATTTCAGAACTCATTATAGGTCTGTTCAGGGATTAAATTTCTCCCTGGCTCAATATTAGGAAGTTGTATGTATCCAGGAATTTATTTCTTCTAGATTTTCTTTTTTTTGTTTGTTTGTCTTTTGTTTTTGAGATGGAGTCTCACTTTGCCACCCAGGCTGGAGGTGCAGTGGTGTGATCTCGGCTCACTGCAAGCTCCACCTCCTGGGTTCATGCCATTCTCCTGCCTCAGCTTCCCAAGTAGTTGGAATTGATCACTATTTTTATTGTGCTGTGGTTCCAAAATGAGGTTGGTATGATTTCAGTTTTGAAAAATTTGGTGAGGATTGTTTTATGCCCGAGTGTGGTTGATTTTAGAGTATATGACATGTGCAGATAAGAGGAATGTATATTCTGCTGTTTTTGGTTGGAGCATTCTGCAGATGTCTATTAGGTCTGTTTGGTCAAGTGTTGAGTTCAGATCTTGAATATCTTTGTTAGTGTTCTTCCTCAGTGATCTAATACTGTCATTAGGGTATTGAATTCTCCCACTATTAGTGTGTAGTTATCTAAGTCTCTTTGTAGGTCTCCATGGACTTGCTTTATGAATCTGGGTGTTCTTTTGTTGTGTGCATATATATTTAGGACAATTAGGTATTTTTGTTGAATTGAACCCTTTACCATTATGTAATGCCCTTCTTTGTCTTTTTGGGCCATTGTTGGTTGAAAGTCTGTTTTGTCTGAAATTTGAGTAGTAGCCCCTCCTTTTTTCTTTTTTTCTTTCTTTCTTTTTTTTTTTTTGTTGTTGTTGTTTTGTTTGCTTGGTAGATTTTTCTCCACCACTTTACTTTGAACCTGCGGTGTCATTGTATGTGAGATGGGTCTCCTGAAGACAGCATACAGTTGGGTCTTGCTTCTTTATTGAACTTGCTACTGTATGCCTTTTAATTGGGGCATTTAGACAATTTACATTGAAGGTTAATATTGATATGTGTGGATTTGATACTGTCATGTTGTTAACTGATTATGCAGACTTGATTGTGTGGTTGCTTAATATTGTTACTAGTGTATGTACTTAAGTGTGTTTTTGTGGTGGCCAATAATGGTCTTTTCTTTCCATATTTAGCACTCCCTTACAAACTCCTTGTAAGGCAGGTCTGTTGGTAGCAAATTCCCTTAGCATTTGCTTTTCTTAAAAGAATCTTATTTCTTCTTCAGGTATAAAGCTTAGTTTGGCTGGATATGAAACTCTTGGTTGAAAATTCTTTTAAGAATGCTGAATACAGGCCCCTAATCTCTTCTGGCTCATAGGGCTTCTCTCTGAAAAGTTCACTGTTAGCCTGATGAGGTTCCTTTTGTAGGTGATCTGCACCTACTCTCTAGCTACCTTTAATATTTTTTCTTTTATTTCTACCTTGCAGAATGAATCTTATGACTATGTGTCTTAGGGATGGTCATCTTGTATAGTATCTCTAAGGGATTCTCTGCATGCATTTCTTGAATTTGAAAATCAGTCTGTCTAGCAAAGTTGGAGAAATTTTTGTGGACAATATTCTCAGTATGTTTTCCAAGTTGCTTGCTTTCTGTCCCTCTTTCAGTGATATCCATGAATTGTAAATTTGGTCTCTTTATTTGATCTTATATTTCTAGGAGGTTTTGTTCATTCTTCTTTACTGGTTTTTCTTTATTTTTGGGTTACTGAGTTATTCAGAGAACTAGTCTTCAAGCTCTGAGATTCTTTCCTTAGCTTGGTCAATTCTGTTGTTAATACTTGTGATTGCATTGTGAAATTCTTGAAGTGAGTTTTTTGGCTGTATCAGATCAGTCTGATTTTTTTTTTCTTAAAATGGCCATTTCATCATCCATCTTCCATATTATTTTGTTGTATTCGTTAGAGTCCTTGAATTGGGTTTCGACTTTCTTCTGAATCTCAATCTTCATTTTTATCCCTACTCTGTATTCTATTTCTGTCATTTCAGCCTGATTCCAATTTATTGCTGGAGAACTAGTGTGGTTGTTGGAAGGTCAGAAGACACTCTGGCTTTTTGAGTTGCCAGAGTTCTTGCACTGGTTCTTTCTCATCTGTGTGGGCTGATATTCCTTCAGTCTTTGAAGCTGCTATCCTTTGAATGTTTTTTTGTTCTTTTATCTTCTTTGATGCCCTTGCAGGTTTGATAATGGTATAATGTGAGTTCAGTCAACTGGCTTTATTTTTGGAAGGTTTTAGGGGGCTAGAGCTCAGCCTAGTGCTTTTGGGTTGTGTGCTGTAACTCTGGGGGCTGGTATCAGACCTCTGGCTTTGTTCTCTGGCCTCTCAAAGTTAGAAACCTTTGCTGGAGCAGCTGAGATATTCCTGGACCATTGGCCATAGCACTCTGATGGGTGGTGCCAGCCAAAGTACTTCACTGGGGCAGTAGCAGTGGAATTCATGTTCATTCATGTGTGCCAGCAATAGCGGCAGTGCGGCAGGGTACTATGCTCATCACCTGTGGTAGGGTACCAGTGGGAGTGGAGCTGTGGCATTCCTATTCATGGTCACATTGGCAATGCCCGTGGTGGGGGCAGGCTGCTGTTGCACACAGGGCTGCCAGCCTCTGTGCCTGTGTTTGCAGTAGCAGGGGTGGTGGTGGCGTATGCGGGGGTTGGGGTTGTCATTGTGTGTGTGTTCATGTCAGCAGCAGCAGCTGTGTTGGGGGAGTGGGGTTGCTGGCATCTGTGTGTGCATTTGTGCTGACCATGGTGGCACAGCCAGGGGTGGGGTGGCCTCATACCAGTAGCAGTGGTGCAGGGTGCATGTGTACACATGTGCCGGTGAGTGAAGGGAGTTGAGGTCTACCCACTGTCTCACATGCCAGCAATGTGGTGGGGAGGTGGCTATAGGTGAGTGCATGCTGGAAGAGTGGCATGGGAGAGGCTGCAGTCGGGGAACAGTGTGGGTGGGATAGTACATGATGGTGGGAGCCACTCTTTTGGTGCTTTTCCATGGTCAGATGCAGTCTGCCAGTGAGGGAGCTGTGATAAGGGCACTCAGGAAACATCTTGATTGGGTATTTGAGGCTGCACTGTAAGCATGCATGGCCAGGCTGTGGTCCTGGGGGTGGGGGCAGCAGACGGGGAGTTGCTCAGATTGGGCTGGACCCATCTCACAGGCAAGACACCCTGCTCTGTTCATGTCCAATAGGCCCCCTAAGGCTAATGTCTCCTAGAGGAGCATAGTGAGCCTTGGGTGATGGGTATCCCTGGCCATGCTCCACTGCAGATGTTTCCACACCAAACCCCCTGGGCTCTGCACAGGCTGGAGTCCTGCCCCTACCACCTCTCTAAGAAGCTCTCCCTGCCAGCTCAAGTGCCCATGGGGCTCATAGGGTCTCCTGTTGCCAGGATTCCAGAGGTCTGTGGTGAGAGCAGTCACTTCTTGCCTGTTCACCTCGCTCCTCCCCCAGGAATTGAGGGCCATGAATGAGCCCCAGTGTGCAGTAGCTCCATGCAGAGTTGCTGGCTTCCACTCCCTTCAGCCCAGCCTCTGTGTCATCCCTCTGTCCACTCTCAATGCCTTTACTCTGAAGATCTGCTCAGAGTGTGCCTGTCTTCTCAATGTCCCAGTCTCTTGGTGTCAGATGTTCCTTCTGGCTGCTTCTAGTCACTTATCTTGAATCTGGTTTGCATGTCTGTCCCCTCCAAATCCCATCTTGAAATGTGATTCCCAATGTCAGAGGTGGGGCCTAGTGGAAAGTATCAGATCAGAGGCAGATCCCTCATGAGTGACTTAGCACCCTCCCCTTGGTAATGAGGGAGTTTTTGTTAGGTTTGTTCTTGTGGGTTCTGGTTATTTTAAATAGTCTGAGACTTACCCCTCCTCCATCTTGCTTCTGCTCTCACCATGTGATGTGCTGGCTTCCTCTTCACCTTCTGCCATGAGTGGAAACAGAAATATCCTGTCACAGATATGTCTTTATGACAATGCAAAAATGAACTAACACAGAAAATTGGAACTGAGGAGTGGAGAATTGCTATAAAAATACCTGAAAATGTGAGAGTGGCTTTAGAATTGAGTAATGGGAAGACACTGGAAGAATTTGGAGATCCCAGAAGAAGATGGCAAGACAAGGGAAAGTTTGCAACTTCTTAGAGACTTGTTAAGTGATTATGACCAAATTGCTCATAGAAATATGGACAGCGAAGGCCAAGCTGATAAGGTCTCAGATGAAAATCATGAAGTTATTGAGAACTGGAGCAAAGGTTACCCTTGTTATATCCTAGCAAGGAACTTGGCTGCATTGTATTTATATCCTAGGTCTCTGTGTAAGGTTGAACTTAAGAGTGGCAGAAGAAACTTATACGCAGCAAAGCATTCAAGATGTGGCCTGCCTGCTTATGACAGCCTGGGATCAGATATCAAACAAAATAATTACTTAAAATTGTAACTTATATTTAAAAGAGAAGCAGTACACAAAAGTTTAGAACATTTGCAGCCTGGCGGTGTGGTAGAGAAGGAATCCAAGTGGCTTGCAGAGCCACCACTTGCCAGAAAGATTAGCATGACTAAAAGGGAGCCAAGTACTAATAGCCAAGACAATGGGCAAAAGGCCTTAAAGGCATTTCAGAAGTCTTTAGGACATCCCCCTTCCATTACAGGCCCAGAGGCCTTTAGGACATCCCCACTCTGGGCAAGGCCTGCGGTGCTGCCCAGTGCCACCTAGGGACACCACTCCCTGCATCATGGCTGTTCCACCTTTAGTCATGGCTCAATAAGACCCAGGTACAGCTCAGGTCACAGCTCCAGAGGGCACAAGCTGTAAGCCTTGGTGGCTTCCACATGATGTTAAGCCTGCAGTTACACAGAATGCAGGAGTGAAGGAGGCTTGGCAGCTTTCACCTAGATTTCAGAGGAAATACTGAAAGGCCTGGGTGCCCAGGCAGAAGCTTGCTTCAGGTGGAGCCCTTGCACGGAGACTCTACTAGAGCAGTGCTGAAGGGAAATGTGGTGTTGGAGCCTCTACATGGAGACTCCTATGGGGCACTGCCTGTGGGAATGGGGCCATCACCCACCAGACCCCTGAATGGTAGAGCTAGTGGCAGCTTGCACCTTGAGCCCAGAGAAGCTGCAAGCACTTAACTCCAGCCTGTGAGAGCAGCCACAGGGGCTGCACCCTGCAAAGATGCAGGGGTGGAACTGTGTAAGGTCTTCAGAGTGCACCCCTCACATCAGTGTGCCCAGAATGTGGGACATGGAGTCAAGGGAGATTACACTGGAGCTTTAAGATTTAATGTCTGCCTGCTGGGTTTCAAATTTGTGTGGGCCAGTTGCCTCTTTCTTTTGGCCAATTTCTCTCTATTTAAATGGGAAATGTCTACACATTGCTTTTACCACCATTGTGTCTTTAGAGTAAATATCTTGTTTTGATTTTACATGTTCATAGGTGGAAGAAACATGGCCTTGACTCTCAGATTAAATTGAAGACTTTGGACTTTTGAGTTGATGCTGAGTTGCATTAAGACATTTTGGGTTGGGGACAAAATGGCCAGTTAGATGTAGCTGTGGTCCATGGCACTCATGGAGAGGAATGAAAAGGGGCAAGTGAATACAATACCTTCAATTGAAATATCCAGGTTATCATATTAGGAATGAATAGGCAAGCAGTTAAGATCCACAGAGAGTGGGGAGAAGCAGGTTTGAGGTGGGGGGTGCAGTGATGGCCCACCCAGGAGAAGCTTGGGGCCAAAGAAACCCTCATCCTCAGCCAGGGAAGGTGGTGAGTGTTTGTGTGACTCACCTGGGAAGCCATGCTTCTCCCACAGGTCTTTGCAACCTGTGGAGCAGAAGATCCCCTCATGAGCCCACATCACAAGGGCCTTGGGTTTGTTACACAAAGCTGGGCAGAGTCCTGGCAAAATAGCCACTTACACACATACAAAGACCCAGGAGTTTTGCATGCTCGGGCCAGAGATACTGACAAGGTGGAAAATCCTTCTATACACATCCCTAGGAAGGAGGCTGAATACAGGGAGTCAAGCAGCATCGTTCTGTAGGCCCCACTTCCATAGTACCTCATGGGTTAAGACCCACTGGGTTAGAATCTGGCCAGCCAAGGGCAGAGGGTTAAGTCGGCTGGAGACAAGACCTTGTTCCTGAAGGGAAGGACGGCCACCATCTTTATGGTTCAGAGGGAAACAGCCATTCCAGCTTGCTGGCTGTGGAGAACGCATACAGTCCAGATGAATAGGGGCCCCCACGGTGCAGCACAATGGCCTTGCCAGATCGGGGCCAGACTGCTTCTTTAACCTGGGCCCTGACATAGTCCTCCTTACTGCGTGGGTCCTTTGTTCCACAGACAGAACTCCGATCTCTCCCTGGCAGGGAGTTCCTGGTAGGAGGGATGACCACCATATCTGTGGTTCTGTAGACTCAGCCATCCCAGCCTGCCAGGGGCACAGAAAAGGAAAGGACCCCGGGGCACAGTATAGCTGCCTTACCAGATGGTGGACAGACTGCTTCTTTAGCCAGACTACTTCTTTAACCGGGACCCCGACCCACTTCTCCTTACTGGGTGGGTCCTCAGCTCTGCAGACAGAGATCTAATCTCTCCTTAGGAGGGAACTCCCAAGGGGAGGAGCATCCGCCATCTCTGCAGTTCCCTAAACTCAGCCATTTTGTCCTGCTGGCTGAGGAGAATATGGGCAGTCCCATATTCATGAAAGAGGCTTCCCCCGACCCAGCACAACATGTTTGCTCTACCAAGAAGCAACCAGACTTCTTCATGGGGTGGGTTCTTGATCCTGTCCCTCCTGACTGGGTGAGATCTTCCAGTGGGGGACCCCAGCTGCCTCCTGCAGATGCAGGAGAGGCCAAAGAGAGTGGGGTCTGGAGTGGACCCCCAGCAAACCGCAGCAGCCCTATAGTCGAGTGGCCTGACTGTTAAAAGAAAAACAAACAGAAGACAACTACAATATCAACAACAACAACAAAAGACCTTACAAAAACCCCATTCAAAGGTTAGCAACCTCAAAGATCAGAGGTAGATAAGCCTACAAAGATGAGAAAGAATTAATGCAAAATGCTGAAAACTCAAAAAGTCAGAGTGCCTTTTTCCAAATGACTGCAACACCTCTCCAGCAAGGGCACAGAATTGGGCTGAGGCTGAGATGGATGACTTGGCAGAAGTAGGCTTCGAAAAGTGGGTAATAGTGAACTTCACTGAGCTAAAGGAGCATGTTGTAACCCAATGCAAAGAAGCTAAGAATCATGATTAAAAAATACAGGAGCTGATAACCAGAATAGCCAGTTTAGACAAGAGCGTAACTGACCTGATGGAGCTGGAAAACACAACATGAGAAATTTACAATGCAATCACAACTATCAGTAGCAGAATAGACCAAGTGGAGGAAAGAATCTCAGAGTTTGAAGACTATCTTTCTGAAATAAGACAGGCTGACAAGAATAGAGAAAAAAGAATGAAAAGCAACAAACAAAACCTCTGAGAAATTTGAGACTATGTAAAAAGACCAAACCTACAATTGATTGGCGTATCTGAAATAGACAAGGAGAATGAAATCAAATTGGAAAACATACTTCAGGATATCATCCAGGAGAACTTCCCCAATCTAGCAAGACAGGCCAACATTCAAATTCAGGAAATCCAGAGAACCCCAGTAAGATAGTCCATGAGAAGATCAACCCCAAGACACGTGTTCATCAGATTCTCCAAGGTCAAAATGAAAGAAAAACTGTTAAGGGCAGCCAGGGAGAAAGACCAGGTCATCTACAAAGGGAAACTCATCAGACTAACAGAGGATCTCTCAGCAGAAACCCTACAAGCCAGAAGAGATCGGGGGCCAATATTCAGTATTTTTAAAGATAAGAATTTCCAGCCCAGAATTTCATATCCAGCCAAACTAAGCTTCATAAGTGAAGGAGAAATAAGATCCTTTACAGACAAGCAAATGCTGAGGGAATTAGTCACCACCAGACCTGCCTGGCAAGAACTCCTGAAGGAAGCACTAAATATGGAAAGGAAAAATTGTTACCAGCCACTACACAACACAGTGAAGTACACAGACCAGTGACACTATGAAGCAACCACACAAGTCTGCATCTGTGTTCGTAAGGTATATTTGGCCTATAGTTTTCTTTTCTTGCAGTGTCTCTCTTTAGCTTTGTCTCTTGTAGTGTCTCTGTTTGTTTTTTCCTGTCTCTGTTTGGCTGGCCTCATACAATGGGTTTGAAGGTGTTCCTTCCTCTTCAGTTTTTTGGAAGAGTTTGAGAATAATTGGTTGTATTAGTCTGTTCTCATGCTGCTAATAAAGGCATACCCAAGATGGGGTAATTTATAAAGAAAAAGAGGTTTAGTGGACTCACAGTTTCACATGGCTGGGGAGGCCTCATAATCATGGTGGAAGACAAAGGGGGAGAAAGGCACATCTTACATGGTGGCAGGCAAGAGAGCTTGTGCAGGGGAACTCCCATTTATAAAACCATCAGACTTATTCACGATCATGAGAACAGTATGGAGGAAACTGTCCCCATGATTCAATTATCTCCATCTGGCCCCACCCTTGACTCATGGGGATTATTACAATTCAAGATGAGATTTGGGTGGGGACACAGCGCCAAATCATATAATTGGTATTAATTATTCTTTAAGTATTTAGTAGAATTCATCCATGAAGGCATCTGATCGTGGGCCCCCCTTTTTTTTTTTTTCTGTGGTTGTTTTTCTTGGGAGGTTTTTGATTGCTGATTTAATCATTTTTGTTCTTACCCTATCATTCTAAGTCCTCTCAATGCTTTGAGGGAAGTGAGAGAAACAGGTATCTCAGGAAGCTCCCCTAACTGCTGGGCACATTGGATGCGAGCTTCACTCCCTCTTGGTCCTGAGGGAGAAATCACGTGATGAGGAGCTCTCTCAGGGCATTGAACTGTGCTAGCTTGGGGACAGGGACTGATGTGGATAAAGTGAAACTGCTCTTCTTACCTGTTTCAATGCAGCTGTTTTTGGTTATATGTTTGTCTACAGTGCTGCAATTTCTTAACTGAGTTCTGGGATCTCATAAAAGTATTTTGTCCCATATGTGAATAGTAAATCAGTGTTTCCATGGGGAGATGAGGGCTGTACTTCCTAATTTACCATCTTGCTCGTGTCACTTTCAATTTCTCTCTTGATGTGCTACTTTGCACATGGCCCCAAAGTATATCAAGTTGTGGTGCTTCATAAATATTCACAAATAATACATTCTTTCAAAAGTTGTCAGAATCATCACTTGTGGTGGGACCTTGGATCTCACGATAATCATCCTTTGTTGATGGGTTAGTCTATGACTTTTGTATTAATAATTTAAATTCTGCCCCAAAGCTGTGACTTATTTATGTTGGATATGGGATCTAGACTCCCAGATTAAATACTGCATTATTTTGTTGCCGTTACCACTTAGGAACTTCATTACTAACTTGCTGCCAGTGGAGATAATTCAAAACCAGTAAAAGTTGCAATCAGTTCACTTTGGCTCAGTACATTTCCCTCAGGATTAATTTCCAAACTTTGAACTTAAAGAAAAAAAAAAAAAACAGTCCCTTAGGACATTTACTTACAACTAGAAGACAAAAAAATGAGTTTTTAAAAAGCAGGAAGTTTTAGATATTTATTTCTACTCACAAAATGGACACTACATTAAAGAACGTGAACCTTGAGAGTTTAAAACAGATAGAATAAGATAATATCCTATTTATTTAACCAAATATGAGAGTCCCTTCTTAGTTTCCTGTGCATTAGTGGTAAAATAAATTTGACCTCTTCATAACAAAATTCTCATTTAATTAAAAAAATTTAAATGTATGTATTCTGGGTACGAAAATGTAGGAAATGTAGAAAAGTAGAGTGATGGAAAAATGCCAGCCATCGTATTACTCAAATTAATCTATGTTAACTATTTGGAGTATTTCATTTCAGCCTATGAGAAATTTTGAAGTGCAATTTAATTATGAATGAATGAAGAGGTTTTGAAAGTTCCTTTTCTAAATATTTAGTTCCATATTTACCTATAGGCCTATAGGCCTTTTGTTGTATCCAAGTGAAAGCAACTTCCTCTTTGCACTTGAACATAACTTCACCTCCAATCCAGACCACCGCTGTACAAACTGGTTGGGATACGGGTCTGTTCAAAGCAAATAAGACCATGCTAGACATTTTTACGTGTGTGACTGAAGTCAGATACTGAAGCTTGAATCTTATCTTTATTGGGATTTTAACACGATGTGCATGAGTAGAAAAAAAAACCCACATAAGTAATTTGGGCTTTGCATTTTAGTCTATAGGATAGAAACTTGTGTTTAAAGAACTGTTATCCCACAGACTTGGGGTAGTCTTCTGACAGCTCTCTCTTAAACCAGTGATGAGAATGGTGAGTAATGAGGAACAAACATAAAAGAAGACCCTTAAAAAGTCATACTGTCACTGATTTTGTAGATGACGAGGCTTTAGGTAATGTAATATCTTCCAACTGTCACAAAATGTCATGAAACAATCTAATAAATGAAGACTGTTTTACTACATTGAATCCATAAAAGAAGTTAAATTGATCTCTTTCGGTGTTTGGTGGGGACCTTGGAGCATAAGGAAATAGCATTCCAAGGAAAAGTATAAATCAAAATAAAATTTGAGTAAGAAATAATCAAAATAAGATATGTCCGATTACAAAGTGTTACACAGACAGAATTATCTGCAATTTCTTATCAGAGGACTATTCTCTTTTCCTACCACCTGGGTTACAGGTATTAGTATAACTGAGGCTCTCATAGGCTTCTGGCACCAAATGCAGAAAAAAATATTTGCTGTGTTCACTTAGGGGTAGGTGTTTTGCATGAACAAGACCTCAGTAGAGTTCTTTAACCTAGGGGTTTAGCAACGTAAGTATTATTTATAACTAAGAAGACAAAAACAGTGTTGTGAGTAAACAAAACCCTTTAGTCATACAAAGACATAATTAATATAATCTGAATTATACGATGTGGTTTTATTTAATCACTGATTCATTCTCATTAGGATTGTCAAACTCACCAGGTGATGCAGAGCCAGAGGTAGACTCTCAGTTCTTTTCATGGTACTATTTTTACACCATTCTGTATTTTCAAACACTTTTTCTTACTTTTGGGGTTCTCTAGATTCAGAGGCTTTAAGGTTTGTTTGCCTTTTATCCGAGCCTTATGTTTCTCTACAAATCAGTGTTCTTATGCCAAAGACTACCAGCAACATACCTATAGTTAAACAAGTAGGGTTTAATTAATCATCACCATGAGAAGAGCCCACACCGTGGGGAACCATAGAATATTTAAATAAGAGGGTGTACCAGCTACAGGATTTGGGCTCTGGTACTTTCAGGAAGTATCTAAAAAAGTAGGGGCTTGCTCTGGATTAAGCATTGTTAGAAAAATGAGGCAATTCTATTACTGAGTATCTCAAAATACCTTATCTATAGTGAGGGTAGACAGAGTGAGATAAAGGTATAATTGGTAAAGAGACAGCAGTCATTCATTTGGTGAGAAAAGGTGATGTTTGGTATTTTGTGCCACATGATGATCTTGTCTGAAATGGATGTTTGGTGAGCTTGTTAACGGGCAATGAGAGAAAATCGTAGCTGTGAGCATCAGATCAGTTTGTACTCACATTAGGGCCTATCTTTGAACCTCAGAGCAGTTCTGGGTGATAGGGGCTACTTTTTTCTTATACATTACCATAATTCTTTTTACAGTGGCAAAGTGATGTTTCCTTCTTTATATTGAATCCTGTTTCAGTTGTTAAGGTTATGCTTAGTTGTTGAACATCTCACCCCTCTTTGACGCAAACCAAGCTCTCTGATTCTCTAGGATACTTAGCAACAGTATCAACATCCACGGTGACATTCCTATTTCTAACCTTGCTTAACAGCCTTCTGCATCCTACCCTTTCCTGGTGACACTGGTCACACTGCATCGTTGCCCTTTCTAACTAATAAAACCTCAACAAAGCATAAAAATTTGAAGAAAAGAGCTATATACATAGTTACGGGAAACAATAATAGACTTAAAAGGTGATCCTGCTTTCCAAATATAGTCTTTAAAGTCATACTGTGTTGGTAAATTAATCACATTTTTATTTGTGATCACAGTGTGTAGAAACTACATTTAGAGATGACTCACATTAATCAGAATAGAAATTAATTTACAATAACAAAGATAGTGCTAGACAGCTACACAACTTTTGCTTTTGCCAGAATATTTCCTCCAAATAGAAAAAGTATATGGGAAAACAAAGTAGGTACATAGGTATTTAGTGAAACTTGAGTCAGAACAAAGGACATTAGTAACCAAATAAAATGTTTAATGGAACTAGGTAAAGATAATCTGAGGCTCCCAATGCCACAGCAGGTGTATACCTGACTTGTGTGCAGGATAGACCTTTTCCCTAGAAACAGCATAGGATGATATAGTCTTTTCATTAATCAATCTTTTAAACTTGTCTCTTTGCCGTATTGGCTAGGAGAATTAAATATTTTGCCTCTTAACATAGTCAAGATTATTTAAAAGGAAGCATTTCAGGCTAGTGAAAGCTCGTTATTTTTCACTCTTCCAATGTCCACATGTGATGACATGTTGTTACTTTATATGAATGATCTCATTTAAGAGCCACAAGCGTCATGTAAGGTAAACAGCAGAAATTCCTGCCATCATTTTAGAGACGAGCAAGAGCTTAGAGAAGTAATATAACTAATCTAACTCCATGGACATTTAGTGGCTAAACAAATGTTAGACATTAGCTCTTATAACTCAGGGTCTCGAGTTTTTCTGCCATTCCGTATTACTACATGAAAAATATTTCAGAGACAATGAGGACATAGAATCTTTACTTTTTTTTCCTGGCTTTCATATCAAGGTTATAATATTTCACTGTTAGTGATGTGTGATGCTTATTCATTCTGCCTACATAATGCCTCACTTCTGTACCGCCGTTCACGTGAACGAGGTGCCATACAGAGGCAGCATAGCTTAGATGTCCTGAAGTTGCTTAGTGTCATGTTCCTTTGGAATGTGGTGACAGTATTGTGCAAATTGACTCCCTTCATACTTCCTTTACCTCAAGCTATAAATGCGGGGATTCAGAAAAGAAGTCACTACTATAGTGAGGATAGCTGTCACTTTGTCAAAATCCAGCTAATACCTCGGGTTAGGCCTCACACACGTGGAGATGGAGTTTCGGCAGGCAATAAAGATGATGGTGATGTGTGAAGCACAGGTGGAAAAGGCCTCCTGACATCCTTGGGCTGAGGGGATGCACAGGAGGGAGAAATGATGTAGGCGTAGGATGTGGCATTAAGCACCAGCGAGGTCAGGACCATAAGAGATGATCAAAGGAAGCTTATCATCTCAATGAAATGAATATCAATACAGGCCACCTGCAGTAAAGAGGCAATGTCACAGAAGAAGGGACTAATTTTTTCAGTACAGTCTGGCAACCTGGACACCACAATAGTCAGGCGCAACACAGCCAGGAAGGTTCCCATCCAGCATCCCAGAGCCAGCAGGAGGCAGGCCCTGCTTTTTGCAATGATGGTGCTGCACAGGGGGTCACAGGTTGCCATGCAGTGTTTGAAGGATGTCACTGCCAAGGGGATAAACGCCACTGTCCCTAGAAAGAAGTAGAAATATATTTGGGTGATGCAGCCAGAGAACGATATGACTTTTTTCTAAGGAACAAGTCCATTGGGGTTTGGAGACAATTATCTGTCCACGTTAAGAAAATGACGAAAAGGTTTCCTGTTATGGTGAGCATATGAACCAGCCAGAGAAGGACACATAGCCAAATCTGAAGCTCCTGGACAGCAGGAAGGGAGACCGGGTGAATTCAGTTACCATTGTCTGGTTTCGTATGACCCTTCCACTGGAGGGGCAAAAATACAAACAAAGGAAATTAGAACAGTTTAAGATACCCTTCAAATTTTCTATGATCTTGCTAAATCTAGAATAGAGAGGACATTCCAGAGGAGAAGGGTCCTAATCCTGTCTGTGACGGTGGCCTGGGGCAAATCAAATGATGTCATTTGGTCTCACTTCTCATCTATATGATTAACAGTTTGGATTAAAAAAAAATACACAACTCTATGGTTCCTTTAAACTTTTACTTTTTGATTTCTGTTAAACTTATATATTTCTTCTCTATTTCCTTCTTAGATACAAAACCATCCAAGCTCACTGAAGTATATAATAAACTGAAAATTCCCCAAGTTATTTCAATCATATTTTAACCCTTCATTGGCTATCCTAGCATATAACATCACATCATACTTTGTTGAGGGAAGAGAAGCAATCAAACAAATTCTATTACCATTTTTATTTAGTCCATTTTGCCTCACTGTGAAGGAATACCTGCAGCTGGGTAACTTATAAGGCAAAGAGGTTTATTTGGCTCACCATTCTGCAGACTGTCCAAGTCATGGCTCCAGCATCTAGTTGGCTTCTGGGGAAGCCTCAGGAAGCTTCCAGTCATGGCAGAAGGCAAAGGGGGAGCAGAAGTGTCACATGGTGACAGAGGGAACAAAAGGGAGAGGAGGAGGTGCCAGTATTTTTCAAAAGAGGATAAGTAAGCCAAAATCAATAGTGCGTATAAGCTTATCCCAGGGATGAAAGAATGGTTGAATATTAAATTTTTGTAAATATTCTTTCACACTCACAGGTTCAAGGACAAACCACTCTGTCATCTCAATGGACAGAAAAAGTATTTAATATGTTTAAACACGTAGTCATTATAGAAATAGAAAGAAAGAAATAGAAATAAACTTATTTAATTTTGTATAAAATATTTATCCAAAATTACATAAATTATTATTTCAAATGAGGAAACATTTGAAGAATTGAAAATCAGGAATAAGATAAGCATAACCACTATTACTCATTTAATCAACAGTGTATTGAAGAGAGGAATTACACTATTGCACATCAGTAAGAAAGTAATTTTCTTTCAGAATATGTCACATTTGTGCAAGAATAGAAACCCCGTAACCCCATAAAACAGACCCATGGAATATAGAGGACTTCGATATATAATTTATGTGTATGGCAAATCAGTGGCAAAAGAAGAAATTTTCAGAAAATGTGGAAAAAAGAATATATATAAAAATTATATTTTCCATACATATCAATACTATATTTCCATATATATGGCTATGCGGGAGCAGGAGGCGAGGATGGAGAAAGAACACATAGGTAGTTGTCATTCATTGATAATGTTCTCATTCTTGGGCAGGTGGTAGATGTTTATTTCATTATTAAAAACAAACTAAAATAAAAGAGGGTCATAACTGGAAGAAAGATCAGAATGCATTATGAATCAAAGGTTATGACTGTTCCAATCCCAAGGGAAGAGGCTGTAAAAACAAAAATGTAACAACAGCAATAGCAAAGTCAACAGTGATATTTTAGTGATGGGTTAAATACTGTATTGGAATAGTGGAGTAGACAGCCTGTAAGTTTTTGAGAGTCTGTAATTTTATGAAAACTATTCCGGGCATTCTCCAAAAATTTCAGATTAGCCAATCCATAGAAATAGGAGATTTCTCCTTGTTACAAAGTATCAACTATGATTAGACTAGAGATTTAAATATAAAACCTAAACTTAAACATTTAAAGACATATAAAGAAGTATATTTCTGAAATACTGTAGGGATGATTTCTCAGCAATGTTAAAGAAATCTTAACCATAAGAGATAATACTAGGGAATTCAAATATTTTAAAATTAAGAATTCTTGCTATTCAAAAGGGATCTCATACAAAATGAAAATACAAGCCTCCTATTGGACAAGATATTCACAATACCTTTGCTCTGGGATTCTTTTGAGTTGTTAATGTAATGCTGGATTTCCCTCAATTCATAGCCCATTTAACCATTTAGAATCTTTTATTTAGGACTGTAGCATAGACCATCAGCCCATCACATGTCAAGTAAGTCATTTGAAGAAAAAGTTGGTTTATTGCTTTATGATAAAATATTTGAGCACAAACTATATAAGGATGGGTAATTGGAAGTGCATAGGTTGTTAATTGCATTCAGCATTATCTACTTGAATGCAGAAAATTGAAATATTAGGTCATTCAGTTTATTCATTACCTAGCATTTGAAATTGTTGTTCCTTCTATGTGACTTCAAGTATTTGGTTTTTGTGTGGAGCTAGCATGTTCCACATGCTACATGCTGCCTTATCTTCAAGTGTTTTCTGAAATCCACTAAACATCTCTTCTTTCTTATGTGTCTTTTCTTGTGACATTTTCTCCTTGAGAAAATACCTCATTGCTTTCTTCTTCATCTGTCGGTAGTCCAGTTGCCTATATGCCCAAATGAGATTAA
Organism: Homo sapiens; assembly: GCF_000001405.40. NCBI lineage: Eukaryota > Metazoa > Chordata > Mammalia > Primates > Hominidae > Homo > Homo sapiens. Next base: position 123,865,010 of record NC_000011.10, read on the forward strand.
ATTTTCATCTTTTGATAAAACAGCGTTTTTGAAATAAGGCTTTTTTTGTTTGTTTGTTTTGTTTTGTTTTAATCATCTCTAACCCCACAGCTGGCAGTGATCTAAAAAGAAAGAAAGAATTTATGGTATTAAAAATTCTGTAACCGTGTGTGTGTGTGTGTGTGTGTGTGTGTGTGTGTGTGTAACAAGCTCAACAAGACATTGTTCACAAGGATGATTGATTAAAGACATAAATAGCTTAATTTTATATGACTTTTATTGGTAGTTACTAAGGTATGTCTCTTCTAAAGTATTTTCCATGGTTCCTATTTTTCATGCACGTCTGTGTGAAGAAACCATCAAACAGGCTTTGTGTGAGCAACAAGGCTGTTTATTTCACCTGGGTGCAGGCAGGCCGAGTCCGAAAAGAGAGTCAGCGAAGGGAGATAGGGGTGGGCCCGTTTGATAAGATTTGCGTTTAAAGGAAAAAGGGGGTTGTTCTCTGGCAGGCAGGAGTGGGGGGTGTCACGGGGTGCTCAGTAGGGGAGGTCTTGAGCCAGGAGAAGGAATTTCACAAGATAATGTCATCAGTTAAGGCAGGAACAGGCCATTTTCACTTCTTTTGTGGTGGAATGTCATCAGTAAAGGCAGGAACCAGCCATCTGGATGTGTATGTGCAGGTCACAGGGGATATGATGGCTTAGCTTGGGCTCAGAGGCCTGACATTCCTGTTTTCTTATATTAATAAGAAAAATAAAATGAAATAGTGGTAAAGTGTTGGGATGGCGAAAATTTTGGGGGGTGGTATGGAGAGATAACGGGCGGTGTTTCTCGGGGCTGCTTCGAGCAGGATTAGGGGCGGCTTGGGAACTTAGAGTGGGAGAGATTAAGCTGAAGGAAGATTTTGTGGTAAGGGGTGATATTGTGGGGTTGTTAGAGGAGACATTTGTCATGTAGAATTATTGGTGATGGCCTGGATGCTGTTTTGTATGAATTGAAAAACTGAACGGAATAAGAGAAGGAGAAAAACAGGTATTAAAGGACTAAGAATTGGGAGGACCTAGGACATCTAATTAAAGAATGCCTAAGGAGATTCAGAATAGCCTTGCCAGCAAAGATTATTTATTTACTTTAAGAGTTAAGAGTGGTGGTTTGGCGATAGCACCAGGAGATATCAGCTGTGATGGCTTGGAGAAACAGTGTAAGCCGGCAGTGTAAACAAGAGCAGGGCATGTATGAGTAGTTGAGAATGGTGAATAGGAGTATGACTAGAGAGAAGATAGTAGGGATGACAAGTTTTTTGGAGCACAGTCCAAGTTGGTCTGCTGTCTGGAATGAGACTGGGGCCTAATAAAAAGGAGCGTCTATACAGGAGCTCAAATGCGCTGTACCCTGTAGCATTCTGAGGACAGGCATGAATTCTGAGAAGGGAAAGTGGTAAAAGTATCGTCCAGTCCTTTTTAAGTTGGTGGCTGAGCTTGGTGAGGTGTGTTTTTAAAAGACCTTTAGTCCATTCTACCTTTCCTGAAGACTGAGGACCATAAGGGATATAAAGGTTTCACTGAATACCAAGAGCCTGAAAACCTGCTTGGCTGATTTGACTAATAAAGGCCGGTCTGCTATCGGACTGTATAGAGGTGGGAAGGCCAAACCGAGGAATTATGTCTGACAGAAGGGAAGAAATGACCATGGTGGCCTTCTCAGACCCTGTGGGAAAGGCCTCTACCTATCCAGTGAAAGTGTCTACCTAGACCAAGAGGTATTTTAGTTTCCTGACTCGGGGCGTGTTGAGTAAAGTCAATTTGCCAGTTCTGGGCAGGGGCAAATCCTTGAGTTTGATGTGTAGGGACGGAGGGGGCCTGAATAATCCCTGAGAAGTAGTAGAATAGCAAATTTGCTAGTCCTGGGTGGGGGCAAATCCCTGAGCTTGATGTGTAGGGAAGGGAGGGGGCCTGAATCATCCCTGAGAAATAGTAGAATAGCAGATGGAACACTGAGAAGTTATTTCTTTGAGGATAGATTTCCATGATGGAAAGGAAATGAGAGGTTCTAAGAGGTAGGCTAGTGGCTTCTACTATAGCATAGCCTGCCTTGGCTGGTGTGTGGCGATTAGGCCTGGTGGAACTGCCATCAATAAACCAAGTGTGATCAGGGTGAGGAACATGAAAGAAGGAAATACGGGGAAATGGGGTGAATGTCAGGTGGATCAGAGAGATACAGTCATAGGGGTCAGGTGTGGTATCAGGAATAATGTGGGAGGCCGGATGGAAGTCTGGGCCAGGAACAATGATAATTGTGGGAGACTCAACAAAGAGTGAGTACAGCTGAAGGAGCTGGGGAGCAGAAAGTATATGTGTCAGGTGTCAGGAAGAAAATAGATTTTGGAAGTTATGAGAACTGTAGAGAGCGAGTTGAACATAGTTTGTGATTTTAAGGGCCTCTGAAAGTATTAGGGTCGTGGCGGCCACTGCACGCAGACTTGAGGGCTAGGCAAAACAGTAAGGTCAAGTTGTTTGCATAAAAAGGCTACAGGGCACGGTCCCGGTTCTTGTGTAAGAATTCTGACTGCACAGCCCTGCACTTCGGCTGTGGGTAATGAAAAGGGTTGGGATCAGTCAGGGAGAGCTAGGGTGGGGGCAGTCTCTAAAGCTGTCTTCAAGGAATGGAAAGAGGAGTGGGAAAAGGATTTAGGATCTATGGGGTCAGCTAGGTTTCCTTTTGTGAGTTTATATAATGGTTTTGTTAGGATGGCAAAACCAGGTATCTAAAGTTGAAAGTATGTAACCATGCCTAGGAAGGAAAGGAGTTGTTTTGTAGAAGGTGTTGGGGTTTGAGAGATCAGTCAGACATGATTGGCAGGGAGAGCACGTGTGTTTTTATGAGCATTATGCCGAGATAGGTAACAGATGAGGACGAAATTTGGGCTTGACTGAAGTAATGGGGACTGTTTGTGAAGCTTTGCGGCAGTACAGCCCACGTAATTTGCTGAGCGTGATGCATGTCAGGGTCAGTCCAAGGGTCAGTCCAAGTGAAAGCAGAGAGAGGCTGGGACGAAGAGTGCAAAGGAATAGTAAAGAAAGCATGTTTGAGATCCAGAACAGAATAATGGGTTGTGGAGGGAGGTATTGAGGATAGGAGAGTCTATGGGTTTGGCACCGCAGGATGGATAGGCAAAACAATTTGGTTGATAAGGCGCAGATCCTAAACTAACTTGTAAGGCTTGTCTGGTTTTAGGACAGGTAAAATGGGGAAATTGTAAGGAGAGTTTATAGGCTTTAAAAGGCCATGCTGTAGCAGGCGAGTGATAACAGGCTTTAATCTTTTTAAAGTGCACTGCGGATGGGATATTGGCATTGAGCGGGGTAAGGGTGATTAGGTTTTAATGAGATGGTAAGGAGTGCATGATCGGTCACCAAGGAGGGAGTAGAGGTATCCTATACTTGTGGGTTAAGGTGGGGGGGGCAGGTACAAGAGGAGGACACAAAGGAGGCTTTGGATTGGGAAGAAAGGTGGCAATGAGATGTGGCTGTAGTCCAGGAATAGTCAGGGAAGCAGATAATTTAGTTAAAATGTCTCAGCTTAATAAGGGAACTGGGCAGGTGGGGATAACTAAAAAGGAGTGCTTAAAAAGGTATTGTCTAAGTTGGCACCAGAGTTGGGGAGTTTTAAGAGGTTTAGAAGCCTGGCCATCAATACCTACAACAGTTATGGAGGCAAGGGAAACAGACTCTTGAAAAGAAGGTAATGTGGAGTGGGTAGCCTCCGTATTGATTAAGAAGGGGACGGACTTAGTTTCCACTGTGAGAGCTATTCGAAGCTCGGCATCCATGATGGTCTAGGGGGCTTCTGAGGCCATTGGGCAGTGTCAGTCTTCAGCTGCTAAGCCGAGAAGATCTGGGAAGGAGTCAGTCAGAAAGCCTTGGGCCAGAGTTCCAGGGGCTCTGGGAGTGGCTGCCAGGTGAGTTGGACAGTCTGATTTCCAGTGGGGTCCTGCACAGATGGGATGTGGCTTAGGAGGAATCCTGGGCTGCGGGCATCCCTTGGCCTGGTGGCCAGATTTCTGGCACTTGTAGCAAGCTCCTGGGGGAGGCAGTTCTGGAGGAATGCCTGGCCACTGCGGTTTAGGCGTTTGGAAGTTCTTGTGTGCTGGAGATGTGGCTGGGGTTTGTCTCACAGTGGAGGCAAGGAATTGCAACTCAGGAATATGTTGCTATTTGGCTGCCTCTACTCTATTATTGTACACCTCAAAGGCAAGGTTAATTAAGTCCTGTTGAGGGGTTTGAGGGCTGGAATTTAGTCTTTGGAGTTTTATTTAATGTTGGGAGTGGATTGGGTAATAAAATGTATATTGAGAATAAGATGGCCTTTTGACCTTTTAGGGTCTAGGGCTGTAAAGCATCTCAGGGTTGCTGCCAAACAAGCCATGAACTGGGCTGGATTTTTATATTTGATGAAAAAGAGCCTAAATGCTATCTGATTTGCGATAAAGAAAAAGGAGCATTAACCTTGATTATGGCTTTAGCTCCAGCCACCTTTTTAAGAGGAAATTGCCGGGCAGGTGGGGGAGGGCTAGTCACAGAATGAAACTGTAAGCCAGACCGAGTGTGAGGAGGGGAGGTGATAAAAGGATTATAGGGTGGAGGAGCAGAGGCTGAGGAAGAATTGGGACCTAGCTTGGCCTGCCGAGCTGGGGAGAGGTCAGATGGATCTGTAGAAAAGGAAGATTAGAAAGACTCAGTGACACTTGGGGTTGGGACTGAGGGGACAGGCAGGAGGGAAAGAAGGAAGATTTGGGACGAGTTGCATTGGGAACAGAGACTAGGGAGGGACCAATGTGTAAAAGAATGCCTGGACGTCAGGCACCTCAGACCATTTGCCTATTTTACGACAAGAATTATTTAGATCTTGTGGGATGGAAAAATAGCAAGTGCCATTTTCTGGCTATTTGGAACTACTGTCGAGTTTGTATTGGGGTCAAGTGTCATTGTAGAAGAAAATAAGGTGTTTAGGTTTTAGGTCAGGTGTGAGTTGAAGAGGTTTTAAGTTCTTGAGAATACAGGCTAAGGGAGGAGGAGGAATGGAGGGTGGAAGGTTGCCTATAGTGAAGGAGGCAAGTTTAAAGAGAAGGGTAGAGACACGGAGAAGGGGGTGGGGAGCAGCTCTGGGCTGCAATGTGGGTGAGCAGCCAAAGCAGGCGTCCCCGCAATTGACTTGCCACCAAGGGAACATGGGTGAATGATCAAGGCAGGCATCCCCACGGAGATCAGACACCAATGGAACGTGGGTGAATAATCAGAGAGGCGTCCCGCAATGATTAAACAGCAAGGGAAGCCTGCCTTCCTGAGTCCGTGACCGGCGCCGGAGTTTTGGGTCCATGGATAAAACGCATCTCCTTTGTCTCTACCAGAAAAGGAAAGGAACTGAAGTTAAGAGAAAGGAGAGATTGAAGTGTGGTGCCAAGATTGAAGGAGAAAGAGGTTGAGGGATAGTGAAGGAGGTTGGAGAAGAGAGTAAAAAGAGGCCACTTACCAGATTTGAAATTAGTGAGATGTTCCTTGGGCTGGTCGGTCTGAGGACCTGAGGTCATAGGTGGATCTTTCTCACGGAGCAAAGAGCAGGAGAGCAGGGGATTGATCTCCCAAGGGAGGTCCCCCGATCCGAGTCACGGCACCAAATTTCATGGACGTCTGTGTGAAGAGACCGCCAAACCGGCTTTGTGTGAGCAACAAGGCTGTTTATTTCACCTGGGTGCAACCGGGCTGAGTCCGAAAGACAGTCAGCAAAGGGAGATAGGGTGGGGCCATTTTATAAGATTTGGGTAGGTAAAGGAAGAAGTGGGGTTGTTCTCTGGCAGGCAGGAGTGGGGGGTCACAAGGTGCTCAGCAGGGGACGTTTTGAGCCAGGATGAGCCAGGAGAAGGAATTTCACAAGATAATGTCATCAGTTAAGGCAGGAACAGGCCATTTTCACTTCTTTTGTGGTGGACTGTCATTGGTTAAGGCAGGAACTGGCCATCTAGGTGTGTATGTGCAGGTCACAGGGGATATGATGGCTTAGCTGGGCTCAGAGGCCTGACACTATTCATGTCAGTACTCCTTGTAACCACATGAACTTGTTTCCTTGTGATTGAACTGTAGACAGAACAGGTAACTAAGATTAAGTAGAGTAAAATCAGAAAATAATTTATTTTTTCTTTAAGTTCTGAGTGTCAGTGTCCTTACTGAATGGTAGTATTACATGAGGTTTACATTTACTTCCATCTCCAAGGGTCAATTTATATAAATACGGATTATCCTGAGCACCTATCACAAGATACTACCTCAACATCTGAAAAATAAAAAGCCAAATAAATTTCTCATTTAAAGTTTTGTGTATAAGCTAAGCAATATTGTATAGTGGGAACTATGTGATGGACTTTGTAGTTGGAAGGTGACAATATTGGCCTGACACCAATACTATGTTTTCTAAGAAATCTAAGTCAGATCAAGAAAATAATTTATCATATGTGATGAGAACTGCCAGGTCAATTGTGAATTGTCTGCAGGATATAAGACTGTCTCACATTTTATTACATGGTATAAGTATATGCATATGCAGACAGCCATGTGTCTTAGAAGGTCAAACAGTTTTAAGATCTTTGCACTATCAAGGGTTTTATTGTGGACAGAAGTCAAACAGGTTAAGCAGAGAGATCTGTGTTATCACACCTCCACTGCATATTAAAATTTCACATTTTTATTATTCATGGCAATGTATTTTCTTTGTATTTTATCCTTAAATGTTTTTCCTTCCTTTCCACCTACCCTGCTTCCGGTCCTGTTTTTGTTTATTTATTTATTTTTTTCAAAAACATTTACTGAACAGCTATTTTGTTCCAGGTACTGTGTTAGTTGTTTGCTGGTAAGTAAATACCTTATCTAATTTCCATTCTTACTGTCATCCTAAGCAGAAGGTATTTATTGTACCTCCATTTACAAGTGAGTAAATTAAAGTCACATTTAGAAGTCAGGAGCCCTTGTAGCAGAGCACATCTCCTCACATATACAAGCATTGTACCTAGGGTGGATGTGTTCCTTCTCTTACTTTTGGGAACGTCCTGCTCATTCATATATCTTGTTTCATATTTTGTTATCTCTGATCGTTAGAAAATTCTTTAACTTGAGGCAATACTTTTTTCCCAGTGACTTTCACTGAAACCTGTACAAAGTCACTACTCTCATCTTCTCCACAGGCCTTGATTTCTAATTTTTGGTCTCAAATAATAGCTGTGTTACTAGCTGACATACATTGAATTCTTGGTTAGTATGTGCCAGGCACTGTTTTAGATGCTTTAAAACTTTTTGAATGGCATTAGAAAAAAAATGTGCATTTTCTATTTCTTAGATACAAAGTTTTCCTGCTAATTTTTAGTTTTGAAGCTTTTGTGTTTTCATAACACTTCTTTTATTGAGCTATCAGTTTCTGGTACATGTATATTAAATTATACCTAAAATCAATTTTGAATTTGTCAGATTTTCCTCGCAATTTTGTCGGTAGTTGTTTTAGTCCACTTTAGGACTCTGCTGTTTGAACAACCCTTTGAAGTTGAAGGTAGGTGTTGTTATGATCTACATTTTTAGGCCTACATTTTTGTAGACTGTGAGGACTAAGCTCTGATTTTATTTTTATCTTACCCAAATTCCTGTCTAAGGAGTCTGGGGAGTCATGCCCTACAAATCATAAATTCTCATCAGATGGGTTTATTTAACCCTGTATATCATGACTTACTTTCCAGTCTGACTCTGGCATAACATTATGTGACAAATAAGAAAGTCAAAATACTTTACCCCAAAACATGTTTCTTTGCCATATTTTGAAAAGGCCTTGCAAAGCTGTCCTTTGTGGGGGAAAATTTGCATCTGTAAAGAATCTCTATTAACATAGCTAGATCTTTTTCTTCCAGGCCCTCCCAATCCTGAAGAGATTAACTGAGAGTCTAGTACATTTTTTTTTTTTTCATTTATAAAGGAAAGAGGTTTAATTGACTCACAGTTCCACATGGCTGAGGAGGCCTCACAATCATGGCAGAAGGTGAATGAGGAGCAAAGTCACATCTTACATGTCATCAGGCAAAAGAGAGTATGTGCAGGGAAACTCCCCTTTATAAAATCATCAGATCTCATGAGACTTATTCACTATCATGACCTGCCCCCATGATTCAATTACCTCCCACTGGGTCCCTCCCACAATATTTGGGAATTATGGGAGCTACAATTCAAGATGAGATTTGGGTGGGGACACAGAAAAACCATATCAAATACATTCCACTATAAATTATACTCTAGGTGAATGGTGTTTGCAGATTTTTTTGGAAACCGGTGGTATATTATAGGACAGTGCTAGAAAAATGTCTGGATATTTAAAATAATTTTTCATTGAGGAACAAAAAGAATATATTTTCAATGTAAATATAAATCAAAGAGACATAGACTCATAAGGTGGTTAAAATCTCAGGAATTGTTCAACTATCCACTTATTTGAACAGATAAAATAAAATATTGTTATCAGTGGAGACAATGATCAGCTATAAGGAGACATATAAAATAACAGTGGTTTAAACTAATTCCTTTCCGAGTTTACTGAGCATAGGGATTAGCTGGGGATTGTAAAAATGCAGATTGTCATTCGATGCATCAGGATGGGGCCTGAAAATCTGCAGTTCTGACAAGGTTGCAAGGAATACTGATGATGCTGGTGGGTTGAGGACCACACTCTAAGTAACAAGGATGTAAAAAAGCTTATTTATCACATAAAAATTAGAGGTAGAAAGTTCAGGGCTGGTAAGACAGCTCCCCAAGTTATTCAAGGTCCCACCTCCTTTCACTTTCAGGTTTCACCATCTTTAGGGTGTGGTCTTCATTCTTATGGTCCATTATGTAGCTCCAGCTATCATATCTATGTCCCATGCAGCAGGATGGAAAAAATGGGATGGTAGGAGGAGCGTGGGAACCATAAGAACATGCCAGTGTCTCTCAAGGAAGATTTCTGGAATCTACCACAAGAAAATTTCAAACCTTTTCTATTAGCCAGAACTTAGTCACCTGACCACATCCAGGTGAGAGGCAAGCTAGGAAATGTTACTTTTATACTGAGTGGCTATGTGCCTAACTGAAAGTCCCCACTCTCTATTGGGAAGGGGTGTGTGAGGCATGGAAATGGGGGACGTCTAGCAGTCTCTGCCACAGATGCGGATGTCTGCCACAAGAAATGATTTGCCAAAGATCACATAGAAAAATTACAGTTCATAGATTAATTATAATCAATACATGTATAGAACTTCTCAGTTTATGTGTGGTGTTGTTGTATGTCATAGGCTCATTTTGTTTTCATAACTATCATATACTACTATGAGCTTCTTTTTTGGTTGTGGAAAGTGAGGTGCAAAATGATTGAGAGACTTCCGTGATCATAAAGCCTACCCTCACTACTCTCTTTAAAATTGCATATTTCTGTCTCTCCCTTCTCTCTCCCTCCCCCCTTCCTGATTCCTCTTACTGGGTTCTTTATTATTATTATTATACTTTAAGTTCTGGGATACATGTGCAGAATGGGCAGGTTTGTTACCTAGGTATACACGTGCCATGATGGTTTGCTGCACCCATCGATCTGTCATCTACATTAGGTATTTCTCTTAATAGTATCCCTCCCCTAGCCCCCCACGCCCCTCGGGCCCTGGTGTGTGATGGTCCGCTCCCTGTGTCCATGTGTTCTCATTGTTGAACTCCCACTTATGAGTGAAAACATGCAGTATTTGGTTTTCTGTTCCTGTGTTAGTTTGCTGAGAATGACGGTTTCCAGCTTCGTCCATGTCGCTACAAAGGACATGAACTCATCCTTTTTTAGGGCTGCATAGTATTCCATGGTGTATATGTGCCACATTTGCTTTATCCGGTCTATCACTGATGGGCATTTGGGTTGGTTCCAAGTCTTTGCTATTGTGAATGGTGCTGCGATAAACATATGTATGCATGTGTCTTTATAATAGAATGATTTATAATCCTTTTGGTATATACCCAGTAATGGAATTGCTGGGTCAAATGGTATTTCTGGTTCTAGATCCTTGAGGAGTCGCCACACTGTCTTCCACAATGGTTGAACTAATTTACACTCTCACCAACAGTGTAAAAGCATTCCTATTTCTCCACATCCTCTCCAGCACCTGTTGTTTTCCGACTTTTTAATGATCACCATTCTAACTGGCGTGAGGTGGTATCTCATTGTGGTTTTGATTTGCATTTCTCTAATGACCAGTGATGATGAGCTTTTTTTCATATGTTTGTTGGCCACATAAATGTCTTCTTTTGAGAAGTGTCTGTTCTTATCCTTCGCCCACTTTCTTGATGGGGTTGTTTTTTTCTTGTAAATTTGTTTAAGTTCTTTGTAGATTCTGGATATTAGCTCTTTGTCAGATGGATAGATTGCAAAAATTTTCTCCCATTCTCTAGGTTGCCTGTTCACTCTGGTAATAGTTCTTTTGCTGTTCAGAAGCTCTTTAGTTTAATTAGATCCCATTTGTCAATTTTGGCTTTTGTTGCCCTTGATTTTGGTGTTTTAGTCATGAAGTCTCTGCCCATGCCTATGTCCTGAATGGTATTGCCTAGGTTTTCTCCTAGGGTTTTTATGGTTTTAGGTCTTACGTTTAAGTCTTTAATCCATCTTGAATTAATTTTCGTATAAGTGTAAGGAAGGGGTCCAGTTTCAGTTTTCTGCATATGGCTAGCCAGTTTTCCCAACACCATTTATTAAATGGGGAATCCTTTCCCTATTGCTTGTTTTTGTCAGGATTGTCAAAGATTAGATGGTTGTAGATGTGTGGTGTTATTTCTGAGGTCTCTGTTCTGTTCCATTGGTCTATATCTCTGTTTTGGTTCCAGTACCATGCTGTTTTGGTTACTGTAGCCTTGTAGTATAATTTAAAATCAGGTAGCGTGATGCCTCCAGCTTTGTTCTTTTTGCTTAGGATTGTTTTGGCTATATGGGCTCTTTTTTGGTTCCATATGATATTTAAAGTAGTTTTTTTCTAATTCTGTAAAGAAAGCCGATCATAGCTTGATGGAGATAGCATTGAATCTATAAATTACTTTGGGCAGTATGGCCATTTTCACAATATTGATTGTTTCTATCCATGAGCATGGAATGTTTTTCCATTTGTTTGTGTCCTCTCTTATTTTCTTGAGCAGTGGTTTGTAGTTCTCCTTGAAGAGGTCCTTCTCATCTCTTGTAAGTTGTATTCCTAGCTATTTTATTCTCTTTGTAGCAATTGTTAATGGGAGTTCACCCATGACTTGGCTCTCGGTTTGTCTATTATTGGTGGGTAGGAATGCTTGTGATTTTTGCATACTGATTTTGTATTCTGAGACTTTGCTGAAGTAGCTTATCAGCTGAAGGAGATTTTGGGCTAGCACCTTTTAAAGGCCTCAATAGGAAACATCTGTCATCTATTGTCTCTAAGGCAGCCACTGTGAGACTTCAAAAGAACCTTGGTCTCCACAGTCTTTTATCTTAATCTGAACATTGTCTTTCTATTAATCCCAGGTCTTTAGACAAACTCAACCAATTGTAAACTAGAACATGTTTAACTCTACCTATAGCCTGGAAGCCCCTTTCCAGCTTCAAATTATCCCACCTTTCCAGACCAAACCAATGTATTTCTCAAATGTATTTGATTGATATTTCATGCCTCCCTAAAATGTATAAAACCAAGCTGCACCACAACCACCTTGGGCACATGTTCTCAGGACCTTCTAAGGGCCATGTCATGGGCCATGGTCACTCATATTTGGCTCAGAATAAATCTCTTCAAATATTTTACGGAGTTTGACTCTTTTCATCGAGAATTGTTAAAATAAACATTTTGCGGAAATTTATGGAGGTTAGCTTACTTAAAATCACATAGCTAGTAGGTAGCAAAGCCAGATTGAATGCGGCTCTGTGTGACTCAAAGATTTTCATTACTCACAGGCAGGCATAGTAGGGGCTCTTATTCCCACTTTTTCAGAAAGGGAAAACAAGTTGAGAAGTCTGGTAAATCAGAACTAGGGCTCAGCTCTAGTTTAGTAAATGCAGATATGTTAATCTCAGCAGCATGTTCCATGTTTGGAAATGTTCTTACTACTTTGAGTAACTGAGTAACTGGAACATTTTAAGATCCAGAAAAAAATGTCAGGATTGAAAGAGATATTTAGGATCACGTAGTCCTATCAAGGTCAAAATATCAATATTCTTCCAAAATATTGTTCTAGCCTGAGAGACTTACTGTGGATAGTCCATTACATCTTTGTCCATCTCTACCATAAAATCTGCCATTACGTTGACTTAGAATTTGCTTACCAGTTATTTTTATGTATATATTCTGAAAACTCCACATCCTTTATAAGGTAAATGGAACGTTGAGCTTCTACCTCTTTTTCTGACTCTAGGACGTGACATGTCCTTTTCTCTATTAAAATAGGCCATTAATAAACTGTGACATTTGAAGCTCATGCTTGCTCTTAGGGATTTGATTGAGAATGACTCTTGGGAACATTGAGTGAAAGAGGTTAATTACTATTGTTGTAATCAAAGCATTTTAAGCCTGAAAAATCAGTCACAATTACGAAGTTTAGTGGGAAATGCCAAATAGACTCCCTCGGGACTCTAGGGGAATTGTTCCTGCTGTTTTGTTTTATTCAGTTAATGAAAGCTTGGTGGCCTGCATTAGAGCATTGTGGAAACTGGAAACATGAAAACTTTTAATCTTTCTAAATGTTTGACAAAATTAAGTCATATTTTTCTTTCCTAAGAATGCTGCAATAATGATCCTTCTAATGGCCTGAAATAATAAACGTACCTTTATTTCTCTGTTAAAATGCAGATAAACTCTTCTTATTTTTGCAAAGATCTATAAAAGGTAACTTTCTCCATATTTATATTAGTCTATACCTAATCCTTATACTAGCCTAAAGCCCTAAGGTTGATGAATTAGAGTGATGACTAGATGTAAATAAGTGAACACAGATATTTTCTAGATTTAAAAAGTAATCTCAAAAAGATATGGGATCGACACCTTCCAAAGCAGCCAGACATGGAATGGAGAGGTGGTCAATTAACATTTCTCTCTGACAGTGTATCCTGTATGTGTTCTTTGCATTGTGGCTCTTAGCGCCTCTATTCAAGGACACAAATTCAGTCTTTGGGACCCATCAATTTCTTACTATCAAAGCCTTGAAGCTTTGACATTTCTATCTATTAAAAGCCAGAGATTGCTGCATTAACTTAAGCAATTCAAATATAGTTTGTTTACTTGAGGCACACCTAATACAGAAGCAGAAGTAATAATTGAAAAATAAAAGAATAGAAAAGGGATACTAAGCAATTCAAGTGTAGTTTGTTTATTCGAGGCACACCTAATACAGAAGCAGAAGTAGTAATTGAAAAACAAAAGAATAGAAAAGGGATATACAAAGCAAACATTAAGCAACATTGGTAGATTGTATTATTGTTCCATCATTATGCACCCTTCTTTTTAATAAGAGGGATTGCATATCTCCACTTACACATATCATGGGATTACAGGCATCAGCCTCTGCACCCGGTCAGGTATGTCCTTCTTATAACAATCCTTCAGTGACATGAAAGCTACATTTTCTTTCCTTTCTTTTTTTTTTGAGATGGAGTTTCCTTCTTATCACCTAGGCTGGAGTGTAATGGCATGGACTCCGCTCTTTGCAACCTCTGCCTCCTGGGTTCAAGAGATACTCCTGCCTCAGTCTCCTGAGTAGCTGGGATTACAGGCACCTGCCACCACACCCAGCTAATTTTTGTATTTTTAGTGGAGATGGGGTTTTCCCATGTAGGCCAGGCTGGTCTTGAACTTCTGACCTCAGGAAATCTGCCCACCTCAGCCTCCCAAAAGTGCTGGGATTATAGGCGTGAACCACCGCGCCAAAAGCTACATTTTCAATGTGAGATTAAAAGGTATTTAGCAAAAAGTACATTTTTTTTATTTGCTGGCATAACTTCAGTGATAGCTTCACAAATTTGTTCTTCATTTTATATTACGATCCTTTCACTTAATTCATTTATCTTGAAATGGTGAACAGCTGCAGTTGCAAACCTCAATCTATGGTACATATAAAGCAATTCAACTTTTTCTTCTAACTTCATGACTTTGCCTCTTGGGAGCACTTTCAGCATCACCAGTGGCACTTCATATGAGTCCCATGGTGTTATTCAAGATTTACTGTATTGCACTAAGCATGAAAATATGCAAGAATCATGAGAGATTACTTTTTACTGTGATATGCAATTTACCAGAAAGACAAACTGCTCACATGGATATGATTAGTGTCATACCGTTTTCAGTGGATGGTCAACACTTGAGCTCAACGCAATAGCAACAGAGGTGGCTACAAAATTATTACAGTAGTACAACATGTACTACAGTAAATTTTATGCAGTTATTATTTAACACTGCTTTTTTTGTATTTCTCTCAATTGCAACTGGTACTACATATTGTCTGTGTTTGTGTGCATGTGTTGATAAATTTTAACTTTTTTATAACAGATTTGTGTATATAATGTGGTAGTAAATAATAAAATAGACTAGTATCTACAGCTGTTATGCATTCATGACACACGCAATGTTTTCTAATTTTTTTGATATTTCTAGTCTATGCAGCTTGTCTGCAAGAATTTTCAAATTGTCACAGATTTCCGAAATATTTTGCAACATATTTATTGAAAAAAATCCATGTATAAGTAGACCTACATAGTTCAAACCTGTGTTGCTCAAGGGTCAACTGTAATTGAAAAGAATAAATATTTACAATCAGTAATTTAAACTTCCATTTTAGGAAACTGGAAAAAGCAGAGTAAATCAAATCCAAAATAATCAGAAGAAAAAAATTAGAGAGGTCAATGAAGTTGAAAACAGGAAATCAGTAAAGAAAATTAAAGAAAACCAAAAACTGGTTTTGCAAAATTATTAGTAAAATTAATAAACTTCCAGCCAGGCTAAGTAAGAAAAAGAAGAGAAGACACAAATTACTAATATCAGAAATGAAAGAGGTCATATAACAACAGATCCCATGGGGAGTAAAATAATAATAAAATAATTTTGTGAACACCTCTGTGGCCACAAATTTGATAACCAATTCTTTGAAAGAAACAATGTGCCACGACCAACATAAGAACAAACAAACACTCTTCATAGGCCTGTATCTATTAAAGAAATTGAACTAATGATTAATAACCTTCCAAAATAGAAAGCACAAGGCCCAGATAGGTTCTCCTCTGAAATGTGCTAAACATTTGAAGAAGAAATTATACCAATTTTCTATAACCTCTTCCAGAAGACAGAAGCAGAGGGAATTTTAAACATTCTATAAGGGTAGTGTTACCCAAAACCAGACAAAGACATTATAAGCAAATAAACTACAGAACATCTCTCATGAAGGTAGATGCAAAAATCTTCAACAAGATATTTCACCATTGAAAATCAACTAATGTGGCCCATCACATAACAGGCTAACAAGGAAAAATCACATGATCATATCAATAGATACAGGAAAAGATTTGACAAAATCCAAGACTGGTTTATAATAAAAACTCTCCCAAAACAAGAAATAGAGGGAAACTACCTCAATCTGATAAAGAACATCTAGAAAAAAATTGACTTAAACATCATACTTAATGTTGAGAAATGAGAAGCTTTCCCACTAAGATCAGGAACAAAGCAAATATGTCTCCTCTAATCGCTCCTTTTCAACATCATCCTAGACGTGCTGAAAGTGCAAGAAGAAAAGAAAATGTATACAAATTGGGAAGTCATAAATAAAACTTTTTGTTCACAGATGACATGATTGTATGTATAGAAAACCTGAAAGATTAAAAAAAAAAAAAAAACCCAAGACTCCCGGATACAGGTTAATGTATAAAAGTCAATTGCTTTCTTATATGCCAGAAATGAACACGTGAAATCTGAAATGTGAAAAACACAATCCCATTTACATTAGCATCCCCCAAATTAAAATACTTAGCTATAAATCTAACAAAATACTATAGTGCAAAAGTAATTGTGGCTTTTTGTCGTTAAAAGTAATGGTTGAAAACCGCAATTACTTTTGCACCAACTGTAATAAAATCCACCAGGAAAATTACAAAACTCTGATAAAAAATCAAATAACTCAGTAAATGGATATATATTACATATTCATGGATAGGGAGACTCAATATTGTCAAGATGTCAATTTTGCCTAACTTATTCTACAGTTTCAACACATTCCAATAAAAATCTCAGCAAGTTATTTTGTGGACATTGACAACTGGATTCTCAAGTTTATAGAGAGATGAAAAAGACCCAGAATAGCCAACATAATATTTCAGAAGAACAAAGTCAGAGGACTGACATTACCTGATCTCAGGACTTACTATGAAGCTGTAGTGATGAAGACAATGTGGTTTTGGTGAAAAAAAAAAGACAAATAGATCAACGGAATAGAACAGAGAGTCCAGAAATAGACCCAGGAGCAAAGGAAATTCAATGAAGGCTTTTCAATAAATGGTGCCAGAACAACTGGACATCAACATGAAAACAAAGAAATCTGAACACAGACCTTATACCTTCCAAAAAAATTAAATCAAGATGAATCATGGAAATAGATAAAACTAGAAGATAAGACAGGAGAAAATGTAGATGAATTTGAGTATGATGATGACTTTTTGGTAGAACACTGAAGGCACAATAAGAATTAATAAGCTGGACTTTATTAAAATTAAAAACCAGTGTGCTACAAAAGACGTTGTCAAGAATGAAAATACAAACCACGGGCTGGGAGAAAGTATTTGCAAGACATATCTGATAAAGGACTGTTATCCAAAATATACAAATAACATTTAAACACTCACCAAAAAAATGAAAAGGCTGATTACAAACAGGGCAAAAGAATGGAACAGATACCTCATAGATGCCAAGTAACCATATGAAAAGATGCTTTTCACATTATAAATCACTAGAGAATTGCAAATTTAAACAATAAGACACATTCACATCTATTAAAGTGGTCAAAATTCACAATACTGACAACATCAAATGCTGACAAGGATGTGGTACGGCAGGAACTCTCATATATTGCTGGTAGAATGCAAAATGGTATAGCCACTTTGGAAGACAGTTTGGAAGTTTTTTACAAAACTAAACACATTCTTCTCATATAACCCAGCAATCATGTTCCTTGGTATTTACCCAAAAAAGTTGAAAGCTTATGTTCACACAAAAACCTGCACACAGGTGTTTATAACAGTTTTATTCATAACTGCCCAAACTTGGAAACAACCAAGATATCCTTCAGTAGGTGAAATAGATAAACCAACTGTGGTACAGTCTTACGATGGAATATTACTTAGCCCCACAAAGTATGAACCACAAAAAGGCATGAAGGAACCAAGTTTTACTTACATAGATAGATTCAGGAATTCTAAAATAATTAGAAGATTTATTTCAGCAATTTATGAAAATAAATACAACATGATCTCTACAGTGTAATATTGATCAACTTTCAAACATTTGAAAAGCTGGTCTATATAATTTTTATAGATGTATAAATTTGTAGTGAAAATGTCAACATGAATGTAGAATCATCAGCAACGCATCCTTAAAAGTGTTTTATGATAGGAAACAAGAGATGGAAATGAAATTGGAGAAGTTTTTAGAGGAACATCAGTTATATCTATAAATTTAACGGAAAAACTTCTCCAGGAAATAATGTTAAAATTTTATAAAGTTGGGTTGATGTGTACATAGGTGTTTGATCATCATTTTGTATTTCTTATGTATGTTTGAAATATTTCACAATACAACTGTTATATATCATTATAAGTGTTTGTGATGTATAGACTTAACAATACAGAAAGTATTATTTATATGATAATATTTATTATATTAACAACAAATGTTGCAGAAGAAACTATTCGTTCAGCAGGCCAGGATTTTTTAAAAAACCATCTTCCAGATCTTTTTACAAACCCCAACCATAATTCCAAATAGAGACAACATGGTTGGAGACACAGCACACACCCACAAAGCTTTTTCCATAAAGATGAGCATATACTGCAAGAAATAGATTGCCAAATCACAGAGCCCAGGTTACGTGACGTGTTTGGACTTTTTTGTTTAGGGAATTCACAGTGTGTGCACGGACAATGCTACGAGGCATTGCAGTGCATTCTGGTAATGAAATATCTTCGATAGAATTCTCAGATTCCTTACATTCGTTGTCAGATTTATGGATGTTCAGGCAGGTACAGCTACTGGTAGACAACTTGCACTCTAGGAGAGAGAGGACTCCTAGGGAAAAGAGATTCCAGGGAGTGGGATGAAGGGACAATGGAGAGTCAGAAACAATTCTCTCCAATTTGGCTGAAGACCCTGACCCAAAGCCCAGTGGATCCCTTTTAACTACCGAAAGCCATCTGGGAGGTGAATGCTTTAGTGGAAGAAACCGGAAGTGTATGTACAATAGCTTAAATTCTGCTCAGCTTAAGAAAATTGAGGATTCTTTTTGAAAGAGAACATGCTTCTTTTTGGGTTAGGAAGTGTAATTACAAATGAAATTTTAAAGACTTCTTAGGAAAGGGGAGACTTCGGTTTCGGTAGATGGCCATCTAGCATCAGATGTTGTTTCTCTCTGCCCTCAAACTGCCTTGACACTACACTGTACTCCCAAGGTCACTGTTCCTCTCCACAGAGGCTGAGCATTCTGTCTCAGACACCCACCTTGGTCATGACTTTGGTGGTTATCTCTGCCCCAAAGCGGGGAGGGTGTGAAAGGCAAATAAAAGGCGGAGATGGGGAGCTACCCTCTGAGGCCAGGCACAGCAGACATCTCACATAGGCCTGACCTCCCACTCTTCTTGGAGGAACTGTCATCAGAGAATGAATCCAGGTGAGCTGCAGCCTTTTAAAATGCAAGGTTTGGCACTTTTCCCTCTATTCTCATCTTTTTACCCTTCCCTCTGTCGGGGATGGATTGGTTCTTAACACCCTTCAGGGGCCCTGGAGACACTCACCACAGACAGACAAGAAGAAAACATTTAAGTAAGCAGTATACATGATCCAGGTGATCCTATAACTAGAGAAGTGCATGGATTGACCTTGCTTCAGCTTATTGTGATATAGTATGAGTGCCCAGAGCAGAGAGATACCTGATGTCCAGACAAAAAAAAAAAAAAAAAAAGAAAAAGAAAAAAGTCCCTTCTGAGGAACTTTGGCTCCTTGATGCAAGTCTTCATTCCATATACACTTGACTTCCCAACCCCCACCCGGTCCAACTACACCTTGCCCAAAGACTGATCCTGATCCTGCTTTTATGGTAGATCTAACTCAGAAGCTACATATATATATATATAGTTTTCAGAGACTGCAGCCTGAACCCACCCATCAAAGTACACCTACAAGCTTGTGTTAGGGGAGCCAGGAAGTTACCTGAGAAGAAACTGAGGATGGTAGTGAAGAGTTGTATATATTTATTTTGAGGAATCAGATAGGTGAATTTCATACCCAGGATTAAGTTAAGGAGGAAGGAAAGGCCAAGGCTCGACGTCATCATAATCCTGACCACTTTCAGGTCATCTGTTGGAAAGCAAAAGCTGTTTTGAGAGGACAGATATTTCTTCTAGACTCATTTCTACCTGGGGTCCAGAAGTCTCTAGGTGAAAATTGGAATAGGGTGAAAGATTTGATTAAACAATAAGAAAGAAGTTGGAAAATAACAAGCAGGGGAACCTTAAGCTGAATAAGAGAACCAAAAACATTTTCTCTATCCTGATGTCTCTCTATGTGTCTTTCTCTTCTATTATTTTCTTCAAACTCTATTCTTGTTAAATACCGCAATTCACTCCATCATCTAGTGGCAATACAGATTACTTAATGCCAGTTACGTTTCTTTCTTACCCACATGTCTAGTTGTGTGGATCACCCTGCTGCTACTGCTGAGACTTCTCAAATGCCCAGCAGTTAAGGCTGTGAACATATAAACTTTTCTCCAGAACACCTAAATGGTGAGATTTTGGAATCTGCCTTGACTGTATTGACTATGGAAGGAAGGAAGAACACTGCAACTTGAGAAGCTGCACCAGAAAATAATGGGTACACTGGTGAGATTAATGCAAGTTAAGGAAAGCCAAGTTAAGGACACACCCTTCCTTTCCACCCGTCTCTTTCTAGAGTACAGTTCTGACCTTCTGGCCAAAGAGCAGGGCAACACATCATCCAAGGACTGTGGTTCATCTTGGCTCTTTCATCTTCTGAAATCAATTCAACCCATTTATCTAAGGTGATTCCCATCACCATTAAGACTACGGCCCAGGAGGAGAAAAGTATGTTCATACCCTGGATACTTCTATTTGAAACATGCACCATTGTGAGTGAAAATTTCTAGCTGGAACCACCACCACTATTTTGTAGATCTCTTCCTTGATTTGATTAGTTACAAGAAGGGTGATATCTGAACTTTCAGTGGTTGCTGAGGCATTGGTAACAGCAGAAGCTGAAGTAGTCTATAAAACAGAGAAGATAGATAACTCTCACCCTTCCTCACTTCCGTTATCTATCAGGGCCAGCCTGCTGTCAGGACTGCCAACTGCCATGGAATCATCTATTGGTTTGACCCTTGACCCTGGGGCCTAGTGGAGTGAAAGAACCAAGGGGTCCAGAAGTCCTGAGAGAGCTATCAGATATAGGGATCTGACATCACATGTAGAAAGAGCTGTCACATACAGGGATCATTAGAGGCCTTGAATTAAGTTAGACGTGCATGACTAAAGAGGTCCAATTTAGGAGTTAGAATTACACGCTCCAAGATTAGTTAACATTTTGTAGGGGCCAGTGAAGAGGAAAAGGATTTCAAGATCATTGAGATAAATAGTTAGCTAGCTAGTATCACAACAGGGAATGACCACTCAAAATTTAGGATGTTTGAAGAAATGTGTGTTCCCATTGGGAGGTCCCAGTGACATTTAGTTAGGGAGTCATCCAGGAAATAAACCATCATCCTGAAACCAAACTACTGGCCTGATAGATACACTGAGCCATTATAGCCCAATCTCATTTATAAGGCATGGACAATCATTTCTTGACAGAATTGCCTCTAACTTGGCATATAAAACAGTTTTCGATTCCTTGAGTAGGCAAACATGGTAGGCCTCAGAGTCAAGAGCTAGAGGACTTCTGCTACAATCCAAAAAAAAAAAAAAAATTTGCCTTTTACACAACTAAGATGAACTTCATCTCCAAAGGCCTCACTCTGCGTATTTTCTGACCTCAATGCAGGTGACTTTCCTTGGCTCAAAATAGACTTTTTTTTATTACCTCAAACATGTCAAGCTGTCTTTCTTCTAGATCTCTCTACACATCTTTGTATACTTTATTATTATTATTTATCGTTTTCATTTTTAAGCACAATACTCAACAATACACTTAATCTTATGAGGAAGGCTTTAGGGTTAAGAAAACGGACTAAGGATCCTGGTTTTAAATTGTAGCTCTACCACTCAGTAGCTGTGTGGTCTTAGAGATAATAATGCTTCCTACTACCTAGGGATTTTGTAAAGATTAAATACGTTTAGAGACATAAAGCACTTGAAAGAGTCCTTGGCACATAGTATATGATCTGTCAGCAATTACCATAGTATTAATTTGGGTTTTCTGGGAAAAGGCTCTGAGGCAGGAATTTGTATCCAGGGAGTTTTTTTGTGAAGCACTTTTGGGAACCACACCTGTAATTGTTTAAGGGAAGCAGGTTTGAGCAGAAGTTGAACTGAGGTGTGGGTGCAACAGAAGAAGCCCTGGCTGACCCCACGAGGTGCTCTGGCTCTGGGGTGGTCCTTCAGAGTCATTCTTTATAGAGGCAAGAATGCCTAGCCTTTACACTGAGCATCTGGCTGCCCCTAGGGTGTGATTTCCCTTCTTTCTCAAGAGATATTCCTAAATCTCCTAGAAACTGCAAGCCACAGCAGCTAACACTTCTGGTAGCTGTGGGGATGAACTCCCACCCTTCACCAATCCCATATCAGGGTCAGCTTGTTTTTAGGGTTGCCAGCTGCCATGAAATTAACTATTGGTTTGACCCTTGACCCTGGGGCCTAGGGGAGTGGGGGGACCAAGAGGGTATATGGGAAACTCCTATTATGCTCTTTCATGTTGATAATTTTATTTCTATGCCATCGATTCTTAAGAGTAGAATTCCTGTGCTGAAAGGCTTTTGTTTCATTTTGGTTTTAACTGGTAGTGGCAGTAAAGATTTAAAGATGTAGCCAAATTAGAGAAAGAGATAGGATGTGAAGGATGAGTAAGATACATGTCAAAAAGAAATCAAGTTTTTAGCTAGGGAGAACTAGTCAAAGATTCCATTCCAGATGGCATTCCAGCTGCCATTCCACCTGCCATTCCAGCTAGTCAAAGGTGCCATATAGTAAGCACTGGTCTGGTTAAGCTGAAGGTGCTTAGAACAGGCAATATACAGAAAAAATTTACTTCTGGAACTTGACAGGAGATTAGAGGGTTATCAACCTTGAATGAGATTGGGTGCATTCAGGGAGTAATAGACAACGGGTTATCAGACTTGAGATAGCAATTGAAACCTAGATGTGCATGTCACATATGCAGAAATATCACACAGAATGTGATAAGAGATAGAAAAGGAAAGGCCACTGGATTTGGCAATTAGAATGTCATTGGTGATTTTGGCCATAGCATTTTCAGTAGAATGATGAGAGAAGTAGTAGGATAATTTTTTTTTCTTTTAACAGGTGACAAGAGCAAATAAATAATGATAAAGGGAAAAAGAAAAATAGCATTGTAGCTTCAAGGTGAAATGTGCGATTTTGAAAATAGACAGTAGTATAATGACTTCCCATGTATCCTTCATCCAGCTTCAAAGCTCATCCTCTGAATTATTCTGAACCAAATCCTGACATAATTTTATGGTTAAATATTTGTGTCACTAGAAGATGAGGATTGATTTTTTTTTTTTTTGCTGTAGATTCACGTACTCTGTTTTTTCTTAATATGGTTTATTATCAGTTTTGTTGGTCTTTTCAAGGTCCATTTATTTAGGTATTTATCCATTTGAAAATATTATTTTCAAGATCATATTTCATTATTTTGAGTTATTATTTTTATTATTTTCCTTTTGTTTTTGCTTGTATCCCTTGAACTTCTTAAAATAGTTTTAAATTCTTTAATATGTGTAGACTTAGGACCATATATTTGTCTTTAGGCACTGAGTTTGCTATATCTCATACGTTTCCTGTAACTTTTTTTACTATTTTGCTTCTTATTAGACAGTGTTTAATTTTAGGTTTGATTTCACCAAGAATTCAGGGATTGTCTGGGAGAAATTCTTAATTACCAAGCAGCTATCAATTTTAGATCACTGTTTAAAGTTTTTTTCCTTTGTTAAAAATAAATTGTAATAAATATACCTTGCCGGGCATGGTGGCTTATGCTTGTAATCCCAGCAGTTTGGGAGGCCAAGGCAGGCAGATCACGTGAGGTTGGGAATTTGAGACCAGCCTGGCCAACACGGTAAAGCCCCGTCTCTAATAAAAATACAAAAATTAGCGGGATGTGGTGGTGTATGCCTGTAATACCAGCTACTTGGGAGGCTGAGGCAGGAGAATTGCTTGAACCCACGAGGCGGAGGTTCTAGTGAGCCAAGATTGTGCCATTGCACTCCAGCCTGGGCAACAGAGCAAGACTCTGTCTCAAATAAATAAATAAATAAATAAATAAATATACTGAAAAATTTATTTTTTGAATTTGTCAAGGTTTCCTTTGTGGCTGAGCACATGATTAATTTTGAATATTCTGTCAGCAAACAAAAAGGTAAAATTCTTATACCAATAATGAAATTTATGTGTGATGGAAGGTTATATAAATCAGTTTTTTATTGATTAGTTTAATTCTTCTGTGTTTTAATCTGCCAGGATATGTCCTATTTTGAAATAGCTGTGTCGACATCTGTCTTTATGGCTATATAGTTTGATTAGATCTCCTATTCCATTGCATTTTTGTATTGGTTATAATTTGTATATACAAAGTCTCATGGTTTTGGTATGTTAATTTTATTCCTACTGAATTCTTACCAAATTCTTGTTATTCTGTTATTGAAAATTATTTTTTATATTCTCTGAGGTTTTCAAGTTATGATTTTATATGTTCTTAACAGAGATTTATTTTTACCTCCTTCTTTATAATTTTTATGCCTCTAATTGTTTCTGCTTGGTTCTTCCATTTGTCAGAGACTTGTATTACAAGGTCCAACAGTAGCAGCAATAGTAGGTTTTTTTGTCCTTGTCCTACCTTAATTGAAACAATGTTTCTCCATTATATAATACATGCTTCATCTTTTAAGAAAGTAGCAATTGATCCCCATCTCATCAATTAAAAAGAAAACAGATTAGGTGTTGAATTTTGTTAAATGATTTTTTGGTATCTGTGGAGAAGAATGTGTAATTTCAAATTAGATCTATTAAGATGATGAATTATATTAATGCATTTCCTGATATTCTGTAATTCTTCCATTCTTGTAATAAACCTCACTTGGTTATACATATTATTTTTAAATGTTCAATGAACGTTACTTTTAGTACCTTTGCCCTGGTGGGTATAGTAAGGTAAATTTTTAGGAATGGACAATCAATATCAGGTTTTAAATCAGTGTTATGTTCATTCCAACATAGAAAGATGGAAATGTTCTTTCATTTCCAATGCTCAGTAACAGTTTGCAGTATTGGACTTACTAGCTCTTAGAGTTGTGGTAGAACTCTTTTGCAAAACCCTCTGTGCCTATGCTTTTATGCATCGTAGCTCATTGGTAACTTTTCCCCATTTCTTTTATGGAAAATTATGTGTTTAAACTCTCTATAGGGGTCATTTTTTATTTAAAAATTTCAATTTTTTATTTTAGTTCTGTTAGTTTCTGTTTTACACCTACATAATGCTTACCTATTTTTATTCTGAGTTTTAAAAAAATAAACTGTTTAACAGACTTTGGCAATATGTTTTCTAAAATCATGTTCACTGAGGTATAATTTACAAATAATAAAGTCCACCCTTTTAAAGTGTACAGATAGATGAGATTTTGATAAGTGTGTGCATTTACGTAACCACTATAATATTTAATACATGGAACATGTCTATTATCTTGAGACGTTTCTTCATGCTTTTTGGTGGCCAGCCTCTTCTCCCACCCCTACCTTCTGGTAAACATTGATCTGATTTCTGTTTTTATAGGTTTGCCTTTTCTAGAATGTGATATAAATTGAAATCATGCAAAACATAGACATTTTGATCATCTACTTTGACTTGCAAAATACGTACTTTCCAGATGCATTACTTTGTTGGGTATATGGGTAGTACATTCCTTTTTATTACTGAATGGAATTTCATTGGATGATTATACCACAATTTGTTTATCATTCTCCTGCAAATGGAAATGTTGGCTTTTCCAGTTTTTGGCTATCTTGAATCAAGGTGCTATAAATGTTAGCATGTGGGTCTTCGTATGGGCATTTGTTTTCATTTTACCTGGGTGAATACTAAAAATGAGATTGTGTGGTATGTGTATTTTTAGCTTTGCAAGAAAGTGTTAAACTGTTTTCCAAAGTGGCTGTACCATTTGTATTCCCTACAGCAGTGTTTGAGATTTCCCCTTGCTTCATATCCTCATCAGCACTCAATATTGTTAGCCATTTCAATTTCAGCTATTCTCATAGATTTGAGATTTGATTTGTGGTATCTCACATTTTGGTTTTGATTTGTATTTTCCCTATGACTAATGTCATAAAGAATGTTTTCAGGTGCAAATTCATCATCTTACATACATTTTCTGGTAAAGTATGTGTTAAAATATTTTGCTCAATTTTTGAAATATTTGTTATTTTATTACTGTAACCTGGACATTTTTTTTGTTCAAAGTGTTCTTTTATATCTGAAATTATTTGTTCAATTTAAAAAATTTATGTCAGTTATGCGTTATAGTTTTTCTCTGCTTTATTGGCTATTGCTAATGTGTATGCATGTATGTTTATGCATGTATGTGTATGTGTATGCATGTATGTGTATGTTCTATCATTTGCTCAGAATTTTTAATTTTCATCTTCTGTTTTGAAAATTATAGTATCTTTTTATGCATGCTATATTTTGACTTTTTATGGATTTTTTTTTTTGCAACAATGGAGGCAAGCCAATGAAGGAGGTGGAAGAGGAATTTGTGTGGCTTTTCAAATTCTCAGATCAATAGGACCCTTGTCCTATTGAAACACGATTCAGATACTTTGTTTTTTTCTATCACATTCCAGACTCCACGTGACTCATTAAACTTCCTAGGTCCCTACCTTTTCTCTAGTAAAGCACCTTCTTGGAACTTTGGTCCTTTGAACTTTACAAGCAACTTCCTCTTGTTTCTCCAGTAGCCAGTACTCTGACCTGTCAGATCTCAGACATCCTCTTAGTATTGCCTGTTCAGAAACGGCTCCTTACTTGCTGATGGGGAACCCTAGCTGCTGTCATCTGTGTTTTACAAAGACGATTGGTTGTTGAGGGGGCAACGTTAGCATCAAGAGGCAAAGTGCTATACCATTGGTGTACTAAGTTACAATAAGCTCAAAAAATGTAACAAAAACATTGTAGAATGTGATATAAATTGAAATCATGCAAAATATAGATATTTTGATCATCTACTTTGACTTAGCAAAATACATACTTTTAGCAAAATACATACTTAGCAAAATACGTATTGCCAAATTTATTCAGTAATATATAAATGTAACCAGTCAATGACCCTACATCCACTGTTATATAGATTCCACTGGAATCTGTATAATACACTCCAGACCTAACTCTAGGCTTCCCAGGATTGGTGAAGAGAAAACTGAAGGCAAACATTTACAAAAAGAACTTATAATCCACTTCATCCAGCAATCACAGTCTTGGATTCAGCGTTCTGCCTTATATGATGTATTTCTTCCTATTGCCCATATTTAGTCCTTTCATTTTCTGCTCAGAGTGATCTAAGAACTCAACACTGAGTGATACAGTTTTCTCTTGCCAGTGTAGCAATCAATGTAGCTTTGTTTTAGCCTCATTTGATGTCCTTTTTTGTTTCCTTCTGACAAGATCTCAGTGGAGTTCAGCTCTCACAGCAGTAGACTGATTAATAAGGAGATTCTTTCATGACCTCCAAAAGAATTATTCACACTTTTGTCTCTTTAGAGAGCTGTTAGTTGTGTTTCTGCCTTAGAGAGAGCAGATGGCTGGATAAGGAGTGGATGTGTGAAATACACATATTTGACAAGGAACTAGTATCCAGGATACATGGAGAATTGCTTTAAATAAATATGAGAAAGGCTGCTCAAGAGAAAACTGGATAAAACACATGAACAAGACATGTCACAAAAAGAATATCCAAATGTTCAATAAAGATATAAAAATGCTCATGCTTATATATCATAAACAAATGGAAGATAGTACAGAAATGCTGAGCAGGTTAGTGGGAAATGGACTCAAGATGAAGAATTATGAAAAAAGACACGGCCAGGTGCGGTGGCTCATGCCTGTAATCTCAGCACTTTGGGAGACCGAGGTGGACAGATCATGAAGTCAAGAGATCGAGACCATCTTGGCCAACATGGTGAAACCCTGTCTCTACTAAAAATACAAAAATTAGCTGGGCGTGGTGGTGCATGCCTGTAGTTCCAGCTACTCGGGAGGCTGAGACAAGAGAATAGCTTGAATCTGGGAGGTGGAGGTTGCAGTGAGCCGAGATCGCACCACTGCACTCCAGCCTGGTGACAGAGTGAGACTCTGTCTCAATAAAAAAAAGAAAAAAAAAAAAAGAAAGACTTGATTTATGTTTCATAGCAATTTTAAGAGCTTTGGAAATATAATTTCCCCTAAGATACGTCTGTAAACAGTTTTGATGAATGTAAAATATTTCCATACCTATCTTATGTTTGTTCTTTTCAGATAAAATTGAACTCAGATAAAATTCTTTTTAAGAAATATGCTTGGTATCTCATTGTATCAGTGTAGAATTAATTCTTCGCGGTAGGTAAATGATCAGGGAAACATTGAAGAGAAACCTTTTTAAAAGTATGTGTGGATCAATGTAAAGACTGCTATAAAGTAGTTTTAAAAGGGCCTGCATTCTAGTTTCCATTCTGCCACTAACTAGAGATTTTTGTCAATGGAAAAGTAACTGTATTCTTTGAGCTTTAACTTAAAATAACATGGTTTTATTTGATTTTTCTGACTCTCTCTAGCTGTAACTTTGTATGCTGTCATTATTTGAAGTCATATGGGACATTACATCTCTATGGAAAGGAGAATAATACAGTCTGTCTTAATTCAGGGTTTAGGGTTTGCATGGCTGAAATCAGGCCAAAGACTAGGCTAGTACCCTCTTTTCTGCTAATACCGGGTGATGTCTATGTTTTTTAATATTGGAGAAAGAAATCTAATCATTTATTTCACCATGCTTATTCAGGTCACATTTTTGAATACAGACAGGACTTCAGTAAATATACTACTTACCACTGAATGTCTTCTTTCTGTTCTTCTGCTTCATACTGTGCATATTTTCTAAAATTATTTTTCACATAATTTTATAATGTTTTGCTTGTAAGTATATTTTTCCTATATTGTAAACTCTTCGAAGGCATTTTTTCCCTATAGTTGTATCCCTAGTGCCTGAAACAGCACCTATTATGCATTACACAAGATTTACTGAGCAGATAAATTTTCACTGCTCTAACACTGACTAGATATCCTACTATTCATCTTTCTCAGTCCCCTAAATGCAATAGATGGGTATACTTATGAGTTAATTGAAGCAGTGTCTCAAACATCTGACCTATGGTGTTAGAAAAATGGGAAGGAGGGCTTCACTGTTTACATTCTTCATCCTTACTCTGAGAAATAGGATATAGTATTTAAATAGTCACTAGGGCAATTTATGTTCTAATTTGATGTCTCCACTCCTCAGTTATTAATATAAATGCCTTCTTCCAGCTATTTTGTCATCTTTCCCATATCTCCACATATTTAGTGTGATTTCCTACCGTTATTTTGTTTTCTTGAGGGTTGAGATACTCTGGGCTTTCTTTCCCAGGCTATCCCTCTAGAAGAAATGTAGATGAGAACTCAAAGGTGGTAAAATCATCTGTAACCACAGCCTGCATTACAGTGAAGTTTGATTCCCTTCTACCTCTCTAAGTGAAGGAGCTGAAGGCAGAGTTCCTAAGAAGGCATTTTTTTAAAATTTATGATGAGTTAGCAACGGACAAAGATAAGAAAATATCTTTATTGAAAAAGAAGAGGAAAGGTCAAAATAGTGAGAAATTGAAAGGACTTAGAATTATTATTGAAAACAAAAGAAAAAAGGAAGAATAGACAACAGCAATGTGCAAAAATATTTAGAAAAAATCCATAAATTATACTATTCTACCACAGCAACTAATTTCCTTTGGCGTATTATTTTCCAGATTCTGTTTACATGGACACATGTTCTACATGGTTGCAATCAAAACATTCTTATATGTAACTAGTAGTGTGAACAGTTAGAAACAGACTTTAAAATTATAATTTTAATAAATGCATACACAGTCTATTGTGTCAATATACAAAAAGTGTGTGATAACAAAGCTGGGTGCAGTTGTGTGCACCTGTAGTCCTAGTAGCTTGGGAGAAGGAGGTGAGAGGGTGAGACGAGAAGATGACTTGAGCCCAGGAGGTTGAGGCTTTGGTGTGCTATAATCACACCTGTGAATAGCCACTACACTCCGGTATGGGCAACCTAGTGAGACCTTGTTTCTTAAAAAAAAGAAAAATGTGTGTCATAACATTCTCCAGGAGTATTTAGGTGTTTTTCACAGATTGTACTGACACCCACCTTGAAAAATGGGATGGAGTTAGAGGAAGTAGGTGGTTCACATATCTGATTCCCTCACCACTCCCTCCTTCAGAAGCCATCCAACAAGCACTATTAATAGCAGCAAACAGATATGAAGCCCTTTATGTTTTAGAAAATACTTCTGTATCTATTTCTTACTTGATCTTTAAAAGAACTTTTAACATTCATATAGAAGATCTGTTGGTAGTATTATATATCTAGCTTATCAATATTGAAACCTTGGTGAAAACAGGCACAAAATCAATGGAATAGAATAGAGAACTCAGAAATTAATCCATGTATGTATAGCTAACTGATTTTTAACAAAGGCACCAAAGACATACACTGGAAAAAGGATACTTTCTTCAATAAACAATGCTGAGGAAACTGAATATTCATATGCAGAAGAATGAAATGAGATATATTCTTACCATATATACAAATAAACTCAAGATGGATTAAAGACTTCCACGTTAGACCTCAAACTACAAAACTACTAGAAGAAAACATAGGAAAAATGCTTTAGGACATTGGTCTGGGCAAAGGTTTTATGGGAAAGACTTCAAAAGCACAGGAAACAAAACAAAAATAGATAAATGGGGCTATATTAAACTGAAAAGCTTCTGCACGGCAATAGAAACAGTCAGCAGAGTGAAGCGATAACCTGTAAAGTGGGAAAAATATTTGCAAACTATTCATCTGACAAGAGACTCAACAGCAAAAAGTTAAATAACCTCATTAAAAGTGGGCAATGGAACTGAATAGACATTTCTCAAAAGAACACATATTACTGGCCAACAAACATATAAAAAATGCTCAAGATTTATGAGAATAATCTGGGTAATACAAATTAAAACCACAATGAAATATCACCTCATCCCAGTTAGAATGGCTATTACAACAAAGACAACAGATAAAAAATGCTGGTGAGG
Source organism: Homo sapiens (assembly GCF_000001405.40). Lineage (NCBI taxonomy): Eukaryota > Metazoa > Chordata > Mammalia > Primates > Hominidae > Homo > Homo sapiens. The sequence continues at coordinate 123,895,890 of NC_000011.10, forward strand.
ATGCAGAGAAAAAGGAACTCTTATACACGGTTGGTAGAAATGTGAATTAGTACAGCCATTGTGGACAACAGTATGGAGGTTTCTTGAAAAACTACAAACAGAACTACCATGTGATCCAACAATCCCACTACCGGGTATATATCCAAAGGATATATATACCGGGTATATATCCAAAGGATATATATACCGGGTATATATCCAAAGGATATATATACCGGCTATATATCCAAAGGATATATATACCGGCTATATATCCAAAGGATATATATACCGGCTATATATCCAAAGGATATATATACCGGCTATATATCCAAAGGATATATATACCGGCTATATATCCAAAGGATATATATACCGGGTATATATCCAAAGGATATATATACCGGGTATATATCCAAAGGATATATATACCGGCTATATATCCAAAGGATATATATACCGGCTATATATCCAAAGGATATATATACCGGCTATATATCCAAAGGATATATATACCGGCTATATATCCAAAGGATATATATACCGGCTATATATCCAAAGGATATATCCCACTAACCGCTACTGGGTATATATCCAAAGGAAAAGAGATAAGTATGTCAAAGAGGTATCTAAACTTCAATGTTTATTGTAGCAGTATTCACAATCAAGATATAGAATCAATCTATGTGTCCATCAACAGGTGGATAAATAAGAAAATGTGATATATATGTGTATATATATATATATATACACGTGTGTGTGTGCACACACACAGTACACGCGTGCACACACACATGGAATACTATTCAGCCATAAAAAGAATAAAATCCTATCATCCACAATAACTTGGATGTGTCTGGAGAATGTTATGTTGGGCAAAGTAAGTCAGGCACAGAAAGATAAATACATGTTTTCACTCATATGTTGGAACTAAAAAATTATTTTGAGCTCATAAAAGTAGAGTGGAATTATGGGTATTAGAGGCTGGGAAGAGTAAGGGGAAGGGGAGGATGGAGAGAAGTTGCTCCATGGATACAAAATTATAGCTGGATAGGAGGCATGATTCTAGTGTTCTGCAGCATGATAGGGTAAATATGGTTACATATAATTTAGTGTATATTTTCAGAAAGCTAGAAGAGAACTGTGAATGTTCACAACACAAAGAATGATAAATGTTTGAGGAAATAGATATACTAATTACTCTGAGCATTATACATCGTATAGACATATTGAAATATCAGACTGTACCCCATAAATATGTACAATTATTTCATGCCAACTAAAAATAAAAAGGAAAAAAATAAGAAAACCTTGGCTTACAAAGGTGAGATCACTTGTGAAAAGACCACATACTACTAGTTAATAGCACAAATGGATCTTAATAAGTCTGGAAAATGAGAAGCCTGTGTGTGCATTCATTTTCTCTCTCTCTCTGACTCTCTCTGTGTATCTGCTCCATCCAGATATTTAGTTATTAGATTAGTAGGGTCCACAAGAGAAATGTACAACATGAATCACAAATCATGTCAGCCTTATGATAGATAATTGGGAAAAGTACAGGGATGATTTTTAAACACTGGAATCCACTCGGGACTGTATACACATGTGCAAATGTTGTTCCACCTGTAGGGATCTTCAAAAGTAGAAACTATAATATTGTAGCATTAATGATTACAGGATTCATTTGCAAATAATTGAACATAGTCCCAACTGGGGCAATTAAAACTTTTTAGAAACAACACAAGCTCTGGAGACCATAAAGGAAAATGGAATGATTACTAATCTAAATAAGCCAATGTCACTTAGCAGCCTGATTAGGTATCTATGATCCAAACAATAATTGCAAGATCAGGAAAGTCTGATAATAAACTTCTGAACGTCTATCTCTCAGGGCTGGAATTTCATGGGCAAATCTTTTATTCGATTGGCATGGCATAATGACATTTTGGTCAATGATGGAATGCATCTATGACAGTGGTTCCTTAAGATTATAATAGATTATAAAGGATAAATTATATAATTTATCTTTTCTATGTTCAGATATGTTTAGGCACATAAATACTTGCCATTGTGTTATAATTGCCTGAAGTATTCAGTACAGTAACATGCTGTACAGGTTTGTAGTTCAGGAGCAATAGGCTATACCCTATAGCCTGGGTGTGTAGTAGGTTATACCATCTAGGTTTGCGTAAATACATTCTATGATGTTCACGCAGCCACAGAAGTGCCTAAATACCCATTTCTCAGAATGTATCCGCATTACTAAACAATGCATGGCTGTATTTTAAAGTGAAAGCACATGTCTACCTGCCTGTACTCCACTAGAAATATTCTTTGGCTTGGAGTTGAGAGGCCATATGCTGGCAGTCCTCACTATATGAGGCCTTGGTAGTCTGATTCATGGCCAAGAAACGTGTTTCCAAGGCAGTACTATCTCCTGCTTTGCGTAGCTGAAACAGCTGTTCCTGACATCCTTCTGAAGGGAAAGACACAAAGGGGACAGTGCGAAACCTGGGGGAACATATATAAGAGTGGGAAGTTTCTCTTCCACTTGTTGGGCCTTAGTGAAACTAATGCTTGTGTTAATGAGTGAAAAATATCTGTGCAGCATGTTTGTGGTATATGTCCATCGTTCCACTCAGATAGTTTTTCATGGCACTTGGATTCCCTATTCTTTTCTTCATCAGCATACCTTCCCAAGGTGTAGGCATGTGTCATTAGGACAGGATTCCTTGGTGTGCAGAAGTGGATAATGGCATTTTGCCACACTACAGAATTTCTTGACTACGTAAATCTCTGGAATGCTTATTGAAATGGAAGGTTCCTGTTCCCAACCACAGATTTGCTGAATCAGAGCTTTGGGGGCTGGGGGAGGAGCCCCTTTTTACCAGCTGCTCTGGGTAGTTGTTTTTAGCACGCTAACATTTAAAAATCTTTTCCAGCGATAGCACAGTTAGCCTGGCACCTAACGATGTTGGGACATGTTGTGGTACTTCATTTTTGGAGATGTTCCTTATCTTTTTAGACCCTTTGTACAGTGGTCAGGTTCTTTGAGGAAATAATCCACAAGCTCAGGAATTCTAAATCTAAGGATCTTTTGGCTTCTAGGGCTTCTCTTCAAGAATCATTCATACATGTATGCAAACTTTTGAGTTTTATGCATTATTTTTGGGGACAAGAATGATAGAAAGATTTGGAGATATTTCCCTAGCAAGGTGTGCTAACTTTGTTATTGGATGGAGCCTTTGCCCCAAATCTGTGTTTCCTTTTCAAATTTCACAGTGTGTGCAAAGTCACCTAGAAGGACAATAAAACTCCTCTTTATCCATCTCCAAATATAAGCAGCCAGCTTCCTGTTTGCTTTTCTCTTGGGGCAGCAAGGCATGAACTCTTGCATGAGGGACTCCTAGATTTGCTTCTTGGGTCTGCCGTTTATCAGCTGGGCTGCCTTGAGCAAATATAATGGTCACTCTGGGCTCTGGTAGTCTCACCAGTGCAATGGAGCTAAATGTTTAACTCATTGAGTGGTTACTGCCACTAATGGGATCAGGTTTACAAAATGCCTGGATCAGTATGCAACAAATATCAGTTTCTTTTGCCATTTCTTCCCATGTGTGTGTGTGTATATGTGTGTACGTGTATATGTGTGTGTACATGTGTGTGTGTTTGCATAAGTGGGTCTGTAGGCAGGTGAGCAGGTCAGACATATGTAGACATATCAGGTGATATAGTGAAGGCCATCTTTAAGATTCCGTTTTCATCAAAACCAGGATTTCTTGAAAAATTCAAAAGGAGAGAAAGCAGGAACTTGATTTGCTGAGTTTGACCTAGTAAAAGAAGCCATATTCACCCTTAGGAAGGTGAGAACAGTATGGAGGCTTTCACTGAGAGCTGACTGGGCCATGTTTCTTTGCATTTTCATGGTACTTGAGGGAAGTAGAAACAAATTTAATTTTAGTATACAACTCTGGAAAATATTGCTGCACCATTAGCATTTCTTGGATAAAAGCTCTAGCAACGTACAGGGCAGAATACTAAATGTAAGCAAGGTGTCTTTGCTCCACCTACTCTTGGCTCCGTTTGGACTAAGACAGCAGTGCCTGGAGGAGCAGCAGCAAAGGCCAAGGTTGCCTGGTGGAGGCAGCTGCACACTGCTGGGTAGGGTAGAGAAGAGTTTCTTCCCAGTGGGCAGGAGGTTGTTTTCTAGGACTTATCATGGTGATAGTGAGAGTGGTAGGAGGCGGCTAATGGTCCTGTGGTTCTTCCCAAACCTAGACACTCCTACTGAGTACTCAGAAGGCCCTAGCTGAAGGGTTACAAACTAAAAATAAACAAAAGCCCAGATAGCAATAACAACAAGAAGAACAACAAAACAACCTCTTTAGATTCCCAGCTTTATACTAGCCCACCTGACTTTATACTTTTCTCATTTCTGACCAAAAACTTCCTGTACACATTGAAAGGAATCTCTAACATAACTATAAAGAGATTGCTATAGCTAAGTTAACTTTGACTTACCCACATTAACAAAGAAGACTAACATATAATCTGAACATTTCTCTTTGCCTTTGGATTATATTTCTTCATTTGCTTTTTTTTTGTTTTTTTGCAATCAGATATGCTCCATATTATATTTGTGTAGCAAATCACTAATATTTTTTAGTTTCAAAATAAACTATTTGCATAGTGAGGCAGCAATACATACACACACACACTCTCGCTTACACACATGATCATAACAGGGATTTACTTCACTAAACATTATTCATAATATGTATAATTCACAGGCTGGTAATGGGTATCTAGACTATAGCTGAAGTTTTGTGTTTTAAGCATTTGACTCCAGTAGGCCTCTATGCAATAAGCTTGCTTGGACAAGTATAAGTAGGATTGATGGTTATTTATAATATTTGATTTTAAGAATAAGCAAGAATATTGTGTGTTACATATCTGCTCTTCTAATACCATAAGCTTCCTCATTCATGACTGATTTCCCCTGGTTAAGAATTGATCTCATTTTGTTATTTATCTAGTAAGTGAAAATCCTCTCCTGTAAGTTGGCCTATTTTAATCAGCATTTCAGATCACGATCTTCTAGACAGGAGAGAACAAAGTGTTCTGATTGAACTAGATGCTGGGTAGGAATGAGGATGATGCTGAAAAAAGTAAATTCTACTCTAAGCCGGTCATTGCGATAGGCCCTAATGAATGAGAAATTGTCCCTTGTCTCAACGGCGGGGGGGCAATTCCCAAAGAGCAGGGAAGACAGGCACAAATACATGTATGGGGGGACAATGTTAAAGCAGAGGTCAGTACACTGGGAGAATAGTTAAGGGAATAGGAATGGTACCAAAGCACTTTTCCCAAGGAAATAAATTGACATTAAAACATGTTTTAATAACCATCCAATATGAATGGGGGAAGGACCATGCTTTATTTATCCTGGCTCCATCTCCAGAAATTTAGTGTCTTTGACATGGTAGACACTATTGATTATGAGATAATCTGAAGTGGTGTCACAGTTTTCCCCAAAGGCAGATCTGAATATAGCTGTTTGCCCCTGAAAATGTGGAGGCTTTAAGTGCATGTGTTATTTTAACAGAGCCACAAAAGGCTCACCCAAGGATCACCAGGCACATTCTTCCAGATGTCCTGGAAAGCCATTAGAACAGACTGGAGGGCTGGACTCAGACTCATTCCTCTGACTCTTCTTCCATCATTAGCAGACACTAGAAACACTGAATCTACTGCTTTCATCCAAGAAACACTTCAGCTATTCCCAGTGTTCTTCACATATTCCTTAGGTTTTCTACTTCTCAGTTCCTTTGCTTATGCCTTTATCTACGTCTTGAATATTCTTTCATATCCTCTCAGCTTAAATGGATCCTCCCCACCTTTGAAGGCATATTTTACAATCTACCTTTCCATGAAGATCGTCCTTATCGCTCTAGACAGTAATGACCTGTTCCATCTCTGACCTCAAAGTCTACCTACTGCTTATTATACCAAGCACTGTCTATGATGCCTCATTTGTTCAACATTTTAAAATGCAAGCCATGTGTTAGACCATGTATCTTCCCCGACTGAATGGCAAGGGGCATTAGTGTGACTAATCCATGTTAGATTCCCAAAATGATAGGCCAGTTCATGGATAGTTCTTACAAATACATAGGCTGCTGTACCTCAGGAGACAAGAAACCCTTGGGACTACTGGTCTTTATATTTCTTGACACAAAATACCTGAACTGAGAATAAAAGTCATAGCTTCTTGTTAGCTGTTGTCACTCAGACACTTAAAGAAGAAGGTAAAATCAATCCATCTCTACTCCTGAAGTGATGAGGTTAGGAGAAAGAAGAGATACTCACCTACAGTCTTCAGGAGGAAAAAGGTGAGCTTCAGAATTATGATGTTCATATTATAAGTATATTAAAATGTGTTCTGAAATCAATTCCCGATTGTCCCCATGGGTTCTCGAGCTGCATGTTTGAGGCCACTGAGTCACAGAAGTTTAGGGAAGAGGCCATAGGCATCCATCTCAGACTCATTTATGCATTGTCCAGTCACCTTACCTAAGTATCTTGTGTCTAATATATGAATTAATCTGTGAAATCACCTGCTTTAAAAATATATTTACAAATATATTTATGTGAACCTTATAATATGTAAAATACATTCACAGTTATTGTCTCATTTGATTTGCATAACAATCTTTTGAAGTATTTATTATTTTTTACAGATTAAAATATGAAGTTCAGAGAGACTTTATGAGTCAAAGGTTGCACTGTAAATCTTAGAAATGAAAATGATACTGCATCTTATAACTCAGGGTTCATGGTCTTTCTGTTACCTCTGTACTAATGGTTTCTTTCTTTAAAAGGGGACAATTCAGATTTGAAAGATTTAGGGAAAAAGATCACATTCTAGACTTCTGTTGTCCAGTAATATAGCCACTAGCCATAGGTGGCTACTGAGCATTTGAAATCTGGCCGGGTATAAAATACACTATGGATTTCAAAGATTTGTATAATAAAATAATGTAAAATATCTCATTATTTTTAAAATATGAATTATATGTTGAAATGATGTACATGTACATCATTTTGCATGTACAGTTGGCCTGTGTGTCTGTGGGTTCCACATCTGTGGATTCAACCAATGGCAGATGGAAGATTTTTTTTTAATGGGTGGTTATATCTGTACTGAATATGTACAGACATTTTTCTTGTTATTCCCTGAACAATATACTAAAAGAAATATTTACTTAGCATTTACATTATATTAGGTATTATAAGTAATCTAGAGATGATTTAAAGTATACAAAAGGATGTGCTTAGTTAGGTTACATAAAAATACGACACCATTTTAAATCAGGGACTTGAGCATTCAGGGATTTTGGTATCTGAAGGGGTCCAGGAACCAGTCTCCTATGGATATCAAGGACTGAACTGAGTTAAACAAAACATACTAGTAAAATGTATTTTATCTTTTTATTCTGACTTTTTACAAAATGAACTTCTAGGATGTTTTAAATTGCCCGTGTGTCTGCATTATATGTCTATTGGGCAATGCTGATCTAGCATTTACCTTTGCAAAATACTTTCAATAGTCATAGTTTTAATAATACTGTGAGATGCATTGAAATGTTTAAAAACACTTTTCTTATGATTTTAAATTGCTAAAAACCACCTGAGTCCTGAATGAGGTCTGAATCAATGTAGTAGATTATTTTGGTCAGAAATACAACCTCATAAATTTGTATCCCTAGGCTAGTCAAGTTTACTGTTTATCGGTTGGTTAAATAAAGTAGATGCTGGTTATCATTGCTTACTTTTGTGTGGACTAAGATGGAATGTGTATAATTTTTCTTCCTACAAATGCAAAAACAGAATACAATTTGTTGCAATAATCTATTTGACATGCACATTACACTGCCATGGAATCTGTGAGTTTTCAAATAGGTGGCAAAATACTGAAATGTAAAATTGTACACTTTCTATTCTTCATCTGAGAAGGCTTTCCTTGAGAAGATGTCTTCAAAGATGGGCTTTACATAATCAGGTAATGCTTTCTGGCACAAAATGAATCAGAAAAGTTTAGAGAAGGAAACAAGAAAGAAGATCGATGACTTCAGCTCTAGGAGAAAATAACTGAAAATAGCGCCTCTCAAATGTTAATGCACTCACAAATCATGTGAGAATCCCACTAAAATGTAGATCCTCACTCAGCAGGTGTGAGGTAGGGCCTGAGACTGTGCATTGCTAAAAAAATCTCTGAGTGATACTGCTACTACTGGTTCATAGACCACACTGTGTAGTACAAACCTAAACCACAGAAATGTTTTAGAAAGTGAGAACACAGGAAAAAGAAACCTCACAGGCTTGAGAAGAGGGAAGAACAGTGCAGGACACTAGAATAAAACAAGGAACATGAGCAGAATAAGACATTTTACTTGGAGAGGGAGCCCAGTAGGAATTAGGGGGCATGCAGGAGAATTAAATATAAGAGTGGTCAGTGTGTTTGTAACACTCAGGACAGATTTTAAAACATGCTTTAAAAAACCCATGATATTAAAGACAAAAAACTGAGCATATAGGTTTTTTGAACATTACTTCGATAAGCCTCTGTGACTAGACTACACACATGAATGCTAACTGGTAAGGAGTAATGGGAAAGGAAGACTCCGGGTATTTCTGTAACAGGCAAAGAGCAATTGGACACTCACTTTTGCACGTGATCTTCCATCTCCATCATTTAGGATGAGAGAGGAGCAGATACAAAAGACACAGGTTCTGAAGAATGGGGAAGCCTGCTCAGAGAATAGCTGTTCAGTGCTCATGCAGCTTATTTGTTTTAAACTGTGAGAAGGATTTGGGAAATAAGGAGTCACCTGCATCCTGGGAACTCAAGCTGCCTACGGAAGTTTGGCTTGTCCTATTACAGCAGTAATATATTGGAAACAAGAAGACATGAACAGCTTATTAAATAGCCAGGTAGCTGGGCAGAATGAGAAAATGCAACCCTAGACAATTGAGCCATTTGGGCAAATATGAGAGTCTGGAGTGAGCTCTGGGAGAGGCCCAACACTAAATAAAGGGTCAGCTTTCTCAGAGATAAGGCCATGATTGACCCCAGAATAGACGATTCCAAGATGTGTGCTATGTGGGAGCCTCCAAGTGGCAACAAAAACATCTGGGTTGCTTGCATTGCCAGTAGTGGCAGCACTAGTGTGTTATATTGGACTCCATGGCCTTGGCGAGAGATGTAGCCTTAGCCTGGAGGATGGCCAGAGATCCAGAAGGTAGAAACAGTTTTGGGAAGTCTGCCATTCTACTATCATCCAGCTTTTTACTCAAGTGTACGAATTAATTTCCCACCTGGAAATCAATGTATGATTAGATTAAAAATAGAACAAACACACAAATGAAAATATAGTTTTCTAAAATACATTCTGAGCCATGCTTGTGCTATAAAATGTTTTTAAAAAGTGTGAAGTTGGCCTATCACCAAGTAAGTTTGATAAATATTGTATTTATATAGTCCTTCAGGAGGACTGAGGCATCCTCCAGTTACAAAACCAGTTTAACTATGTAATTCAGGATGTCTGAAGTCATATGATCCTCAGATACTTATTTAATGTAACACCTTTTAACATCTCCCTGGAATTATTCTTTTGCTGAACACCCTTGGAAACCTTGATGTAGAAAATTATAATTCACCTTAACAGTAGATACCTTCTCTATAGGAAATCCTGGAGGAAGAGTCAGCCTTTGGCAAATGTGTCACTAGCAAAAGTATTCTCATAGTCCTCAGCCTCTAGTTTATGCACCTACTTAACTAATTTGCTTTAAGAAACTGTGGAGTCCTAATTAGGGAAGGGGAGTCAGGCTGGTGGGAGCAGGGAAAAGCAAAAAGAGAAAGCAGATGAGCTACAAGTCTGCCTTTCTTCATGGCCCAGGACACACAGCCCTCCTGCACAAATAACTCACAGTCTTCCTGCATCCAACTATCACCAGACACCTGCAAATTAGCTCCCTGCAACCTTGGTGTTATCAGTACTGCACAAAGCCCTCTTCAACAAACAGCATAAATATCATCCTATAAAATTTTCAGCAAGGCTTTGTATCTTTGCAGTCAGCTTCTGCTGAGTAGCTCGTTGTCTCCCTGGCAACGTATTTTCCTACTTTCTCTAATTAGTCTGTCTTCCTTTACCTACAACTGTCTTGCTAAATTCTTTTACTCCAGTGGCTGGCATTTCTCCACAACAGAAATCCCCTGGTTTTAAGCATTAGTTTTGTCTCTAACTCTGGAGTAAAAGGTTCTGTCGTTTGCTAAGAGAATTTGTTCCACTGGAGGGTATGGAAAAGTGTGTTTCTGGTTCCTAAAATCTATAGGTAGGTAGATGCTTACCGACTCCATTTCATCTGAGTGTTCACTTTTTGGTTTTCGTAACACAAAGTCAGTGTTTTCATAGAGAGAAAACACTGATATTTGTTTTCTATAGAAACAAACACTGATAGAATTTGACTTTTTCTCTCTCATCTCCACAGATTTCTCAGAGAAGAATGGGTGTAAAAAACCATTCCACAGTGACTGAGTTTCTTCTTTCAGGATTAACTGAACAAGCAGAGCTTCAGCTGCCCCTCTTCTGCCTCTTCTTAGGAATTTACACAGTTACTGTGGTGGGAAACCTCAGCATGATCTCAATTATTAGGCTGAATCGTCAACTTCATACCCCCATGTACTATTTCCTGAGTAGTTTGTCTTTTTTAGATTTCTGCTATTCTTCTGTCATTACCCCTAAAATGCTATCAGGGTTTTTATGCAGAGATAGATCCATCTCCTATTCTGGATGCATGATTCAGCTGTTTTTTTTCTGTGTTTGTGTTATTTCTGAATGCTACATGCTGGCAGCCATGGCCTGCGATCGCTACGTGGCCATCTGCAGCCCACTGCTCTACAGGGTCATCATGTCCCCTAGGGTCTGTTCTCTGCTGGTGGCTGCTGTCTTCTCAGTAGGTTTCACTGATGCTGTGATCCATGGAGGTTGTATACTCAGGTTGTCTTTCTGTGGATCAAACATCATTAAACATTATTTCTGTGACATTGTCCCTCTTATTAAACTCTCCTGCTCCAGCACTTATATTGATGAGCTTTTGATTTTTGTCATTGGTGGATTTAACATGGTGGCCACAAGCCTAACAATCATTATTTCATATGCTTTTATCCTCACCAGCATCCTGCGCATCCACTCTAAAAAGGGCAGGTGCAAAGCGTTTAGCACCTGTAGCTCCCACCTGACAGCTGTTCTTATGTTTTATGGGTCTCTGATGTCCATGTATCTCAAACCTGCTTCTAGCAGTTCACTCACCCAGGAGAAAGTATCCTCAGTATTTTATACCACTGTGATTCTCATGTTGAATCCCTTGATATATAGTCTGAGGAACAATGAAGTAAGAAATGCTCTGATGAAACTTTTAAGAAGAAAAATATCTTTATCTCCAGGATAAATATGCTCTTTATTAAGATCTATTTCTGTATTCATAATCATGATTATATGTATATATTTATACCTTGACTATTTAAAAGTAATTTGAGGTCCAGGTACGGTGACTTACGCCTGTAATCCCAGCACTTTGGGAGGCCGAGTTGGGTGGATCACGAGGTCCGGTGTTCAAGACCAGCCTGGCCAAGATGATGAAACCCCATCACTATTAAAATTACAAAAAAATTAGCAGGGCATGGTGGTGGGCACCTGTAATCCCACCTACTTGGGAGGCTGAGGCAGAAGAATTGCTTGAACTCGGGTGGCGGAGGTTGCAGTGAGCCGAGATCACACCATTGCACTCCAGCCTGGGTGACAAGAGTGAAAGTCTGTCTCAAAAAAAAAAAAAAAAAAAAAAGTAATTTGAAATCAGATGAAATTATATATATTTAGATTAGTAAATATATGCACAGATAATTACATTAATAACATGTAAAACAACATATATGAAAGTGAAAAGTAAAAAATATTTTAAATTTAAAGTTAATACCTTTGCTGGGATTGAACAACAATTTTTATCTTTAGTTTCCTGAATCCAAGCCCAAAAGGAAATCATCATCATGGTGTACTGCATAGTCATATCAGAAGAAAACCACACCTAATTTCAAAAAAAATTGAGCAGCGTGATGGAAATTATTACAACAATTTTGTAATAACTGTGGGAGAATTTTTCTTGATTGTTTCTTATAAAGGGCTTCTTGAAAGCCAGTATTGTCTTACAGTGTAATGCAATGAAGAAGATTCAACAAAGGACTAAGCTAATATGGTCTCAGTATTTGGCAGCTGTTGATCCAAAAATAAGATTTAACAATGACTAGATGAAGAGATGATGTTTATAACCTTATTAAAATGTCTTGTTTTTTTTCAGCATGACCAGTATATGTGCAGTATTTTGTAACTTTCTGTTTGTTTCTTTTGAGTTGGTATTTTCTTTGTAAGCTGTAACTAGGTGTCTTTAATTTCCTCCACATGTTTTGAGATAAAGATAATGAAAAAGCTTATGATTTTTAAGAATGAACCTATACAGTGAACCAAGATAGTATGCTGTATGGGGAATGTGATGTATTAGCTAATTCATTTGTTCAGCATATGCTTATCATGGACACCATGTGCCAGGCACTGTTCTGAGTGTTGGAATATTATGGTGAATATGATAGACAAGGTATCTCTTTACTTTTAGGGGGTGAAAAAGATGATAGATAATACAGAGGTAGTTCAGTGAACAAACATAATTATAGATAAGTCCTTTGGAAAAAATGAGTTATGTAATTTTCAGTGGTTCAAATTCTACTCTCAATAGAGCTCTTTGAAGAAAGGACATTTGAAATGAAACCTAAATGAAGAAAAGGGTACAGTTATGCAGAAACCAGAAAGGCAGCGGCAAGTACAAAGTCGAAGGCTGGAACAAACTTGGCCATATTCAAGAAACGGAGAAGGCAGTATGGCAGACGGTCAGTGAGAGAGGGAGAAAAGGAACCAAAGGAGGTTGGATAAGTAGGCAAACTCTAGATCACTTAGGGAGTTTTAATTCTATCCTAAGTACAATGAGAAGCAATTGGAATGTTTCAAAAGCAGAGCGATGTAATCTGTTTTACATTTGAAAAATATCTTCTGGTTATTGATTAGAAAATAGATAGATATTTATGTGTGTGTATGTTTGTGGGAAGGGTTAGATAGGGAAAGATAGTGCTATTGGCCAGAGTGGAAGCAGAGAGGGTACTTTTGATGCTGTTAAACTTATTTTGGTAAGAAACAATGTGATTTTAGTTCCAGGAATAGCAGTAGAAATAAAAAAAAATAGATTCAAGATACATTTCTGACTGTGAATAAATAAGATTTGCTGTTGAATTGAAAGTGTGATGCTTGAGGATGATATATTTTAATAAAGTTAAAATAAAAATTTCAAAATAAGGAAAATATAAACAATAAAAGTGAGTCAAGACCAGTCAAAATAAAAACACAGATGGATCATAAAATCCAAAGTAGTTGCAATGTTTGATCTTCATATCTGTCTGAGTTTCCAAGTAGCCAAAATTAACATAAATATAATAGTAGAGTTATACAGTTTTCAATGTATGTTAAACAATGCTTATTATAAAGAAGCAAGCCTTTCAGTTATTCATAGTAAGCAAAGTTTTCTCATAAAGTAAAAATCACTTCTAACTCATTTTCTCTTCCCCAAAGAAACAAAAACAATTTACATGGAAATTTACATAGGAGTTACTGACAGATACCACTAGACAGAGCTTTTGCAAGAAGGAGAAAAGCTGTGTTTTTTATATAAAGTGCTTAATTTTTTGTGTGTGTTATATCTCCATTATGGGATGCCTCTCATGTTACTGATTAGTTAACAAGGACCTGAGATATTTTTCTACTTAGAAGATTTTTCTGACTCCTGTTTAGAAGGTCAGTTAAGAAAATTAGGAGAGAGTAGGTAAGAAATGGTTTGACCGAGGGATGATACATAGGTGGGGTTACTGCATTTACTCTTGTATGCATATCCATGGCAGGCATAACTTCTGCATTATGGGACTCCAAAAAATTCAGATGTGGTGTGGTCTTTTTTTTTTTTTTTTAAACTCAGTGCTCAAGACTACCACTGTCATTTGACTAGCAATGACATATATAAAGAAATCTAATTTCCTTGGGGCTTTTACTAATTTTATATGCAGCTTATTCATTTTCAATACATTTTCCAAGGCTGAGAGACTACATAATGATTTAGGAACAACATCCTAGCTAGGGCTAAAGAGTATTTGTTTTTTGTATGTTCTCTTTGCATATATTCCATTTAAAATTTTGAAGGTTGAAGGTGGAGCAAGAGGGTGGAATAGAAGCCTACATTCTTTGTCCCTCTCTGCTGTAACATCAAATTTTTAACAACCATCTGCACACAGAAAAGCACCTTCACAAGAACCAAAAAGCGGGTGAGCAATCGCAGTACCTGGTGTTAACTTAATATCATGGAAAGTGGCATTGAGGAAGCCAGGAGAGACAATCTAGAATCACCATTGCCATCTTTCCTCTATTCCCTTGCAGTGGCTGTGAAGCATGTAGAATCTGTGCACTTTGGGGAGGGAGAGTACAGCGACTGGGAGACTCGGCATTGAACTCAGTGCTGCCCTGTCAAAGCAGAGAATAAAGCCATGCTAGGCTCGGCCAGTGCCTGCACACAGAGGGACCATTTGGACCAGCCCTAGCCAGAGAAGAATCACCCATCCCAGCACTCAGAACATGAGTTTCTTACCAAGCCTCACCACTGCAGACTGAAGTGCTCTATAGTCCTAGGTAAACTTGAAAGGCAGTCTAGGGCACAGGACTGTAATTCCTAAGCAACTGCTAGTGCTAGCGTGGGCTTCGAGCCAGTGAACTGGGGTGGCATGTGACCTAGGGAGACATCAGCTGGCATGGGTAAGGGAGGACTTGCACTATCCCTCCCCCAGCCCCAGGCAGTGCAGCTTGTAGCAATGAAAGTGACTCCTTCCTTCTGCTTAAGAGGCGGAGAGTGAAGAGTAAAGCAGACTTTGTCTTGCATCTTGGATATCAGCTCAGCCATAGTAGGATAGGGTACCAGGCAGAGTTGTGAGACCCCCATTCCTGGCCCTAGTTCCTGGATGACATTTCTAGACTCACCCTGGGCCAAAAGAGAGCCAGTGTCTTGAAGGAAAAGACCCAGTCCTGGCAGGATTCATCACCTGCTAACTAAAGAGACCTTGGTATTTGAATAACCAGCAGTGATACTCAGGGAATATGCCATGGGCCTTGGGCTCTGAGACATGCTAGCTTTAGGAGAGACTCAGCATATTCCCAGCTGTGGTGGCTACAATGAAAGTCTCCTGTTTGAGAAAAACAGAGGGAAGAGTAAAGAAACTTTTTATTGCACCCTAGTTACCAGCTTGGTTACAGTGAGATATAGCAACAAGTAGGCCCAAGTCCAGGCCTAGGCTCTTGGACAGCATATCTGGGCCTGCCCTGGGCTATAAGGGAGGCCACTGCCCTAAAGGGTGAGTCCCAAGCTTGGCAGTATTCACCACAAACTGATAGAAGAGTCCTTGGGGTTTAAGCAAACATCAGCAGTGGCCTGGCAGAACCCCCCATGGACTGGTGGTGGTGGTGGCCACAGAAAGAGGCTCCTCTGCCTTTGGTAAGGGAGGGAAGAGTGGGAAGGACTTTGTATTGTGCTTTGAGTGCCAGCTTAGCTGCAGTAGAACAGAACATCAGGTAAGGCTTTTGACTCCAATTCCTGGCTCCTAGACAGCATCTGGGGACATACCCAGGGCCTGGGGGACTCACTATCCTGAAGGAAAAAGCCTTGGGCAAAACCCAGTGCTCTGCTGGCATCAAGTCTGACCCAGTTCAGTCCCAGTGGTGGTGGCCACGGGGTGCTTGCCTTACTCCCACTGTGCACACCAGTTCCAGGTGGATCAGCACAGAGAGAGTGAGACCCTGAGTATTTGGGAGAAAGTAAGGGAAAAGAACAAGAATCTTTTCTGGGTAATCCAGAAAATTCTTTTGGATCCTATCGAAGACCAAGGCAAGTCGGCAAAAAGCACAGCATTATTAGGCGTGGGGCACATGTCCCTTTGAATACCTGGAAAGCCTTCCCAAGAAGGACAGGCACAAACAAGCCTACTGTGAAGATTACAAGTGCCTAACTCTTCAATGTTCAGACACTGAAGAACATCTACAAGCATCAACACCATCTACAAAACATGACCTCACCAAATGAACTATATGAGCCACCAGGGTCCAATCCTGGAGAAACCGATATGTGACCTTTCAGACGGAGAATTCAAAATAGCTGTTTTGAAGTAACTCAAATAATTTCAAGATAACACAGAGAAGAAATTCAGAATTTTATCAGATAAATTTAACAAAGAGATTGAAATAATTAAAAAGAATCAAGCAGAAATTATAGAGTTGAAAAATGCAATTGACATGTTTAAGAATGTATCAGAGACTTTTAATAGCAGAATTGATCAAGCTTCTGCTTGAAAGAATTAGTGAACTTGAAGACAGCCTATTTGAAAATACAGAGAGGAAAGAGAAGAAAAAAGAATACAAAGTGGCGAAGCAGCCTACAAGATCTAGACAATAGCTTCAAATGCGAAAATCTAAGAGTTGTTGGCATGAAAGAGGAGACAGAGAATGTGATAAAGGTAAAAAGTTTATTCAAAGAGACAATAACAGAGAACTTCCCAAACCTAAAGAAAGACATTAATATTTAAGTACAAGAAGGTTATAGAACATTAAGCAGATCTAACCCAAAGAAGACTACCTCATGGCATTTAATAATCAAACTCCCAAAGGTCAATGATAAAGAAAGGATCCTAAAAGCAGCAAGAGAAAATAAACAAATACCATATAATAGAGCTCCAATACGTCTGGCAGCTAACTTTTCAGTGGAAACCTTACAGCCCAAGAAAGTGTGCCATGACATTTCAATTGCTGAAAGAAAAAAAACTTGTACCCTCGAATAGTATAGTATATCCACTGAAAATGTCCTTTATACAAGAAGGAGAAATAAAGTCCTTCCCAGACAAAAGTTGAGGATTTCATCAACACCAGACCTGTCCTACGAGAAATGCTAAAGGGAATTCTTCAATCTGAAAGAAAAATATGTGAATGAGCAAGAAGAAATCATGTGGAGGTACGAAACTCACTGGTAATATTATATAGTAAGCACACAGAAAAGCACAGATTAATATAATGCTGTAATTGTGACACATAAACTTCTCTTAAGTATAAAGACTAAATGATGGGCTAATCAAAAGTAATAACTACAACAACTTTTGAAGACACAGACAGTACAATAAGACATAAACAGAAACAATAAAACGTTAAAAAGCAGAGAGATAAAGTGTAGTGTTTTTATTATTTTCTTTTTGCATGTTTGTTTATGCAATCAGTGTTAAGTTGTCATCAGTTTAAAATAATGGGTTATAAGATAGCACTTGCAAGCTTCGTGGTAATCTCAAACAACATGCAACAGATATACAAAAAATAGGAAGCAAGAAATTAAAGCATATCAGTAGAGAAAATCACCTTCACTAAAAGGAAGACAGGAAAGAAGAAAAGAAGGAAGAGGATACCACAAAACAACCAGAAAAACCAATAACAAAATGGCAGGAGTATGTCCCCATTTATCAATAATGACACTGAATGTAAATGGTCTAAACTCTCCAATCAAAAGACATAGAGTGGCTGAGTGGATGAATAAACAGGACCCAACAATCTGTTGCCTAAAAGAAACACACTTCATCTATAAAGATACACATAGATTGAAAACAAAGGGATGGAAAAAGATATTCCATGCTAATGGAAACAAAAAAAGAGCAGGAGTATCTATACTTATATCAGACAGAATAGATTTCAAGAAAAAAAACTGTAAGAAGAGACAAGGAAGGTCATTATATAATGATATGGGGTCAATTCAACAAAGGATATAACAATTATAAATACATACACACGCAACACTGGAGCACACAGATATATAAAGCAAATATTATTAAAGCAAAAGAGAAAGGTAGATCTCAAGATAATAATAACTTGTGACTTCTACACCCCACTGTCAGCATTGGACAGATCGCCTAGACAGAAAATCAACAAGGAAACATCAGACTTTATCTGCACTATAGAGCAAATTGACCTAATAGATATTTACAGGACATTTCATCCAGTAGCTATAGAATACACATTTTTCTCCTCAGCACATGGATCCTTCTAAAAAATGGACCATATGTTAGACCATAAAACAAGCCTTAAATCATTCAAAAAATTTAAAATAATATCAAGTATCTTCTCTAACCACAGTGGAATAAAACTACAAATCAGTAACAAGAGGAATTTTGGAAACAACACAAACACAAAGAAATTAAACAATATGCTCCTGAATGACCAGTGGGTCAATGAAGAAATTAGGAAGGAAATTGAAAAAATTTCTTGAAACAAATAATGGAAACACAACATAGAAAAACCTATGGGCTACAACAAAAGCAGTACTCAAGAGAAACATTTATAGCTATAAGTAGCTACATCAAAAAAGAGGAGAAACTTTAAGTAAATAATGTAATGATGCATCTTAAATAATTATAAAACCAAGACCAAACCAAATGAAAAAATTACTAGAAGAAAATGAATAATAAAGATGAGATAAGAAATAAATGAATTTAAAATGAATAAAAAATACAAAAATCAAAATAAAAAGTTGTTTTTTTGACAAGTTAAACTAAATTGACAAACTTTTAGCCAGACTAAGAAAAAAAGACAGAAGACCCAAATAAATAAAATCAGAGGTGAAAAAGATGTTATGACAGATACTGCAGAAATTAAAAAGATCATCAGTGACTAATATGAGCAACTATATGCCAATAAATCAGAAAGTCTAGAATAAATAGATACATTCCTAGACAAATACAACCTACCAAGATTGAACTAAGAAAAAATCCAAAACCTGACCAGACCAAGTAACGAGATCAAAGCCATAATAAAAAGTCTCCCAGTAAAGAAAAGCTTGGGATCCAATAACTTCATGGCTGAATTCTACCAAATATTTAAAGAAGAACTAATACTAACCCTACTCAAACTGTTCTGAAAAATAGAGGAGGAAGGAATACTTCCAAACTCATTCTATGAGGCCAGTATTACCCTGATACCAAAACCAGACAAAGACACATAAAAAAAAAGAAATTACAGGCCAATATCCTTGATGAATATTGATGCAAAAACACTTAATAAAATACTTGCAAACCAAATTCAAGAATACATTAAAAAGATTATCCATCATGACCAAGTGGGATTTCTCCCAGGGATGCAAGGATGGTTCAACATATATGAATCAATCAATGTATACATTATATCATCAGAATGAAGGATAAAAACCATATGATCATATCAATTGATGCTGAAAAGTATTTGATAAAATTCAACCATCCTTTCATGAAAAAAAAAACCTCAAAAATTGAATATAGAGGGAACAAACATCAATATAATAAAAACCATATATGACAAACCCACAGTAAATGGGGAAAAGCTGAAAGCCTTTCCTCTAAGATCTGGAACATGACAAGGATGCCCACTTTCACCCCTGTTATTCAACATAGTACTGGGAGTCTCAGCTAGAGGAATCAGAAAAGAGAAAGAAATAAAGGATTTGTCTAGGAATGTATCTATTTATTCTAGATTTTCTGATTTCCAAATTGGAAAGCAAGAAGTCAAATTAACCTTGTTTGCAGATGATAATATCTAATATTTGGAAAAACCTGAAGACTCCACCAAAAAACTATTAGAACTGATAAACAAATTCAGTAAAGTTGTAGGATACAAAATCAACATAAAAAATCAGTAGCATTTCTATATGTCAACAATGAACAATCTGAAAAAAAATTTAAAAAGTAATCCCATTTACAACAGCGACAAAGAAAATTAAATACTGAGTAATTAACCAAAGAAGCAAATGATCTCTGCAATCAAAACTAGAGAACGCTGATGAAAGAAATTGAAGAGGACACAAAAAATGGAAAGATATTCTATGTTCATAGATTGGAAAAATAAATATGGTTAAAATGTCTATACTCCCCAAAGCAATCTACAGATTCAGTATAATCTCTATCAAAATACCAATGACATTCTTCACAGAAATAGCAAAAACAATTCTTACACCACAGAAGACCCAGAATAGCCAAAGCTATTCTGAGCAAAAAGAACAAAACTGGAGAAATCACATTACCTGACTTCAAATTATACTGTAGAGCTACAGTAACCAAGACAGCATGATACCGGCATAAAAACAGACACATAGACCAATGGAACAGAATAAAGAACCCAGAAATAAATCCACACATCTACAGTCATTTTCTACAAAGGTACCAAGAATAAACACTGGGGGGAAAACCAGTCTCTTCAATGAATGGTGCTGGAAAAACTGGATATCCATATGCAGGAGAATGAAACTTGACCCCGCCTCTAGCCTTATACAAAAATCAAATACAGATGGATTTAATACTTAAATTTAAAACCCCAAACTATGAAACTACTACAAGAAAACATTGGGGAAACACTCCAGGACATTGGTCTAGGCAATAATTTCTTGAGAAATACCACATAAGCACTGGCACCCAAAGCAAAAACGGGCAAATGGGATCACATCAAGTTACACAGCTTCTGTACAATAAAGAATACAATCAACAAAGTGACAAGACAACCCACAGAATGGGAGAAAATATTTGCAAACTACCCCATCTGACAAGGGATTAATAACCAGAATAGCTCAAAACAACTCTATAGGAAAAAAATCTAATAATCTGATTAAAAATAGGCAAAATATTTTAATAGACATTTCTCAAAAGAAGACATGCAAATGGCAAACAGGTGTATGAAAAAGTGCTCAACATCATTGATCATCAGAGATATGCAAGCAGAACTACTGTGAGATGTCATCTCACCCCAGTTAAAATGGCTTTTTTTTCCAAAATTCAAGCAATAACAAATGCTGATGAGGGCATGGAGCAAAAAGAACCCCCTTACACTTTTGAGGGGAATGTAAAATACTACAACCACTATGGAAAACAGCTTAAAAGTTTCTCACAAAACTAAAAATAGAGCTACCATACGATATAGCAATCCCACTGCTGGATATATACACAAAAGAAAGGAAATCGGTATATCAAAGAGAAATTTGCACTCCCATGTTTATTGCAGCACTGTTCACAACAGCCAGGATTTGGAAGCCACCTAAGTAAGTGTCCATCAACAGATGAGTGGAAAAAGAAAAATGTGGTACCTATAAACAATAAAAAACTATTAAACCATAACAAAGAATGAGATTCTGTCATTTTCAATGACATGGATGGAACTGGAGATCATTATGTTACGTAAAACAAGTCAGGCACAGAAAGACAACCATTGCATGTTCTCACTTATTTGTGGGAACTGAAAATTAAACCAATCGAACTCATGGACATAGAGCATAGAAGAGTGACTACCAGAGTCTGAGAAACTTACTGGGCAGATGAGAGGGATTTGGGGATGATTAATGGGTAAAAAAAAAAAAAAAATTAGAAAGAATGAATAATACGTAGTATTTGATAGCACAACAGAAGGACTATAGAAAATAATAATTTACTTTTACATTTTTAAATAATTAAAGAGTATAGTTGGATCGTTTGTAACAAAAAGGATAAACGCTTGAGGGGATGGATGCCAGATTTTCCATAATGTAATTATTATGCATTGTGTGCCTGTACCAAAATATCTCATGTACCCCATAAATATATATGCCTACTATTTACCCACAAAAAATGTTAAAACATTAAAAAAAATTAGGGGGCATTTAGAAACAACTGTTGGGGAAATCAGAGTGTCAGGATGGCAGCCATTTTTTTCCCCAAAAGTACATCTAATACAATTTTAAAATATAATTAATATATATTTATTAAAACTTACGCTCTCCAGAGAAAACCTCTTTGTTTCTATCCATGCTTTGTAAGAACTTATTATATAAAATTCTGGGGAAAAAGTCAACAAATTCAAAACAACAGAAATGCCTTTAACCACAGCATAATAAAATTTGAAATTAATATGTGCAGTTTAAACACACCAACCTTATATTTTATATACCAATTTTTTAAAAGTCTTCTAAATAGCTAGAGTCAAAAAAGAATTCTTAGAATTAACGACAACTCCAATAAATGAGAAACTTCCACACTGGCCATGAAGAATAACTGAGATCAGGTTAAGTCCCTGCTATAAACAACCAGAAACAAAAAAAAATATTTAAAAACTACTGCTTGGACACATTGGCAATAGGTAGGCTGAGTATGATCCCTGATAGAAGAGAAACAAATGAGGTGAGTCTTATAATTACATTGATTGTTCTCCCTGTTGGCACTTTCTAGACTATAAGTCAGAGAAGGGAATCCTTAACAGAGCACAGTAGTCTTACTGTGCTGAGGAGAGTTTGGGGAGGTGAAGGCACTTAGACTATTTGGTACACATCTTCAGAGAGGAGGGGCGTCATATAGAGAAAGAACTCTATAAATTCTCATAGGAAGTTACCTTCAGTGTTTGACTGAACACCAGTGTTTGGGGTAGAACTCCACAAGGCCTAGCAAATAACAGCTGGAAAGCTACAAGGTAAAAACTTCTCAGAGCTCACAACCGTATGATCTTTTCATTTGACACAATTGATCATCCATTTGTGAAAAAAATATGTTGCAAAGCAGGAAACGACACGTGATAAAAGCTTTGAAATTATTAAAAATCTATGTATTACTTCTCTATAATGACTTGAAAGTCATACTAAAATGGACCAACTTTAAGAGAAAATTTGTATTGAGTCAAAGAGGAATTTAAAGCACAAATAAATGAAAACTTTGAAAGAAATTGCTTCCAAAAGAAGATCCAAGTCTATATCACTGGTAAATTCTGTAAAAAGCATCAAGACGTAAATATTCCCGATACAGAAAATCTTGAGAGGACCTCCTATTTATTAGGTATAATTCTGATACCAAAGCCTATCCAGATAGCTTGAAAAGTAAAGTCTGAAGACTGATTTCACCAATATAGATGTAAAAGTCCTAAAACCGACACTAACAAACCAAAGCAATGGCACATTAAAACGTCATCCAGAAAGTCTAGAATTTGTGTAATTAAGCAATCTATCAAATTTATGTCATACAAATTGATTCTATTAGAAAATATTGATAATCTTGAATTTTTTTTCTTATTTCCATAAGTTTTTGGGGAACAGGTGGTATTTTGTTACATGAGTAACTCTTTAGTGAGATTGTGGTGCACACATCACCCAAGCAGTATACACTGAACCCAATTTGTCATCTTTTATTCCTCAGCCCCTTCGACTCTTTGCCCCTGAGTGTCCAAAGTCCATTGTATCATTCTTATGCCTTCGCATCCTCATAGCTTAGCTCTCACTTATGAATGATAACATAACGATATTTTATTTTCCATTCCTGAGTTAGAAAATGTTGATAATCATAATAAGTGCCTTGTGTTCTTCCAGGTTCTGATTTGAAACAAAGCAATAACAACCAAAAAACCTTTCAATATCTTTAATCATCTAATAATAAAATGATCTTACCTCAACAAAGAAAAAAGCAATATTTAATATTAAAATCAGAGACTCAAGACAATAATGTTTGCTATCACCGTCGTTATCTAATATTTTCTGGATTTACAGCTAATTTTGAACCGGTGAAACCTATGTAAGTGTATTATTTTAAAAACAAGTAGAGCTTGGTCATACCGATAGAATTGACAGAATCTTCAATGGAATTGAATCAAAATTCTTAAAACAAAGTTTAATATATATATAGACAAACTTAGTATATGATTTTGTAAAAATCATAAACCAAAAGCGAAGTGGTAATTTACACTAAAAACAGAGATTGAAAATTTAACTTTTTTTTTTTTTTTTTTTAAAGAAATGGAGTCTCAGTAAGTTGCCCAGACTTGTCTTGAACTCCTGGCCTCAAGCAACTCTCCCACCTTGACCTCTCAGAACACTGGAATTACAGGTGTGAGCCAACATGCCTGGCCTGAAATTTAGCCTTTTTTTTTTTTTTTTTTTTTTAGTAGAAAACTTTAACTCTTCAGTTAAGAAAATCCTGGACTCTGTAGATTTAAATAGAAAATTTAAAAATAAAGGAAAAATTTTAAATAAAGCAATCCATACTAGGTGATATATGATGAACATTGGAATGGGTGAAGCCTTTTTAAACAGAAAAAAAAACAATGGAATAATATTTAAAAGACAAAAAAGTGATTTTTGACTGCTAACAGTTAAGAACATAATGTATATAAATTATAAATATGCATATCAACGCATATTCAAATGCACATTTACCTATTTATATATACATACACATACTTATGTACATGTAATATGTGTTTTTGTATGTGCAAATAGAGCTATATTCTTAATAAATAACTCGTAATTTAGATAAACGCTACAAAAATAAATGTTGTATGGGAAATCTGGGCAAAGAACAGAAAAGACATTAATACCAACATGAAAGTCATGGAAGAATTTTTAAAAGGCAAAGAAATGCTTATCCTTAATGATTAAAATGCATATGAAAATGAGATTTTTTAGAAAACTCAATTGAAAATGATGTAGAAATTGATAATATTTACTGGAGGAAAGACTGATGAGATTGGATAGCTCACATATACCTCAACTCTATGTATTTTCTCAAAATCAGTCTATACAAACCATTCAGTAGAATTTACATATCTCTGAGGGATCTTTCTAAGACATCAGCAAATTTGAGGATTTTGTGCAGCATATAATTTACCTTATTAATATGTATTAAATATTATTCACTGTTTAAATGACCTTTTAAATCTTTAACAAGAATAGTTGTGCAAAAAGCAATTAGTAGAGAACATTAAAGTCAAATCTGGGCATAGGTTTGAAGTGGTTGGCTGGACTTTTACTTTTTCAGAGAATCGTTTTACATTTAAAATTTTATCTGTATCGTAGGGTTATAAAACAGTATACAAGAGAAAGGCAGGAAAAAAGAATTTTAGAGACAGATGATTTCAAATGTAATCTTTGAATTATGGAACTATGACATGGTGATGAGGAAGCATTTAATTTATCCTACTGGGATGTCTTACTTGGGTGATTGCCCTTTCAGGCCCTGATGCTGGGTGTGGTCCCCGGCGACTCTTGGCTTTGGAAAGCACCAGAGGTTCAGCTGCCCAGACCTTGGCATTTCCCTCCTACTCTATCAATAAATCTTTCTCACCAGAACTCGCCAACTTCAATTCTCCAAGGCTGTCTCAAGGGCCTGATGAAATCTTTGCAGTCTTAGAATGTATTTTGACTTGAATTTATATATCTATGATTACTACAAGGATATCTAAAATAGGAAGCTGCAGGTGAGTGAACCACAGCTATTTCATGTATTTCTTAAACTTTTTCTCATTCAGTTGGAGGTGTTCAAGCCTGAAATTATCCATTGAAAAATTCAGTGTGGAGTTTAGTCCTGGCCATGCCACTAACTGACCTTGTGAGCTTAGTGTGCTATTTCACTTCTCTGTGCCTTGACTTTATTATAATAGAGTCTAAGACCATTTTTTTTTCCTAATATGGTCTCTCCACTTTTAGGATGAAGAACAAGATTTAAAATTAGACTAAGGGTTTCCTCTTTAAATAGAATAATTAAACAAAAGTTTTAAGCATCTGTAATTCTAGTAGGTAAGGGACAATTTCCAAATTTTAAATTATTACTCAAATTGAATGTTCAAATGCCACTGCTGGACAGCTCTAAAGTCTGTGTGTAATTTCCTCATTTCCCTGATCATAAACCTTACCTAAAATAGAAACTCTTCAATCTGACATTTTAAGTTGAGGCCACAATCTGCCATCTGTTTACTTTTCCAATATTATCTCTTATCACAATTTCTATTTCAAACTGGGCATTTTGATTTGACTCGGATATATTCTCTGCATATTTTGTCTGTTCCTTCTTTCTGAAATGTATCATCTCTGTCCCACCCTCATTTCTGACAGTCAAAAATCCTTTCCAAATTTTAAGATACAGCCACCATTATATTTATATTCAAGATACTGCTACCTGGCATCTTCTAGGCACCAGGCTAAAAACTTTTTATACATCAGCTGATTTTATGCTTAAACCAACCCTACCGAGTACATGTTATTCTCATTTTACAGTTTGTAA
This sequence comes from Homo sapiens, assembly GCF_000001405.40. NCBI lineage: Eukaryota > Metazoa > Chordata > Mammalia > Primates > Hominidae > Homo > Homo sapiens. Next base: position 123,922,117 of record NC_000011.10, read on the forward strand.
AATTGCAAGGGAGGAGTCATTGCCCACAACATACAGATTCAATTCAGAACAATTAGAGACTTTGCCCAGGAGTTCACAGTTAATGGGTGGCAAAGTCGGGGTCTGTACAGATGGCTCTGGGCCTCATAGCATACGCTACCCTCTTTATGAGAGCTCACTTCCATAGGGTTAGCAAATTGAGCACCTACTAGGTGCCCGGTATAGAGATCCTGAGATGAAGGACACATACTCCTGCCCCCACGGTCTCACCATCCTCACATCTCCAAGAAGAAGGAGTTTCTTCCTTTCAGTTACACTATATATTTTAAATGTTAGAGACATTTCTTATATTTTAAATTTATTCTTAATTTTTATTTTATTAGTTTATCAAGTGATTATTTCTTTACCTTTATGTCTAAAATAAGATCTAAGAAGGTAGAGATCTTAAATAACTGATTCATCAATTCTTTTGGTTGCTAGTATTCTCTGCTTTACACAAAATATTGAGAATAAATGATCACTGAATTGGATGGAATAGAAAATTCACACATGTATGTATAGAATTGTGCATATGTATGTTGAAGAGAAAAACAGTATGTCAGTGAAAAATAAAAAAAATACATTCTTGTTTCTAGTGATATGACTTATTACTATGAAGTCTCCATCATATCCATGGAAAGTTTCAGGTGTGATTCACCGGAGTAAACTTTTCTCCTTTAGTCTCACCTGTAACAGAGAATCTGCTTAAATCCAGACAGAGGCCTAACCAAATGTCAAGCCTTATATATTTACATATCTTGAATTATTTGATACTAAAAATATCTCTGAGGAAAATTGGGAACATTTTATCATTTTCATTTTACAGACAGGAAAACTAAATTTGAGAGATACTAAGTGAATTCCCACGGCCACATATATTTTAGTGCAAAGGCTGAAGTACAATCCAGGTTTTCTAATGTAGTTTTCATAAGAATAGGTTTTTGTGAGACTGTTCAAAGGAGCAGAAGTCCAAATTAGTGCATTCTCTGGTGGTCTAGTCAGGACATCGCGTCCAACACTTCCAGGTTTTGTGGCTGATCTTACAAAATGTTTCACAATAGGCAAAGATAATTGAAGCTCCTGCCCATATTATGATTTTCCAAATAACTGTTTAGTGTAAGTGAGGCATTGATAAAGAATCTGAAGTAGCATCAACTCATTGTTAACACAGCTAACCTTGCAGATTATTAAAATGGAGCTTGATTTTTCTCAGTGTTCAGAAGAACTTTCTATGATGACGGGAATATTCTATATGTGCACTGTCCAACACAGTAGCCGCTAACCACATAGGGCTATTGAAAACACTTGAAACATGGCCAGTGCAACTTAAAAAAGTGATCTTTAAATTTAATTTAATGAAAAAATTATTTTAAATCAATGAATTATAATTGTACATAATTCTGGTATGTACAATCATATATATAGGATATATATTGATATATAATACATTATTGTTAACTATAGTCATTATGCTGTGCAATAGAATGAACAAAATTTATTTATCCTGTCTAACCGAAACTTTGTATCCTTTGACCAGCATCTTCCCATTTACCTCTCCCCTTACCTCTTAACTATTTTTCTACTCTCTGCTTCTATGAGTTTAATTGTTTTAGATTCCACATGTAAGTTGGAACAGGCAGTATTTGTCTGTGTACCTAACTTATTTCATTTAACATAATGTCCAGATTCATCATTTTTTTTGCAAATGGTAGAATTTTCTTTTTAAAGGCTGAATAGTATTCCATTGCTAATGTATATCACATTTTCTTTATCCATTCCTCCATTGATGAACACTTAAATTGCTTCCAAATCTTGGCTGTTGTGAATAGTGCTGCACTGAACATGAGAGCACAGGTATCTGACATATTGATTTGAAATCCTTCAGATATATATCCAGAGGTGGAATTGCTGGATCATATGATCTTTTTATTTTTAATTTTTTGAGGAACCTCCATACTGTTTTCCATAATGGCTCTACTAATTTACATTTCTACCAATAGCATGCAAGGGTTCCCTTTTCTCCACATCCTCGCTAACCCTGGTTATTTTTGTCTTTTTGATAATAGCCATTCTGACAAGTGTAGGTGATGTCTCATTGTGGTTTTAATTTGCATGTGGTTTCAATCTGATGATTAGTGATGCTGGGCATTTTTTCATACATCTGTTGGCCATTTGTTGGCCATGTCTTCTTTTGAGAAATGTCTACTCAGGTCCTTTGCTCATTTTTGAAATCAGGTTATTTGTTTTCTTGCTATTGAGTTGTTTGAATTCCTTTTATATTTTAGATATTAACTCCTTATCAGATGCTTGGCTTGCTAATATTTTCTCCCAGTCCATAGGTTGTCTCTTCACTCTGCTGTTTCCTTTGCTACGCAGAAGCTTTTGTGTTTGATGTAATACAGTCTGTCTGTTTTTGCTTTTGTTGCCTGAGCTTTTGGGGTCAGTTTCAAGAAATCATTACCCAGACCAATATCATGTAGTTTTCCCCCTATCTTTTCTTTCAGTCATTTTAGAGTATCTGGTCTCAAGTGTAAGTGGTAAATCTATTTTGGGTTGATTTTTGTGGGTGGTGTGAGATGAGGGTTCAATTTCATCCTTTTGCATGTGGATATCCAATTTTCCCAACACCCTTTATTGCAGAGACTGCCATTTTTTCACTATAGTTTGTTCTCTGGATAGTTCCTACTGAATGTGTGTTTGTTTCCTTTTCTGTCTTGTTCTAACTTGCCATATAGTAGTCTCCAGGTTATTTATTATTTTATTCAAAGAAAGACTTTTTTGTTTAATTATATCCATAGTTTTTTTTTCTTTTTTTTTCTGGAGTGCTGCTGGGGTGAGAGAGGTATTGTACTGTTGTCTCTGTATTTTTCCTTTTTATAGTGTCTTTTGTGAGATTCTTAATTTATATATTTTCCTTCTTTTTATTTTCCAATATATTAAATGGTGATTATCCTTCTCTTCTTACTGCTTTGTCTTCTGTCTGCAGAATTTTTTTTTTTTTTTTTTTTTTTGAGACAGGGTCTCCCTCTGTCACCCAGGCTTGAGTGCAGTGGCGCAGTCTCTCTGCAGCCTCAAACTCCTGGGCTCAAGCGATCCTCCTGCCAGTTCTGAGTAGATAGAACCACAGGTACCCGCCACCAAGCCTGGCTAATTTTTAAATTTTTTGTAGAGACAGAATCTCACCATGTTGCTCAGGCTGGTCTTGAACTCCTAGGTTTCTGCCTTGGCCTCTCAAAGTGTTGGAATTATAGGCATGAGGCACCACACCTGGCCTGCAGATTTTGATATGTAGTTTCTAACTAACTATATTCTAACTTTATGTTTGAATTTTTTAAACTGAAGAGTTAGTGTAAATATATTTTAAAATTTTTTAGTGGATTTGTTTTAACTACTTTTTCACTACTAATCTGTAACGGTATAGCACATACTCTGCCATTTGGAGTTTATTCAAATTTCCTGTTACATGCTACATGGCATTTTGTGGGGGAAGACACATGAGTATTTGAAAACAATGTCACTTTCTGTTTTGGGGAGCTCACTGTTTTATGGATTTATTAGTTCAGGCTGGTCATCAGTGTTATTTAAATTCTGTATACACTTACTGATTTTTTGTTTATATAATATAGTAGATTTTGACAGCTGGACTTATCATTTATTTTTTCCTTATAATTCAAATGCACTTTTCTTTACATAGCGTGAAGCTACACTGTTAGATTCATAACTCTCCAAGACTGTTACATCTTTTTGTAAGATGACATCTTTTCTCAATCCCTGTTAATAAAATATATATAATGAGTCTTATTTCATGTTATTATTCCAGTTGCTTCTTCTCTAAACATTTTCCTGGTTAATATTTTCCTAGCCCTGCATTTACTTAATTTGTATTCAATTTTGGTTCACCATTTTTATTTAAATAGATGAATATTTATGTTGTGGGAAACTTGATTCTCCAAGACAGCTAATTCTGTTTATCAAGCAAGAGAAATATTAACCTTAACAGATGGGCTCACTCATTTTTCCTTAACATTCTGGCTCAACAATCAGAATGCTACAAAGATTAAAAGAAGAATGACAGTATCGTGTACAACTTTATGCTAATAGGTTTGACAATTTAGATGACATGGGCAAATTCCTTGAGAAATACAACTTAACTGAAAGTGATACAGTTTTTTAAAAAAAATCTTGATTTATTGTTCATGATAAAATCAACTGTGGATGGAGTGAGTTTTCCAGTCTCCCCTGAGGTCAGAAGATATCCACATGCTTAAGCAACTTGCCTTACTGGCTGAAAAGGAATTTCAGCATAATTGGCTATCAAGAAACAGTATGTCGATTGCACACACTATTATTTGAAGAGTTTCTAGAAATTTTATGAATAAAAGTCGTTTTTTGAACATGGACATTTGACAGACTCATTATGCTATATGTATTATGGAACGTAACCTGAGAAAAATATTTCTGTTAGTGAAATATGAGTGGTTTTTATATTCCAGCAGAGGCTGTAGAAATGTGGTAAAGACTCTATTTTCAGGAATAATTTTTATAGTTCATTACTCACTGTGCATTTTGCTTAGTGTGAGGAAGAGATGGAATTGTTCTCTTTTAACCAGTGCTTCACTGAAACTGCTGTTAACCATTGGTAGTCACGCCTGGAACCACAATCCCACCACCACAACTGGAGAATACAGAGGAAAAGACTGCAGTCTGAGTATGACCTTTATACTTTGGCTTATCAGAAAAAAAGCTCTTGGTAGAGTTCTCTAGACCTTTTTCTGTTTGTTAAAAGGTCCAAATACAGTAGTATGTCAGTTAATTTTATAATTATGTTCCTTCCACAATTCCCTTGTTTTTAACAAGCAATTTTCTTTTAATACCGTTGATGCAGTCTAGGAGGCTTTGGTTGTCAAATATGCTTACACAAGCAACCATATATCTCAATTTTGTTTCCACGTTTGGCACTTTTGAGAATGCTGAGAATGTAGATTTTCTGATGAGGTTCTACCTTTTCCAGGACAAGCCTAGATTTTGGATGAGTTTTACGTGCTGCATTTGGAAGCATAATGGACTCCTCTGTTTACTGGACTTTTTAGGTCTACTTTTAAAAATAAATATTTTTTAATTGATAAATTATAATTGTATATGTGTATGAGATACGATGCAATGTTCTGATATATGTATACAATGCAGAATGAGTAAATCAAGCTAATTAACATATCCATCGCCTCACTTATTATTTTTTACAGTGAGTCATTTTTGAGCAACACCCCAGGTGCATTTCTAGATCCTCTAGGCCTACATAGTGGATATCCTTGAGTTAGAGTCACTTTCTTGTATACTATATTTATTTTCTTTCTTTCTTTCTCTTTCTTTCTTTCTTTCTCTTTTTCTTTTCTCTCCTTCCTTCCTTTCTTTCTTTTCTTTCTTTCTTTATTTCTTTGCCTCTTTCTTTTTTTTTTTTTTGAGGTGGAGTCTCACTCTGTCGCCCAGGCTGGAGTGCAGTGGCCCGATCTCAGATCACTGAAAACTTTGCCTCCCAGGTTAAAGCGATTGTCCTGCCTCAGCCTCCTGAGTAGCTGGGATTACAGGTGTGCACCACCATGGCTGGCTAATTTTTGTATTTTTAGTAGAGAGGGGGTTTCATCATGTTGGCCAGGCTGGTCTCGAACTCCTGACCTCGTGATCTGCCTGCTTTGGCCTCCCAAAGTGCTGAGATTAGAGGCGTGAGCCACCGTGCCCAGCCTTTTCTTTCTTTTTTTTGTATGAGACAGAGTCTCGTTGTGTTGCCCAGGCTGGTCTGGAACTCCTGGGCTAGTGTGATCCTTCTACCTCAGCCTCCTAAGTAGCTGGGGTTATAGGTGTGCACCCACTGCACCTGGCTTACATTTTCTTTTGTCCTGGCTTACTCTATTTTGCAAGAACACATCTTTAGTAGGTTTCTGAAAATTGTTCTGAGAACTTGAGTGGTTGAAATGTCTTTTTTCTACTTTCCCTTTCGAATAATATTTTGACCAATTCTAGAATTTGAGGAAGAAAGTCATTTTCTATTAAAATGTCGAAGGTATTTCTCCATTGCTCTACCATCCAGAGCTGCTGTTAAGAAGTTCAAAGCCTTTCTAATTCTTATTTCTTTTTGGACATCTGTATTTTTAGCCTCTGAAAATCATGAGAATATTTACTTTCATCCAAGTGTTCCAAACTTTTATCAATATGTGATTTGTTTGTTTGTTTGTTTGAGAGAGTCTCTCTCCGTCACCCAGGCTGGAGTGCAGTGGTGCAATTTCAGCTCACTGCAGCCTCCATCCACCTCCTGGGTTCAAGTGATTCTGCTGCCTCAGTCTCCCGAGTAGCTGGGACTACAGGCGCTCACCACCACGCCCGGCTAATTTTTGTATATTTTGGTAGAGACGGGGTTTCGCCGTGTTGGTCAGGCTGGTCTCAAATTCCTGACCTTAAGTGATCCGCCTTTCTTGGCCTCCCAAAGTGCTGGGATTGCAGGCATGAGCCATTGCACCAGGTTGGAATCGAGAGCTCTTTTAATTCTGCTATAAAAACAAATTTGTTTCCCGCTCTATTCTCCTCTATTCTCTTTCCCGAGTGTGCATTAATCAATCAGATATTGGTCTTCCTAACTTGATTCTGTGATTTTTGTACCATTTCTGTCACATATTTCACTATTTTCCACACATTTTTAGGATATTTCCTTGACTTTATTTTCTAACCTTCCTATGGAAATTTTTTTATTATGGCTATCAACTTTTCAGTATTCAGGAGTCCTTTGTTGTTAGCTGATTGATATTTTTCATAACATTTTTTTCTTGATTTTTAGATATTACTTCCTTTTGTCTCTCTCTCAGGATATTATTTCCATTTGCTCTCTACATTATCTCTGTTTGCTCCAAATTTTCTTTTTCAGCTTGTTTATTTTTTTCTCTCTTATTGGAGGTTTTCCCAACTGGTGATCCTTGGCTCTCAGTTTGTATTCTAACTGAGACACTGAAAAGCTCATTGGAGCTCTGTGAATATGGATGGAGTTCTCCATGATAAGCTTCGCTTTTGAATCACAGAATGATGATCCAGCCTTAGGTGACCCCCCAAATATCAGTAAATGGAAATATTTTCTTTGAGCTCTTCATTTTCTTCTGTGAAAATTGAAGGGGAGGTATACTCAGTAATTTAAAGCCTGTCTCCAGCCCAAGGACTATAAAGCCCTCAGACCTGCCACGTTTACCTTCCAGACTACTGGACAGTCATGGTAGAACAATGATGGACAAGCACAAGTGTCTCACATGTAATTCTTGTGAACTGGTTGTAGCAGACTGTCATAGGACTATAAATTTTAGATTTGTCTTAAGCAATAACACCTCTGAAATTATAAGCTCAATGTACAAAAATTTTCTAAATATATAATAGATACTCAATAAAAATGATTTTTGCATAGCATTTAATTAATCACATGGTCTACCAGTGATCCTTGTGTTTTGTTTTGTAAACACTGCTCCAGAGCAGAGTGACTGAGCCTGGGTCCAGGTTTGTATCTCCTGGGCTAATTTCTAAGCCAAGTTACTTAGAACCTCTGTGCCTCAATTTTTGTTATCTACAAAACTGGGTAATAATAGTATCTATTTCATAAACCATAAGAAATAATTGAGTTTTTATATATATGTAGAATAGTGCTTAGAATAATATTTATGTTTATTTATAATAATATTTATGTTTATGTTTAATACTTGTTGACTATAATTATTAGTTATTATTTTGTCTAAAATTAAAAAAATTATGGCACTTTTTCATTTATTTAGGTCTCCTTTAATGGCTTTCAGCAATATCTTGTAGTTTTTGTAGTTTTCATTGTCGTGGTCTTGTAAGTCTTTTGTTAAATTGATGCTTGAATATTGTTAAATGACATATTAAAAATTCCATTTTCCAAATACTAGAAATGTTTGTTTCTAGTATTTAGACATTCAAATATCTTAAAAAAAAATTGATCATGTTTTCTATGACCTTGCTAACTTTATTTATTAATTCCAATAGTGTCTTTATGTTTCTTAGGATTTTATCCATGAACAATGATGTCATTTGTGAATGACTTATTTTCTTCCAACCTTTACGTATTTATTTCTTTGATATTGGCAAAAGGGGCCGTCATTTTTTGTTCCTACCTAGAAGAAAGTATTCCATATTTTACCATTAAGTATAAGATAGACTTCTGGCTGTTAGTAGGTACCTTTTATTAGATTGAGAAAATGTCTTTCTGTTCCTACTCGTTATGAGTAGATGTTAAATTTTACTAAATGCTTTTCTCCATACCAATTGAAATGATCACACAATTTTCTTCTTTCTTCCATTAATATAGAAATTTTTATTATCTGCATTTTAATGTTAAACCATTCTTGATTCATGAGAGAAATTCTCCTTTACTATGATATATGTCATATAAAATGTCACATAGATCAACATTACATATTATCAACATGATATGACTATTGACACTATTGTAATTATCTGACTGGGGTAATGTTTGTCAGGTTCTCCCCTGGAAATTTACCATTTTTTCACCACTTTCCATAATGTTCTCTTTGGAAGGAATACTATGTGCAGTTCGCACTTGAGTAAGAGTTTGCTTCACTTCCTTGAGGAGAGGGTATCCACCTAAATTACTTGGCATTCTTCCGCAAGGGAGATTTGACTATTCTCTCCCATTTATTTATTATTCAATCATGTATTTACATCATGGATGTTTATTTAATGCTTTGGTTTAAAATTCAATGCTGGTTTGTTTTATTGTACAAATTGCTTCAGCTTTGGCCATGGAATCTCTTTCAGTTGATTCCTGTGTCTTTTTGATATATCCCATCAATTTTTTGAACACTTTCTCATTTTCTGTCACTATGAGTTCTTCCAGGCTCATCCTGTATATTTCCTGCCTCAGTTTTAGAATCAGCTATTTTCCTAAGGAGACTTGATTTCTTTTATTAGAGAATGTATTAGAAACAAAAATCTGAGTGCTAGGTGTGTCCTTTGCACACCTAGAATTTAACTATTTCTAGGCACTTTGAGCTGACACAGCAAGGAAGTATATGCATGTATACTTGTCCATGTGTATACATGTATCTATAAATATTTTTATATGTGACCATCTGTGTTTATATCAAGCTAAACATGAATTTATATTGGTGCCCCCATCTTTAATCCATTACTATGTGGATCATCTTAGCCTCTTCCCATTGCTTGTCTGTAAATTCACACTTCAACAGTGAGAATCCTGGGTTCCACAATGTGCCATTTATTTACTTAATTGTTCAATTGAGGTATACATGTATAGTGATACTAGAATTGTTTTCCTGTACCTCCATGGAAAATTATAAATGAAACTACAGTTGTTTTGCATAGTTGCTTTGCTTTTAGTCTTACAGACTGTTCTCATTTCTAAACTTACTTAAGTCAATACTTTCTTCTCTTTCCCTTCTGTCTTCCTGCCTTCCTCAATGAGGTTGCTTTATACATTGGTAATACAATTGGTTTTTAAAATCACATTCTGCATTCTATCTTAGGATCTTGTGACTTCCTGAATGACTTTTAAAATATATGCATACATGCATACATTAAGGTTCACTCTTTGTGCTATAAAGGTCTACAGGGCTTTAACAAATGTGCAATGTCATAGATCCATTATTGCAGTATCAAGCATGGTTTCACTGCTCTAAAAAAAAATCCAGTAATTCACCCACTCAACACTTTCTCCCAGAAAACCCCTGACAATCAATAATCATTTATCATTTCTATAGTTTTGACTTTTCCAGAATATCATATAATTGGAGTCAGACAGTATGTGGTTTTTGCTGATTGGCTTCTTTCATTTAGCAATATGCATTTAAGATTTATTCATGTCTTTTTGTGGCTTAAAAGCTTAATTCTTTTCATTATTCAATAATATTCCATTGCGTGGATGTACCAGTTTGTTTATACACTCACCTATTGAGGGCATATTGTTTGCTTTCAAATTTTTGCAATCATAAATAAAGCTGCTATAGACATACATGTGGAGGTATTTTTGTGGACATAAATTTTCTAACAGTTCCTAAATACCTAAAAATATGACTGATGGCTTGTATGGTAAGACAACACTTACCTTTGGAAGAAAATGCCAAACTGTCTTTCAAAGTGGCTGTGCCATTTTGCATTCCCACCAGCAATGAATGAGAGTTCCAGCTGCTCTGCATCATAACTAGCAATTGATAGGGTTTAAAAAATTTTTTTTTAAATTTTAGCCATTCTAATAGTAGTGTAGTGGTGTCTTATTATTGTCTGAATTTGTAATTCCCTAATTACAAATGATGTTTAGCATCTTTTTGATGTGCTTATTTGCCATCTGTATATCTTTGGTGAGGTGTCTGTTCAGATCTTTTACCCATTTAATTGCATTGCTTACTTTCTTATTGTTGAGTTATAAGGGGCCTTTGTATATTTTAGATACAAATCTTTTATCAGACATGTGATTTTCTAGTATTTTTTTCACTGCTATCATTTGTCTTTTGATTTTCTTCACAGTGTCATTTCGAGAGCAGACATTTTTAATTTTGAGAAAGTCCAATTTATCATTTTTTTCATGGATTGTATTTTTGTTGTTGTATCAGAAAAACCTCATCATCAAAACCCAAGGACATATAAAATTTTTTGGGTGTTTTCTTCCTAGAAACTTTATAGTTTGAATTTTACATTTAGGTGTAAGTTTCATTTTGAGTTAATTTTCATGAAAAGTGTCAAATGTGTAAATGTGTACTTTTTTTTACGTATGGACATCCAATTGCTTTACCACCATTTGTTGAAAAGACAACAAATCATCTCTCCATTGAATTCCCTTTGCTCCTTTGTTAAATATCGGTTGCCTATATTTGTTTGAGAAGGTGTCTAGTCCCTATTTTGTTTCATTGATTGATTTTTCTATTTCTCTCTGAATATCATGCTGCTTTGATTATTGTAACTTTGTAGTAAGTATTGAAACCAGTTAGTGTGAGTCATCCAACTTTGTTTTATTCAGTATTGTGTTGGTTATTCTATGCCTTTTGCCTTTCCATATAAACTTTAGATTCACCTTACTGATATCTACAAAATAGCTGCTGAGATGTTGATTGAGACTGTGTTGAATCCATAGATCAATTTAGGAAGAAATAACATCTTAACAATCTTGAATCTTCCAATCCATGAACACAAAATATCTCTCTTTTTTTAAATTTTACTTTTTTGTGAGTACATGGTAGGTGTATATATTTATGGGGTACATGATATATTTTATTAAGATCTTTAATTTTTTAGTCAGAGTGTTGTACATTTCCACATATAGGTCCTGCAAATTTTTTGTTAAATTTATACATACATATTTCTGTGTTGGTGCTATTGCAAATGGTATTGGTTTTGTTTTGTTTTGTTTTTTTGTGAAAGAGTCTCACTATGTCACCCAGGCTGGAGTTCAGTGGCACGACCATATCTCACGGTAACCTCAACCTCCTGGACTCAACCAATTCTCCTGCCTCAGCTTCCCAAGTAGCTAGGTCTACAGATGTATGCCACTATGCCTGGATAATTTTTAAATTTTTTTGTAGAAATCAAATCTTACCATGCTGCCCAGGCTGGTCTTCAACTCCTAGCCTCAATGCTCATTGGCCTCATTGTCTCTCAAAGCACTAGGATTACAAGCTTGAGCCACCATAGCTGGCCTTGTTTTAAAATTCAAAATGCCAGTTATTCATTGCTGGTGATGTTGCCGGAAGGCCCAAAGGGTCTCTGGACACTGGTGAAACCAAAGCCCTAGCCCGGTTCCAGGTTCTTGACATCTTTTTAAGGAAGAATTCAGGGACCTGATGTTAGGAAAAAAGCATTTACTTTGTCACAATTAAGTGTGATGCTAGCTGCATATTTTTTGCAAATATTCTTTATCAAGTTGAAAAGGTGCTTCTCTACTTGGTTGCTAAGAGTTTTTGTTGGGGATTGGTGTTGGATTTTGCAGAATGTGTTTTTGATAACAGTTTTTGAGAATAAAGTGAAAGGCAAGAAGCTTTTATTGTGAAGGGAGAGTACACACGTGAGAGAGAAGTGTTGGGGGCTCCTGGGAATGGGTTGCACATAAAAAAGTTTGTGTTTCTAATTTTATGGGTGTTTCTTTAATTAGGGGGTAGAATAATCATCAGGTATTCTGGAAAAGGACAGGATTTCAGGAACTCCCATTCACCTCCCCTTTCCTCTTATTTGGGTTTGCCCAGAAGAGTCATGGACATGTCACCCTGACAAGAGTTTTGGCTGTTTTCTCTCCCTTATTTTGGATTTTCTGTTATCCCATGGTTTCTTTGCCTAGTACCTGTTTGAGGTGTTGTTTGGGTTTTTCTTTCTTCCTGAGACTACCCAGTGCTATTCCTATCTCAGTATATGACTTTTGTATACGAACCCATCTTGTAACCTTGCTATAATAGTTCAATAGTTTCTTTTTTTTTTTCAGTATTCTCTGGGATTTTCTACATAGACAAACATGTCAGCTGTAAACAGATACAGTTTGCTTTTTCTTTCCATTCTTAATAGCTTTTATTTCATTTTCTTATTTTATTATACTAGCTAAGATATCCAGAATAATGCTTAATAGGAGAGGTGAGAGTAGGTAACCTTATTTTTTTCCTGATGTTAGGAAAAAAGCATTTACTTTGTCACAATTAAGTGTGATGCTAGCTGCATATTTTTTGCAAATATTCTTTATCAAGTTGAAAAGGTGCTTCTCTACTTGGTTGCTAAGAGTTTTTGTTGGGGATTGGTGTTGGATTTTGCAGAATGTGTTTTTGATAACAGTTGATAGAATTATATAATTTTTTTTCTTTAGCCTGTGGATGTGGTGGATTACAATTATTAGCTTTTGAAAGTTGAATCAGTCTTGCTATCTGCAATACATTTCACTTGGTTGTGGAGTATAATTCTTTCTATACGTTGTTGGATTTAATCTGATAATATATTGTTGAGAAATTTTGCATCACATTCATGGGAGATACTGACCCATAATTTTCCTTTTTTTTGTATTGTGTTTACCTGAATTTGCTATCAGGGTAATGCTGGTCCCATAGAATGGCCTAGGAAAAATGTTTCTTCTGCTCCACTTTGGGAAAATATTGCAGGGAATTGGTATCATTTCTTCCTGAAATGTTTAAGAATTTACTAGTAAAAGCCTCTGGGCTGCAATCTTTCTTTTTTTGGAGGTTATGTGATAACTGATTTCATTTTTAAAATAGATATAGATCTGTTCAGATTGTTCATTTATCCTTGTGTAAGTTTTGGTCTTTTAAGGAATTGGTTTATTTCATATAAGTCATCAAATTTGTAGGTATACATTTGTTCTCAGTATTACTTTATTATCCTTTTAATGTCCATGAGATTGGCAGTGATAACCCCTCCTTCATCTGATATTGGTAATTTGTGTGATATCAATTTTCTTTTTTGTTATCTTGGCTACAGGTTGATCAATTACTGATCTTTTTAAAGAATTAGCTTTTAGTTTCATTGATTTTCTGTATTGATTTCTTATTTTAATTTCATTGATTTGTGCTATAATCTTTCTTATTTCTTTTCATCTGGTTCTTTAGGCTTAAGTTTTGATTATTTCTCTACTTTTCTAAGATGGAAACAGGTTATTAATTCAAATGTTTCTTCTTTTCTAATATATGTATTTAATGCTATACATTTCTCTCTAAGCATTGCTTTTGCTATATCACACCAAATTTGATATGCTGTATTTCCCTTTAAATGTATTACTTATATTAAAACATTTCATTTGTTCTGCGATTTCTCCTTCGAGCCATGTGCTATTTAGAAATGTCTTCTTTAATTTTCAAATACTTGGGCATTTTCCACCTTTTTTTTTTTTTTTTTTTTGAGACAGGGTCTTGCTCTCTCACCCAGGCTGGAGTGCAGTGGCACAATCATGACTTGCTGCAGCCTCAACCTCCTGGGCTCAAGCGATCTTCCCAGTTCAGTCTCCCGAGAAAGTGGAACCACAGGTGTGCTCCACCATGCCTGGATAATTTTTTATTTCTATAGAGATGGAGGCTCCCTATATTGCCCAGGCTGATCTAGAACTCCTGGGCTCAAGTGATTCTTCCACCTCAGCCTCTCAAAGTTTTGAGATTACAGGTGTGAGCCACTGCACCTGGCCTCAGCTCTCTTTATCTTATTGATTACTAGTTGAATTCCACTGTAGTCTGAAGACATACATTGTATGATTTCTATTCTTTTAAGTTTGTTAAGGTGTATTTTCAGGTCTATAATGTGGTCTATCACGGAGAACATTCCATGTGAGTTTGAGAAGAATGTGTATTCTGCTGTTGTTCAATGGCATTTTGTATAAATGTCAACTAGAACCAGTTGATTGATTGTGCTGTACAGGTCCACAATATTATGATTTTCTGTTTTCTTGATCTATCAATCAATGACAGACTAGTGTTGAAATCCCCAAATATCTGACTCATTCTGAGCTAATTTTTCTAAAGAGTGTAAGGTCTGTGTCTAGATTTTTTTTTTTTTTTTGCAGGTGGATAACCAGTTCTAGCGCCATTTGTTGAAAAGGCTATCTTTATTCCATTGCATTGCCTTTGATCCTTTGTCAAAGATCAGTTGACTATATTTCTGTTGATCTATTTCTGAGCTCTCTATTCTGTTTAATTGATCTATGTGTCTAGCCTGTTGCTAATACCACAATGTCTTGATTACTATAGCTTTATAAGTCTTGAAGTCTAGTAGTGTTGGTTGGTCCTCCAACTTTATTCTTCTCCTTCAATATTGTGTTGGCTATTCTACATGATTTGCCTCTTCATATAAACTTTAGAATCAGTTTGTTGCTATTCACAAAATAAAATTCTGGGATTTTTATTGATATTGCATTGAATCTATAGATCAAATTGGGAAGAACTGACATCTTGGTAATATTGAAACATCTTATGCATAAATGTGAACTATCTCTCCTATTATTTAGTTTTTGAATTTCTTTTATCAGAGTATTGTAGCCTTCCTCATATACACTTTGTAAGTATTTTGTCATATTTCTCTCCAGATTTTCAGGTGTTCATTTGCCCTGTGACCTCATGTCTCTGCTTGGTCCAAGAAAAGCCATTGACTTTCGGTTTACTCAGCTTTTTCTTGTTTTAAGGATAGGACTATTGACTTTCAAAGTCTTACATGTTGGAACCGAATCTGAAAATTCCCAATTATTTGTGTATTTTAAATACACAAATTTGGTTTTAATGTTATTAAAACTAAAGCAAAATAAATACATAGAGATGAATAAGGGAAATCAAGGAAGCATGGGTTGAGCATAACTTCTGGCAACTTCAAGTAGTTTGATGTGCTCTAGATCACAGTTTATGTGTGAAAGAGGCTACACATGTGTATTAGTCCATTCTCACACTGTTCTAAAGATACTACCTGAGACTGGGTAATTTATTTAAAAAAAAGGAGTTTTAATTGACTCACAGTTCCACAAGGCTGGAGAGGTCTCAGGAAACTTACAATCATGGTGGAAGGCAAAGGGGAAGCAAGGCATATCTTACATGGTAGCAGGTAAGAGAGAACAGGGGGACTGCCACTTTTAAACCATCAGATCTTGTGAGAACTCCTTCACTATCATGAGAACAGCATGGGGGAAACCACCCCCATGATCCAATCACCTCCCACCAGGTCCCTCATTTTACATGTGGAGATTACAATACGAGAAGAGATTTGGGTGGGGACACAGAGCCAAACCATATCAATATGTTTTGATGAAACCTAATAGATGGGCAGGTGTTGGAACACTCCTATGCAGAGTGTTACACACTTAGAGATGTATTAAATCATTGTAGCTTACTCTTTAACCCCTTAGTATTTAGCACAGTGCCTAGTAAGTAGAAGGTGCTGAATAAATGCTTACTGAATGAATGGACAAAGGAAAGAAAATATAATTGAAATCCATACTTAATATTAAGTTAAATTGAAATGACACTTCACGGTTCTATTCAGCAACATGAAGGCTTTTATTCTAGAGTTTGTTTAGTCATCTTTCTGAGTATGTTTTAAAGTACTTAAGTGTATGAAAACACCCCTTTTATTTTGAAGGTTTCCAAGGTAGCTCTGCGTTTTTAGATGGTGGTTTTAAAATTTTAATTAATATTTATAGCTTCCTCTTGCTGCTTCCCCTATGAATAAAAATTATTCTTTGGGTAATGTCTCTGAAATTAATATTGACATTCAAACGATTCGGAAGTGATTTAATATTCTTGTTGCCTTCTCCTATGTTTCCTCCGGGACTATAGTTTCTCTGGGTTTCCCAGAGCCACCAGACAGGAAGCTTTTTCTATCACGTTTTCTTATCTAATTTTAGAGAGACTAGTAGTTCTTCACTACCCTTTTAAAGTGCAGGGGGCAGTGATTTCTTTTCTTTTCTTTTTCTTTTCTTTTCTTTTTTTTTTTTTTTTTTTGACAGAGTCTCACTCCATCTCCCAGGCTGGAGTGCAGTGGCGTGATCTCAGCTCACGGCGGTATCCACCCCCAAGGTTCACGCCATTCTCCTGCCTCGGCCTGCTGCTCATCCCATTTTTCAATTTCTGAGTTTTTGAGTAGCTGGGATTACCGGTGCCCGCCATCATGCCAGGTAATTTTTGTAGTTTTATTAGAGACAGGGTTTCTCCATGTTGGCCAGGCTGGTCTCGGACTCCTGACTTCAGGTGATGCGTCCACCTCGGCCTCCCAAACTGCTGGGATTATAGGCGTGAGCCACCGCGCCCGGCCCCGGTGATTTCTATTCTGCTCCCTTACCCATGGCTTCAGTATCCTGCTAGGCCTGAAAATGTATATCCAAGATAGAGCTATATCAGAAGGCAACTGAATATTTATTCAGGGCTGTAATGGACAACTTGCACTTCCTGTTGTTTTGGGACAAATATTAGAACTCTGTCAATCCATGGAAGCTTCGTCTAAATGTCTGGCATGCAGGGATGCATCAGGTTTTCTAAATTAAGGCCATATATGGTATCAAATATTAAAGTAAAGGAGACTTTGAGGACATTTTGGTTAATTTTATAGCATAGACAAGGGAAGCGAGGCTTAAAGAACTGCAGATAATTGTTTCTGTTTACACAACTAGTTACTGGAAGAATCAAAATTCATTTTCCATTTAACACTCTCTTCTCTACATGCCATTTTCAATTTTTGAGGGCTTATTACTTCTGATTCTCATAAACCAGAAATAGTATGAGTGCTATCCTGAGTTTTATGCCTTTGGAGTTTGATATCACCAATATATGATGTTCAAATGCTTGGTGTCCTGCAGAACCACTTACAACATTCTCCTTATGGAAAATGAAAGAGTGAAGAATTTCCCAGAGGAAGCAGAGGGAATTATTTTAGAGAACTTTGCAGATCCCCTGAATAATATGTCCTTTTTTCTTAGCAGGTTCATTGACAAGGTCATACCAACCAGATGAATCCAGCAAATCATTCCCAGGTGGCAGGATTTGTTCTACTGGGGCTCTCTCAGGTTTGGGAGCTTCGGTTTGTTTTCTTCACTGTTTTCTCTGCTGTGTATTTTATGACTGTAGTGGGAAACCTTCTTATTGTGGTCATAGTGACCTCCGACCCACACCTGCACACAACCATGTATTTTCTCTTGGGCAATCTTTCTTTCCTGGACTTTTGCTACTCTTCCATCACAGCACCTAGGATGCTGGTTGACTTGCTCTCAGGCAACCCTACCATTTCCTTTGGTGGATGCCTGACTCAACTCTTCTTCTTCCACTTCATTGGAGGCATCAAGATCTTCCTGCTGACTGTCATGGCGTATGACCGCTACATTGCCATTTCCCAGCCCCTGCACTACACGCTCATTATGAATCAGACTGTCTGTGCACTCCTTATGGCAGCCTCCTGGGTGGGGGGCTTCATCCACTCCATAGTACAGATTGCATTGACTATCCAGCTGCCATTCTGTGGGCCTGACAAGCTGGACAACTTTTATTGTGATGTGCCTCAGCTGATCAAATTGGCCTGCACAGATACCTTTGTCTTAGAGCTTTTAATGGTGTCTAACAATGGCCTGGTGACCCTGATGTGTTTTCTGGTGCTTCTGGGATCGTACACAGCACTGCTAGTCATGCTCCGAAGCCACTCACGGGAGGGCCGCAGCAAGGCCCTGTCTACCTGTGCCTCTCACATTGCTGTGGTGACCTTAATCTTTGTGCCTTGCATCTACGTCTATACAAGGCCTTTTCGGACATTCCCCATGGACAAGGCCGTCTCTGTGCTATACACAATTGTCACCCCCATGCTGAATCCTGCCATCTATACCCTGAGAAACAAGGAAGTGATCATGGCCATGAAGAAGCTGTGGAGGAGGAAAAAGGACCCTATTGGTCCCCTGGAGCACAGACCCTTACATTAGCAGAGGCAGTGACCTGAGAATCTGAAAGATGCTACAGGGTATTAGCCTGCTGGATAGGACCCTCGAGGTAGATAAAATCTATGCCTACTTCTTCTCCATTGTTCTTAACCTCAATCAGGTTCTGGTGACCTGAACTATTAGCCACAATAGAAGATGGGATGAGTGTCTTAGAACTGCTTCTAAATGCCTCCCAGATAAAAAGTATCAAGTTCTATGTAGAAGTACTGTTTGGCTCAGGGGCCACTTTCCCACGTAAGAATGATGTTGGCCTTGCTGAGAAAGTTTCAACTAGTAAATCTGGTGTCTCTTTCCTGATATCACTTTTTGGACACAAAGTACATTGGAAGAGCTTAAAATATTTTTAAATTTCTTTGAGACAAGGGTTCTCTTGAAATATTGGACCCTGAGTCCCAGTGGAGACTGATTGATTGATTGACTGTTCGTCAATGAGGAAAAAGGAAATTACCTTGGGCAAATCACTTTCTTCCTCATAGTTTCCTAGGGTCACTGTTGTTGCCATCAGTGTCATCATCATCATCATATTAATAACATTTAGTTAGAACTTACTATGTTCCAGACACTGTACCAGGTGATTTACATTTATTATTTTAATTTTCTCAAAATTCTTAGGAGGTAGGTATCATCTTTACTTTAAACATGAGTCCATTACAAATTAGAGACATTAAATAACTTACTTAAGGCTACAGAGCTTGTTTTCTGGAATTCAACCCAAGTCTATACAACATCAGAGCCCAAGTGCTCAACAGTACCTAAAACGTCTTATAGATTCTAAGGATCTGTGGGTTTATGTCATCACAGATAGAGTTTATATCATCGTGAGTTATACTGACATCATAGATAGACTTGGCATTTGATCCATCTTTTAAAATATGACTTGATCATTCTCTCCCTTACAATCACTCAGAGGCTTTCCATTGCCTTTAAAAAAAAAATCCACATGACTATTATAGATAAGATGTTGTCTGACCTGGCCTCCACCCATCTCTCCAATCTCACTTCTCTAACTCCACTCTTTTCTAACCCTCTGTTTGCATTTACTTCTGTCAGTTTCTCTTTACTTCTTGAGTTTGCAAATACTCTTTGCTATCTCTGGGATGCTCTTCTCTTCATCCTTGCCTGGCAAACTGTTGCTCAATCTCAATCCTCGGTCTAAAGGTCACTTCCTCAAAGATGTGTTCACTGATCTTTAATCCGAATTAATTTGTCCTTATTAGTTTCTCTAACAAAACTCAAAAGTATTTATCACAGATTTCAATTACACACTGATTTATGTATTTATTTATTAATATTTTTTGTCAGCCATCGCCCACTATACTATAAATTCTATAAAAGAAAGGGCCGTGTTTAGCTTACTTAATACTGTATTCTCCAAGCCTAGCACCACAGCCTAGATGAGGGTGCAGCAACAGAGGGGCCTCATGTCAACAATGAGCAGACATTTACTATCGAGTTTGTACACAGCCTGACCCTGCGCTAACACTCCCCTAAAAGTGCATGTCTCTTTAAAATTTGTTCTGTAGACATCTTCCTTGGCTCACCCTAGTTGGAGCCTTGCCATATTAGAGATTTAATAATATTTCTTAAAGGAATGATTAAATGAGTGTTGCCATATTTCAGTTTGTTGCCATATTTGAGTTTGTTAGTAGAGTTTGACTTAGGAATTAGGGCTATCCAAATATTTCACTGGTCTTAACATTCTTCCTTTATGAGATTCCTATAGGAGCTGCTAGTTACATAAGGAGCAATAACAAATGCAAATCAGAGAACCATTTATTACTGCAGCCAGAATTTGATTTTCTAATAATACAGAGGTTCTGGTTAATTTTATTTGCAGTACCCAGTCTAGTTGGAAGACCTCAGAGACCCTCTTACTCCCCACTGAGCTCCAAATCTGAATCTCCATATTTCAGCATCTTCTGATTGGCTACATGACACAGGAGACTGAGGCAGTAAGAAAAGTGTTTAAGCACACACGAAGAGAAGGAGGAGCCTCCCTGTATGCGGGTCACGTGCTCACACATGCTCTCCAATCCAAGGATTCCATCTTGAAAGAAATTTGACCAATTGGATCAGCCTTCTCTGTGGGGAGGAGGAGGCACAAGGAAGGTTGTAGGGAGGGAAAATGAAGGTTTACCACCGTATTTCATGTTGTATATTTATGAAGACTGTTCTTTCATTAGCTGAGAAAAGTGAACAGTGTTGCCTACATCCCTTAAACTTCTTGCACATTTAAAAAATTTTCAATAAACATTTAATCTCCCATTTAATAAGATCATTTCCTTTGACTTGTGACCCTCAGTTTCATCACAGCAGTGAGCCTGGGCCACCCCAAGGCTTCTCTCAGTGCTTGCTGCACCTTGTCATTGCGGAGAGTGAAGATGAATGGGTTCAAGAGGGGTGTGATGATGCAGCTCAGGACGGAGGCACCTTTGTTGAGCAGTTTGGACTGAGCCTCTGACATACGAATGTAGAGAAAGATGGAACTGCCATAGATGATGACCACCACTGTAAGATGCGAGGCGCAAGTGGAAAACGCTTTCCTTCGCTCAGCAGCTGTAGGGGCCCTGAGAACAGTGGCAAGAATGCAGGCATAGGAAACTGAGGTCAGAGCCAGTGAGCCCAGTAACACCAACGTAGAGAGCATGAAAGCCACCAGTTTCAGCAGGTGGGTGTCCCCACAAGAAAGCCTGAGCAAGGGCCAACTGTCACGAAAGAAGTGGTCAATACCATTGGGGCCACAGAAAGGCAGGCTGGCCATGAGGACAGTGGGGCAAAGGACCCAGAGGAATCCAGCTAGCCAGGAGGCCAGCACTAGTTGGGAACAGACATGGCCATTCATCAGGGTCTCATAGCGGAGTGGTCGGCAGATTGCCAGGTAACGATCCAGAGACATGACGGCCAAGAGGAAGAAGTCAGTGGTGCCTAGAAAGAAGTAGAGGTAGGACTGGATGATGCAGCTGACAAATGAGATGGTGTGATCCCCCGTGAGGATGACGACAAGCATCTTGGGAACCACAACAGTTACCAGCAACAGCTCCAGGAAGGAGAAATTCCGCAGGAAGAAGTACATCTGTATGTGCAGGCGTTGGTCTATCCAGCTGAGCACAATAATTAGCAGCTTGCCTGTGGCTGTTACAATGTAGGTCACCATTAACCCCAGGAACACCAGGAACTGTATGAGGTGGCTACTGGGGAAACCCAGAAGGACAAAGCTTGTTACCTGAGTCCAGTTTTCAGGGTTCATCTTCAGTCACCTGCAGGGGAAATGAAACAGAACTCTGTAACTGGTCTATAGCTACCAATCATCATTTAACCAATCGGTAAAATAATATTGAACACCCAACACTTCCTTACATTCTGAGAATATGTTGATCTATAGTTTGGTCTGCACGTGACTTACAAAGAGAGAAACAAATTACAATAGTAAGCAGCATGGCAATATTGAACATCAATTATATATCTGAAAATTTACACGGTGCACAGTATCTCTTCTCCTAGCTACTCTTAAAACTATGTTTTACTATTTTCAAAGATAAGAAAAGGATGACGAAGGGAGTTTAAGTGACTCTTCTATGATCAGGTAGGAAACAGGTGGTAGAGGCAGGATTTCATACTGAGCTTCTGTGACTCCAGCACATGCTGCTGATACTGTTGAGCTCAGGCAGAGAACCGTGTGAGTAGTGTGGCTTTAGACGAGTCCAGAGGAGTAGAGGGGTCAGAGAAGACTTCACAGAACAAATGCACCATGAACAAATTTTACTGGTATTAAGAACTCTCATTTTAGTGTTTATGGTCCTTCTGTGTCCTGGCTTGACATAAAATAACAGAATTTAAAAATCTGGGCTCTCGGTATACTCAGAGATTTAATTTTCATTAGTCAGCCATGAAGCCAAATAGGACCGGATTGTGCAAAGCCCAGTCCTGTCATAAAGTGTTATTTTTCTTTTTTCCCCCAATCCAGACTCCTGTAGAATGCTAGAAATCCTTCTTCCTTGTGGAATGCTTACTAGCTTCTCTTACCTTCAGCTTGCTCAATATTCTAATAGTATAAAATGAGGAATAAGGGAGAATGGTCTCAAAGGAGATGGTATATATCAACTTGCCTTCTCAACTTTTGCCTTAATTTGGAGATATGTTCATCTTGTCCTTGGAGCTTTTGGAATCCTGTAAAATGTATCCACATGTTTTGAAGGACTGGATTTCATTAGACAATTAGATATCTTGGGTTCTTTTTTTTTTTTTTAAACATCTAGCACCAAATACTCAGAATCACATAGATTTGGCCTAATCAGGGAAAATGGAAAATGTTCTAAGACAAAAAGAATGAAAATGAGCATCAAGTTACATTGTTTAATTGACAAGGAATGAAGTGTTGAGAGTTTAGACAGTTTAACTGAGGAATATCTATTACTTCAGACCAACAGTGTTAAAGACGAGGAGCACAGATATTTTCTCAATTCTGTCTGAAGCTACTTTAACAGATAGTATTGAACTGAGGCAAGAAATCCAGGTTTGAAGGATATTTCTGTTCTGTTTACATCAATTTTGGAAAGAATAAGTCTGGGATTTAAGTAGCTAAGTAATAATAATGCTTCATTCTGCTAGTCTAGGGCTTGTGTCTCCAAAATCAAAGAAATACCATAATAAAACCCAGCAAAGGAGGCCAGAGCACTGTTTCAGGATAACATAATCATTTCAGATAAGGAAAACATGCTACTGTGGCTATTTCCAAAGCTTTGGTTAAATATTATTAAAAGTAACTTATAAAGTCCGTCAAACACACAAAATCAGTTTCTGGCTACTGTGATAAAATACATGCACTAAAGTCTGTTCTCTAGCCTCTCTTTGTCAACCTGAATAACTGCTTATCAGTTCTGGAGAGCCTCATCAGTTGGCTGGCTGTCTCTCAAAATGCCAGACCATAACACTATCATCCCTGTATACGCATGTTTACAATTTTGTCATTTTCAACCTCAAAATAATCTTAATGCTTTAAATCATTTGCTTAATGTCACACAGTTAGAAGTTGTTTGTACTATAGTTGGAAATGTTTTTTTGTTCCTATGTATTTTGCACTAAAAATACTGGTTAACAAGATGAGAATCAGTGAAGGGAATTAGAACTTTGAGGGACTCACATGCACACATTTTTCATTGACATAATGATCTAATTTACACAATTAGATAACTATTATTATTGTCCACTTTATAATTGAGCAAACTAGAACAGTGTGGGAAAAAAATACCCACCCTCAAACACAAAGCTAAGATACACATCTAAACTTATCTGACTCTGGTGTGTGTCTATGGCACTAGTGGATAAGACCATGAAATTTGAACCTATCAAGGGAAAAAAAGGATGTGGATTTAGAATGCCATAATATAATGATGCTTCTAATGATAACAGCTAGAACTTACTGAATAGTTACTATATGCCAGAGACTTTGTATTTATTTCATTGTGAAATATCTCAGCAACTATACGTTATTATTCTCTCCATCATACAGGCAAGGTTTAGGGTTCGAGGGATTAAGGACCCACATTAGTGAGTAGTAGAGTTAGTGAATAAAATTTTGGCAGTCTGAATTCAGAGCCTGAATTATTAGCTGCTAAACCACAATATCTTATATATGAGAGTTTGTCATTATAAATTTGATTTGATATCAATTTCCACTTGTCATCTTACTTCATCTGTCAACTAATGATAGGAATTCTACATATAGAAATAAATTGTTATAGTTTAAAGATTTGATCCTGAAAAAATGAAAACATCCCCCAGGATATGTGTTAGGTTGAGTTTCATCCAAAAGTCTTTCAGCTCCTCCTCCAGAGCAGTGGACAGTAGAGGTTATCGTCCCAATCACCACTCCCTATTCCCAGAAGATGGACACACCCCACCCCCTTGAATAAGTTGTTGAAACTTGTTTCTTCTTGTCCTTCAAGTTCTATTTCAGGATGTGCTGCATTTATATCACATAGAAATGGAAGCATTTTACTTGGCAACAAAGATGAAGTATTAATCATACGCTTTATTTCTTTTTTCTTTTGTTTTTTTTTTTTCCCGGAGTCTCCTCTCCTCTCTAACCAGGCTGGAGTGCAGTGGCGCAATCTCGGCTCACTGCAACCTCCACCTCCCAGGTTCAAGTGATTCTCCTTCCTCAGCCTCCCAAGTAGCTGGGATTACAGGCAGGTGCCACCACGCCCAGCTAATTTTCGTATTTTTAGTAGAGACAGGTCACCATGTTGTCCAGGATGGTCTCGATCTCCTGACCTCATGATCTGCCTGCCTCAGCCTCCCAAAGTGCTGAGATTACAGGCGTGAGCCACTGCACCCAGCCCCATACACTTTATTTCTAGCCACTAACTGGTTATAGATCTAGAAGCACACATAAATACATACTTATTTTATCAGTCCCCAGTAAGTATTCCCTTATGGCATTACTACATTTTGCTTGTTATCCTAAATTTGATGGAATCATCAAAATCGTCCTATCTCCCTTTTGTAAGATGGAACTTCCCTGCCAGGGCGTACCATACACCTGTGCTTATCAGACTCTTTCTCTAGCCCTTCATCCATCTGGACCATTTGCTTTTGTAAATTTCTCCTTGGCTGACTGATATTTGCTAATGTGTGTATTTAGTCTGCCTAACCTTGTTACCTCTCAGTTTGCAGTCCTTTCATGCCTTCCTTGGCCAAATCCTTCCCATTTTATTGACAACACTATTGCTTACTTTTCTTCCCTTTCTGCTCTGTAGATGTACTCTGGGAATCTTGAAGTTTGAATGGATTTTACACCGTATTAATCAAGGGTGACTTTAGATTTATTGGATTTTTCCTAAGAGTATGGAAAACTTGCACTGGAATCACCTGGTCTGTTTCTTAAAAATGCCGATTTCTAGGTTCTACCTATAAAATTGCAATTATTCTCTGGGTTTAGGGCTCAGGAATATAAATTTATATCAATTTGTATGGGTTATTCTTATTCAATCAAAAGTTGGAGAAATACTGGCTTTTGGGAGAAGGAAAAGTGTTGAGCAGGTTTGAGTATTATTAGGGTAAAGGACTGAAGTGTAAGGGAGGGGAAGGTTGAAGGTCAGATCTAGAAGGGCCTGCATATGGGAGGCCGAGTTTTCTAAACTAAAAGCATCACCAACTTTTTAATGTGGTGATAGAACTAACTATGCGGATGACCCAGAGCAGCAATAAATCTAGCTTTCTGAATTCTCACAACATGTGTGGATGGCTGTTGCAGCCTCTAATATGTCCACAGGCATGCAGAGGCTATTTTTTTTTTTCAGGTGTGGGCTAGCAAAGTATTCTCACAAGGGTGAGACTGCACACTTGTTGTGTGCTGGATAATCTACCAGGTACAGGAGGTACCTAGCAGAATGAGCTGAATAAACTACTGAGGAGCTCATAGTATATAAGGGTTGGATACATGTAAATGATAAATTCCATTATAACTCAAATTCCATGAGCCTTTAAACTCATCAGGTCAAAATCGGTTTTTAACTTAGCAAATAGCATGCTCTGTTCTTGCCATCTTCAAAGCAGCATATACTTATGTAATAACTATGAATATATTTTGAACAGTAGTTTGATAATCCTTATATTCTTATTTTCTTTATTTCCTCTTATTTTCAATTTATTTCTATATGTAGAATTCCTATCATTAGTTGACAGATGAAGTAAGATGACAAGTGGAAATTAATATCAAATTTATATTAATAAATATAATCCTTATATTCTTATTTGCACATATGTGCAAATTGTACACCCAGGTGATCAATGGAGATTAGAAAAATATTTGAATCTTACTCATCATTAAGTAGGACAAATAAAAAATTATCTTCTCATTTATATATATGTCAATTAAATCCATGACAAAAGTAAAATCACAGTTTCATGGGGGAAGAGAAAAGGAAGGTAAAATTTTGTTTGGGGACAGCATGGGACATTTCAAAAGTTTAGTAACATTTAACTGGATGTTTATAGAATAAGTTTTTTTGAGACCAAGCAGACACGTGAGTCTTTTAGGTTTAGAGTAGCCAAATACTAACATTTTGAGTTTTTTAAATAGGAGAATAAGGTTATGAAGATTATCAAACTACTGTTCAAAATATACTCATAGTTATTACATAAGTGCTTCCTGCTTTGAAGATAGCAAGAACAGAGCATGCTATTTGCTAAGTTAAAAAACTATTTCGAACTGATGAGTTTAAAGGCTCATTAGAACATGGGCTGAGTTGGCTTTTGAGACAGACAAAAATATAAGGTCTACCTTTGAATCTTTCTCATCTCTGGTAGTAGTATCATAATATTCTTGCTTTTTAGTAATTACCAAATAATCTTATTAATGGAATTTAAAAAGGTGTGTGAATATTTCCAGGTGTTTGCTTTTTATGTAGAAATACTTTGTCTTGAAGGCTTTAGATAAAATGGCTAACATTGTAATTGCAGAATAAAAAAATTTCTCTGAAATTGTCTATTTTGGGCAGGGTACAATGTCTTGTGATCTCTCAAATGTAATAGGTTACCAATTGCTCCTCTGTATGTAAAACCTTATCTTTCCATGAAACTTCAGTGAGTACTTTAAAGATAAACTTTCCAAAAGCTGGAAGCTTCTTAACTCAGTCCCTAGTGAAAAAGAAAGTTGTTAGGGTCATTTTCTGGATACTCAAAATATGCAAATCAGAGCTTCTCATAATGCAGTGCTGTACTTTATGGGCTCAAGTGTTGGTTTATCTGTGCAGAACTCAATAGCTGAGGATATAAATGAAGAGCTGTCATTCCTATCTTCCATCAGTAAATAGAAATTGTATAGCTGTGTACAATAAAATGTATCATAGTTTTAGTACTCTAAATCTTTATGCCTTAAATTACTTATAAACAAAACTCCTTGATTCCAATGAGTCCAGTTTTAAGTCAAGAATAAAAATAAATTTTGGATATATGAAGTTGCCTGACATAGGAGGTGATATAAGTTATCTCCTTTACCTGTTCCAATACTGCATTTCTTAGGCTTCTTCCCCTGGCCAGTTTGAGGAATGTGCACTCAAAAGTTCTATCAGGATCCTGTTTATGTTCAATGGAGCACACAGAAGGCTTCTTGAATCTGCAGTTCTTTATGCTTCAAGTAATACCAAGCAAAACTCCTTCTCAGTGTTGAAAGAGAAGTTACTATAAATTTGCATGATTATTTCTTTGTACCTCCAATCAATTAAAATTTACTTTAACTTGCTTTGAATGGAAATCTCAAAAGGGAATAACTTTGACCAAAGTTCTCTAAAAGTAAACTAATGTAATTAGTCCTTCAAGGCTTTAGGGGGTGAGACGTTTGAGATTTGTCATAGAGTATGAACTGTACTTCTTCAAAAAAAGATAGAGCTACTTCTTGTGTACAGAAGTAGTAGAAAACTTGTTACTGTATTTGAACTTTAAGAAATTCTCTTAAGCTAGGTAGTGACTCAGTGAGGCCTTGGGTATCTTGACGATGTAATGAAATTATAACAAATATATCCATATATATTTATCCATATATATATGGATATATATTTATCCGTATATATATCCATATATATTTATCCATATATATATGGATATATATTTATCCGTATATATATCCATATATATATGGATATATTTGAATATATATATATGATCAGTGTTAATTTGAAAATCCAATCTTTTTTTTTTTCAATGAGCATTGAACATTGAGTCACATACTAATTATGGTATATAATACTTGGCATGAACTTGGGTAAGTTACTTAAATTCCTAGCTTCAGTTTCTTCATCTGTAAAATGGGTTTCATAGGATCTTTAAGAGAAATAATTGTGTATAATTTGCACCCAGGTGATCAACGGAGATGAGAAAAAATATTTGAATCTTGCTCATTATCAAGAAGTTCAAATAAAAATTATCTTCTCATTTATATACATTCAATAAGCTCAAAGTATCTACTTATCAAATTATCTGCGTACTTCACCCCTTTCCCACCAAAATGTTGAACTTGTAGTTCATCAAAACCATACTGTAAACTGTTATGAGTTTACCTTTCTAGACGTGGTTATATTGAAATATTTTGCATGCACTGAAGTGTAAAATGAATGAAAAATGTTGGATTAAAAGAGATTCAATAAAAATCTAAAGAATATTTAAAAGCTTTATTAATGATTGTCTAACCTTGATTGGAATTTTAAAATGTGAAGTTATGTCAAAATGTGTAGTAGGGATTTTTATTTGCACTAAATTATGTTTTTTTCTCCTTCCCTAGAAGCCATTTTATGCTACTCTTAGGACATCATATGCTAAAGATATTATGGCTTAAAATAGATAATGGACAATGTTACACTGATGAGAATTATCTGTGTAAAGAAAGTTTTCAGTCATTCTAGGATTTCCAAACCTTGTCTTCTTAAATATGATAGAATGGTAAGTTCAATAAAAACTATCCATGTTCTGTGGGGAAAGGGGGTCAGTGAAGAGCCAGCCTTGCTGTCCTTTTCAGGAATTAGATAAAGTGTGCCTTAAGAGTGTCAAATACAGGTCTGGGCACTATGGGCACACTATTTCCACCTTTATTCTACCTTTCCTGCTGGGTCAACTTGCTACAGAACTGGGAGTCAATCCTGGAGTTCTAGTCTAAAACTCACTTCCTAAGCACACCTGGTGATTTTGTAAGCACTTAATTCTCTATTCTTTCTTGCTTAAAATAGCTAAAATCATTTCCGTTTCCTTCACTGAAGCTTAAATAATATAAATGCCAATGAGGAGGGACTTCTGTGAACTATGACAATAATCATCTTATCCAGAGGATATTTTGGTGTCCTACTTGTTCTGAAAGCTTCCCCTATAGAACAGCCAAGAAACAAGAAATGAGTTCAAAATAGAGTGCTCATTAACACATCTAATGATATCTACATTCATCTTGAGAAATAATGCCCCTATGTGACAATACTTCATCTTAGGAAAAAAAAAAAAAGGATATTAATCTGAGAGGGGTTTGGTATCATTGTTATTTTTTAAAAAGTGGATTTTTAAAAATTTTCTTTAAACATTTTTTACATGCCTACTTAATATGGTTAATCCATATGAATGGGTTAGGAAAAACTGAAATGTCTACTGATTAACTGAGTTACCTCAAAAACTAAACTGCAGCATTAAATTATTCTAAGATGTTACCCAAATCGAGAATATGTGTTGAATTACATAAAGTATGTAGCATTCCAGATCCTTTTCTTGAATCTCTTCTCCTAAACAAGATAACTTATTGGCTGTTTAAATGCTCTTGTGGAATGTTTCTTATCTTTTCCTTTTTGCCATCAAAATATACCTTTATTTGTTACATGAGTAACATAAACATTAAAAAATAGTGTATTATTGATTTTGCCACAACACTCCCAGAACTATTAGCAACTTAAAAAAAGTTAGAAGTGACGAATAAGAGCATTACATATTGATATAGGGGTCAATTCAATAAGAAGAGCTAACTATCCTAAATATATATGCACCCAATACAGGAGCACCTATATTCAAAAAACATGTTTTTAGAGACCTAAAAAGAGACTTAGACTCTCACACAATAAAAGTGGGAGACTTTAACGCCATACTGTCAATATTAGACAGATCATTGAGACAGAAAATTAACAAAGACCTTCAGACCTTGAACTCAACTCTGGATCAAGTGGACCTGATATATATCTACAGATCTTTCCACCCCAAAACAACATAATACACATTCTTCTTGGCACCACGTGGCACTTACTCTAAAACTGATTACACAATTGGAAGAAAATCACTCCTCAGCAAATGCAAAAAAAAAAAAAAACCCTGAAATCATAACGAACTGTCTCTCAGACCACAGCACAATCAAATTAGAACTCAAGAGTAAGAATCTCACTCAAAACCACACAACTTCATGGAAACTGAACAACCTGCTCCTCAATGATTCCTGGGTAAATAATGAAGTTAAGGCAGAAATTAAGAAGCTCTTTGAAACCAATGAAAACAAAGAGACAACGTGCCAGAATCTCTGGGATGCAGGTAAAGCAGTGTTAAGAGATAAATTTATAGCACTCAACGTCCATATCAAAAAGCTAGAAAAATCTTGAATCAGCACCCTACCATCACAACTAAAATAATTAGCGACCCCAAAGCAAACAAACCCCAAAGCTAGTAGAAAACGAGGAATAACCAAGATCAGAGTGGAACTGAAGGAGATAGAAATATGAATAACCTTTCAAAAAAAATCAATGAATCCAGAAACTGTTTCTTGGAAAAAAAAATAATAAAATAGACCACTAGCTAGTCTAATAAATAAGAAAAGAGGGAAGAATCAAATAGACCACAATAAAAAAATGATAAAGGAGATATCACCACTGACCTCACAGAAATACAAACTACCACGAGAGAATACTACAAACACCTCTATGCACATAAACTAGAAAATCAGGAGAAATGGATAAATTTCTGGACACATACACCCTCCCAAGACTGAAACAGGAAGAAGCTGAATCCCTGAATAGACAAATAAGTTACAAAATTGAGGCAGTAATAAATAGCCTACCAACCAAAAAAAGCCCAGGACCAGATGGATTTACAGCTGAATTCTACCAGAAATACAAAGAAGAACTGATATCGTTTCTTCTAAAACTATTCCAAACAATTGAAAAGGAGAGACTCCTCCCTCACTCATTTTATGAGGCCAGCATTATCCTGATACCACAACCTGACAGAGATAAAACCAAAAAATAAAATTTCAGGCCAATATCCCTGATGAACATTGATGCAAAAATTCTCAATAAAATTCTGGCAAACTGAATCCAGCAGCACATCAAAAAGCTTATCCATCATGATCAAGTTGGCTTCATTCCCAGGATGCAAGGCTGGTTCAACATATGCAAATCAATAATTTATCACATAAACAGATCTGAAGACAAAAACCACATGATTATCTCAATAGATGCAGAAAAAGCCTTTGATAAAATTCAACAATGCTTCATGTTAAAAACTCTCAATACACCAGGTACTGAAGGAACATACTTCAAAATAATAAGAGCCATTTATGACAAACCTACAGCCAATATCATATTGAATGGGCAAAAGCTGGAAGCATTCCCTTTGAAAACTGGCACAAGACAAGGATGCCCTCTCTCACCACTCTTATTCAACATAGTATTGGAAGTTCCAGCCAAGGCAATCAGGCAAGAGAAAGAACTACAGGGTATTCAAATAGGAAGGGAGGAAGTCAAAATACCTCTGTTTGTAAATGACACGATCCTATATATAGAAAATCCCATTATCGCATCCCAAAAGCTCTTAAGCTCATAAGCAACTTCAGCAAAGTCTCAGGATATAAAACCAATGTGCAAAAATCACAAGCATTCCTATACACCAACAACAGGCAAGCAGAGAGCCAAATCATGAATGAACTCCCATTCACAATTGCTACAAAGATAATAAAATACCTAGGAATACAGTTAACAAGGGAAGTGGAGGACCTTTTCAAGGAGAATTATAAACCACTGCTCAAGGAAACTAGAGAGGACACAAACAAATGAAAAAATATTCCATGCTCACGGACAGGAAGAATCAATATTGTGACAATCACCACACTGCCCAAAGTAATTTATAGATTCAATGCCATTCTCATTAAACTACCACTGACATTCTTCACAGAATTAGAAAAAACTGTTTTACAATTCATAATACAGAACTCAGATATAAGATCACATATCTACAATCATCTGATCTTCAACAAACCTGACAAAAACAAGCAATGGGGAAAGGATTCCCTATTTAATAAATAGTGCTGGGAGAACTGGCTATCCATTCGCAGAAAATTGAAACTGGACACCTTCCTCACATGTTATACGAAAATTAACTCAAGATAGATTAACGACTTAAATGTAAAACCCCGAACTATAAAAAACCTACAAGAAAATCTAGGCAATACCATTCAGGACATAGGCATGAGAAAAGATTTAATGATAAAGTTGCCAAAAACAATTGTAATGAAAGCAAAAATTGACAAACGGGATCTTATTAAACTAAAGAGCTTCTGCACAGCATAAGAAACTAGCATCAGAGTGAACAGGCAACCTATAGAGTGAGAGAAGTTTTTTGCAATCTATTCATCTGACAAATGCCTAATATCCAGAATTTACAAGAAACTCAAACCAATTTACCAAGAAAGAAACAAACAACCCCATTAAAAAGTGGATAAAGAACATGAACAGACACTTCTCAAAAGAAGATATTCATACAGCCAACAAACATATGAAAAAAAGCTCAACATCACTGATCGTTAGAAAAATGCAAATAAAAACTACAATGAGATACCATCTCATGCCAATCAGAATGGCCATTATTAAAAAGTCAGGAAACAACAGATGCTGGTGAGGTTGTGAAGAAATAGGAACAGTTTTACACTGTTGGTGGGAATGAAAATTAGTTCAACAATTTTGGAAGATGTGTGGTGATTCCTCAAGGATGTAGAACCAGAAATACCATTTGACCCAGCAATCCCATTACAGGGTGTATACCCAAAGGAATATAAATCATTCTATTACCAAGATACATGCACAGCTATATTCATTGCAATACTATTCACAATAGCAAGGACAGGGAATCAACCCAAATGCTCATCAATGATAGACTGGATAAAGAAAATGAGGTGCATATACAACGTATACAACATGGAATACCATGAGGCCACCAAAAGGAATGAGATCATATCCTTCGCAGGAACATGGAGGAAGCTGGAAACCATTATCCTCAGAAAACGAATGCAGGAACAGTAAACCAAAACCCGCATGTTCTTACTTGTAAGTGGGAGCTGATCAATGAGATTACATGGACACAGGGGAGGAACAACACACACTGGGGCCTGTCAGGGGGTTGGGTGGGAGGAAGGGGAGCATTAGGAAAAATAGCTAATGCATGCAGGGCTTAATACCTAGGTGATGGGTTGATAGGTGCAGCAAGCCATATGGCACACGTTTACCTATGTAACAAACCTGCACATCCCACACATGTACCCCAGAACTAAAAATAAAAATTAAAATTACAAAAAAGAAAAAAAAATGTTAGTAGTTAGCCTCAGTGAATACCAGATTGTTATAAAATTTCAAGCATCTTTAAAAATGAGCAACAGAGGTGAGTGATGTCAGCGAGATGACAGAATAGAGATTCCAGCCCTCATCCTCCTATGGAAACACTGATTTTGGCAGCATTCATGGATGAGAATATCTTTGTGGGAGTTCCAAAAGCTAGCTGAGAAGTTCCAGCACCCCAGTAAAGTAAAAAATCCAAGAGTGGACACATTAAAGAGAGAAAGAAGGGAAGTTAAATTTTATCCATATTTTCCCTCCTCAATACTCTCTCTGCTGAGTCCTCTCAGTTGTGATTTTTTTTCCCATGAAACAAGGTATAAGTGAAGTGAGCTCCTGGCTTCCCCAGTCTTCCAGGAGCCCCTTGTAGGTCTTTTCTTACCCAGAACACTGAGAAGTTCAACATAACTGAATGCTGTGAGAGCAGCTAGGCACAGGGAGAAGAGGCAGGGAGTAACAGAAACCAGGGTGTGGAATTCAACAGCCTGCCACAGATCCTGCTGACTAACTTGCAGACTCCACCAAAAGGCCCACCTACAAACCTTGCCTGTGGACTCCCCAAACCAGTCAATGTAAACCCTCAGTGCCTCATGCACCACCCCCCAGGTGGACAGTGCACTGTGTACACCTGTGATGGCCTGCACAAGCTCCTACAGTCAGCACACAGATCTTAACAGCAGGAGTGAATCTTGGCAGTTGTCTCAACTCTGCTGGTTTGGGAGAAGGTGCACATCTTGTATACTTCAGGGCACTTCCCTAGGGAAAATAAACAGGCAGCTGTTTGCAACAGCCCGAGCTTTGTAGGATCAGGGGAAGGCACACAATCCTAAGACTTTCTCCTTAAGAGGAAACAAGAGGATCAGAGGAGGCACATCTATACAAAAGGCATGAGAGACCCTTAGAATCTCTAGGCAGGCTTACTGGCAAACTCTCTTTCTCTCCTGAAGCCAGTCTGTAAAGACTGAAGGAGGTTACTTTTTAAAAAGTGAAGATAGCAATGTAAAACTTCAAGAAATATGAAGAACCAAGAAAATATAATACCAAAAAAGAGAAGAAAATAAAGCTGTAATGACTAAACCCAAAGAAATAAAGATCTACAAATTGCCTAAAAATAATTTAAAATAATATTCTTGAAGAAGCTCAGTGAGCTACACAAATAGACAACTAAACACTATCAGGAAAACAATACTGGAAAAAAGTGAGACATTCAGGAGAAAGACTATGATATCATCCCTTTTTAATGGCTGTGTAATATTCCATGGTGTATACATACCACATTTTCTTTATCCAGTCCACCACTGATATGTTTAAATTGATACCATGTTTTTGCTATTGTTAATAGTGATGCAAGGAACATACATATGCCTGTGTCTTTATGATAGAACAATTTATCTTCCTTTGAATATACACCCATAATGGGATTTCTGGGTTGAATGGTAGTTCCATTTTAAGTTTGTTGAGAAATCACCAAACTGCTTTCTATAATGGCTGAACTAATTGGCATTCCCACCAGCAGTGTATAAGTATTCCCTTTTCTCCACAACTTCACCAGCATCTGTCATTTTTTGACTTTTTAATAGTAGCCATTCTGACTGGTGTGAGATTGTATCTCATTGTGATTTTGATTTGCATTTCTCTAATGATTAGTGATATTGAACACTTTTTTCATATGCTTGTTGGCAGCTTATATGTCTTCTTTTGAAAAGTGTCTGTTCATGTCCTTTGCCCACTTTTTATGGGGTTGTTTTTTTGGTTTTAAATTTGTTTAAGTTCGTTATGGCTTCTGGATATTAGACCATTGTCAGATGCATAGGTTGCAAATATTTTCTTCCATTCTGTGGGTTGTCTGTTTACTCTATTGATAGTGTCTTTGCTGTGAAGAAGCTCTTTAGTTTAATTAGGTCTAATTTGTCAGTTTTTTTTTTTGTTGTTGTTGCAATTGCTTTTTGTGTCTTCGTCATGAAATCTTTTGCCAGGGCCAATGTTCAAAATGCTATATCCTAGGTTTCCTTTAAGGGTTCTTATAGTTTTAGGTTTAACATTTAAGTCTTTAATTCATCTTGAGTTGATTTTTGTATATGGTGTAAGTAAGTGGTCCGGTTTTAATCTTCTGCATATGGCTAGCCAGTTATCCCAGCACCATTTATTGAATAGGGTGTCTTTCCCCCATTGCTTGTTTTTATCATCTTTTTTTTTTTTTTTGAAGATCAGAATGTTGTAGTCATGTGGCTTTATTTTTGTGTTCTCTATTATGTTCCATTGGGCTATGTGTCTGTTTTTGTACCATGCTGTTTTCGTTACTGTAGTCTTGTGGTATAGTTTGAAGTCAGCTTTATTCTCTTTGAATTGATATGGCTATTCAGGCTCTTTTTTGGTTTCATGTGCATTTTAAAATAATATTTTTCCTAATTTTGTAAAGAATGTCATTGGTGGTTTGATAGGAATAGCATTGAATTTGTACAATGCTTTGGGTAG
Source organism: Homo sapiens (assembly GCF_000001405.40). NCBI lineage: Eukaryota > Metazoa > Chordata > Mammalia > Primates > Hominidae > Homo > Homo sapiens. The sequence continues at coordinate 123,958,183 of NC_000011.10, forward strand.
TATGGCCATTTTAGCAATATTGGTTCTTCTTATCTATGAGTATGGAATGTTTTCCATTTGTTTGTGTTATCTCTGATTTTTTCTTCAGTGTTTTGTAGTTCTACTTGTATAGATCTTTCACCTCTATGGTTAGTTATATTCATAGTTATTTCATTTTCTTGGTGGCTATTGAAAGTGGGATTGTGGTATTGGTTTATGCTTATCCTGAATGTTGTGTATAGGAATGTTACTGATACTTGTACATTGATTTTGTATACTGACTTTACTGAAGTCATTTATGACTTCTGACAAAGTGTTTAGGATTTTCTAGGTATAGAATCATATTGTCAATGAAGAGAGAGAGTTTGAATTCTTCTTTTTCTATTTGGATGCCTTTAATTTCTTTCTCTTGGCTGATTGCTCTGGCAAGGGCTTCTAGTACTATATCAAATAGGGGTGATGAGAATGGGCATCCTTGTGTTGTTCCAGTTCTCAAGAAGATGCTTCCAACTTTTGCCCATTCAGTATGATGTTAGCTGTGGATTTGTTGTAGATGGCTTTTATTATTTTGAGGTATGTTCCTTTGATGCCTTGCTTGTTGAGGGTTTTTTAATATGAAGGGATATTGAATTTTATTGAACGACTTTTCTGCATCTATTGAGATAATCATTTGGTTTTTTGTCTTTAGCTCTGTTTATGTGATGAAACACAGTTATTGATTTGGGTATGTTGAACCAACTTATCAGCTCAGGAATACAGCCTACTTGACAGTGTTGGGTTAGGTTTTTGCTATGCTGCTGGATTCAGTTTGCTAGTATTTTGTTGAGGGTTTTCCCATTGATGTTCATCAGAGAAAATTGCCTGAAGTTTTCTTTTCTTGTTGTCTCTGCTAGGTTTTGTTATCAGAATGATGTTGGCCTCATAGAATGAGTTAGAAAGGAATCCCTCCTCAATATTTTGGAATAGTTTCAGTAGGATTGGTACAAGCTTTTTTTAATACATCTGGTAGAATTCAGCTGTGAATCTGTTTGGTCCTGGCTTTTCCCAGTTGGTGGGCTTTTTATTACTGATTCAATTTTGGAACTCATTATTGGTCTGTTCAGAGTTTTAATTTCTTTCTGGTTCAATCTTGGAAGATTGTATGTTTCTAGAAATTTATCCTTTTCTTTTAGGTATTCTAGTTTCTGTGCATATAGATATTTGTAATACTCTGAAGGTTTTTAAAAAATATTTCCATGGGGTCAGTAGTAATATGCCCTTTTAAATTTCTGTTTGTGTTTACTTGGGTATTGTCTCTTTTTTTTTCTTTATTGGGCTAGCTAGCAACCTGTCAATCTTATGGATTCTTTCAAAAACCAACTTTTTGATTCATTGATTTTTATGTTTTTTTCACATCTCAATATCATTCAGTTCAGTTCTAATTTTGATTATTTCTTTTCTTCTTCTAGCTTCAGGATTGTTTTTGCTCTTGTTTTCCTAGTTCCTCTTGATGTGATATCAGGTTGTTAATTTGAGACCTAACTTCCTGATGTGAGTGTTAAGCACACTCAACTTGCCTCAGTGCTGCTTTAGCTGTGTCACAGAGATATTGGTATGTTGCATGTTTGTTTTTCTTAGTTTCAAATTATTTATTTATTTCTGCCGTAATTTCATTGTTTATCCAGAAGACATTTAGGAGTAGGTTATTTAATTTCCATGTAATTGTATGGTTTTTAGAAATCTTCTGAGTCTTATATCCTATTTTTATTGTACTATGATCTGAAAGTGTGGTTGGTAGATTTTTTTTTAACTTGTTGAGAATTGTATTATGGCTGATCATGTGGTCAATTATAGTGTATGTGCCATGTCCAGATGAAAAGAATGTATATTCTGTTACTGTTTGGTGGAGAGTTCTGTAGCTGTTAGATCAAATTGGTCAAGTGTGGAGTCCAAGTCCTGAATATCTTTATTAGTGTCCTGGCTCAATGATCTGTCTAGCACTATCAGTGCATATTGAAGTCTTCCACTATTATTGTGTGGTTATCTGAGTCTTTTTGTAGGTCTCTAAGAACTTGTTTTATGATTCTGGATGCTCCAGTGTCAGGTTCATCTATATTTAGGATAGTTAAATCTTCTTGTTGAATTGAACCCTTTACCATTATGTAATGTCCTTCTTTTTTTATTGTTGTTGGTTTAAAGTCTGTTTTGTCTGAAATTAGAATAGCAACTTCTGCCCTTTTTGCTTTTTTGTTTGCTTGGTAGATTTTTCTTCAGTTCTTTATTTTGAGCCTATGGGTGTCATTGCATGTGAGATGGGTCTCTAAAAGATAGCATTCAGTTGGATCTTGCTTCTTTATCTTACTTGCCACTCTGTGCCTTTTAAGTGGGGTGTTTAACCCATTTATGTTCAAGATTAACATTGATATGTGCAGAATTTTTCCTGTTATATTGTTCGCCAATTGTTATACAGACTTGATTGTGTGGTTGGTTTTTAATTTCAATGTTTTATGTATTTAAGTGTGTTTTTGTGTTGGCCAGTGCTTTTTTAAATTTTTAATTTTTTTCAGCTTTAAACTATTAATGCATGTAACAATCTAGATGAATATTCAGATAATCGAAGTAAGTGAAAAAGTTAATATCAAAAGGTTTCATACTGTGTGATTCCATTTATATAACGTTCTTGAAATGACAGAATTATAGAAATATCAAACAGATTAGCGAGTGCCAAGTGTCAAAATGAGAGAAGTGGATGTCTGGCTATAAAAGGTCAGTTTTAAAATCCTAGTTGTTATACTGTGCTATAGTTTTGCAAGATGTTACTATGGGGGAGATCTAGGTAAAGTACACAGAATCTCTCTTATTTCTTATAAATATAAATACATAATTATACCAAAATAAAAAATGCAATAACAATACTCAGCAAAAATGAGTATATAATTTATGCAATGTATCAATTTATATTTAAAACAATATTAATATGTTTAAAGTTTATGCTAACCTAATACAATTTATATGGTGTCATTAAAGTTTTGCACTTGATACATCTGGGTTTTTCTTAAAAACATATGTATATATAATTTTTTTTGGAAAAAGAAGAACCAAAGATAAATTGCACAGCTAAAATTTACAGTAAATAAAATTTAAAATCCCACAGATTGAGCCTAAGGGTAGATTGGAAACAACAAAGTAAAGAAACAGTAAACTCAAGCACAAAAATTTATATAATCTGAAAAGAGAAAAAATAGACTAAACAAAAATAATCAAAGCTTAAGAGACCTGTGAACAACACTTAACATTTAATATTTTTGTCTTTAGTCACAGAAAGCAAAGAGGAGGAGTGTAAGGCTGAAGACAATATTCAAAGAAATGGTGGATGAAAATTTCTCAAATTCAATGAAAACATAAACATACAGATTTAGGAGTTGTGCAAACCCAAACAGAATATTCTCCAAAAATTCATGCTATGATCTATCATAGTGAATGTTTTAAAAACTATAAAGAACAACAACAAAACCCCCAAACTAATATATTCAATATAGGTAAAGAGAAATGACAAATATTGAGATACAATTTAAATAATTTGAAATAATCATGGCAGAAGAAAGTGGTTCAACATTTTTTAAGTGCCAAAAGGAAGGAATGACTGATCTCAAATTCTTTATTCACTGACAAAATCTTTAGGAGTAAAGAGGGGAAATAAAGACATTTCCAGATAAGGAAGCCTAAAATAATTTGATGCCAGCATACCTATACTTACAGAATGGCTAAAAAAAAAAAATGCATACCAAAGAGAAAGGAAATAATAGCAAAAGGAGGCTTGGAACTTCAGGAAGAAAGAACAATGGAATGGGCAAAAATAGAAATAGAATAGAATATTCTCCTGTGTTTAAAAAAATTTTTTGACAGTTGAAGAAAATGTAGTAATATCATCTCATGCGGCAATCAATGTATGTAGAGGAAATACAATTTTCTAAAGTGAAAAAGGAAAAAGGAAACTAAATCGAAGCAAATTTATTTAAAGTTGTAATATGTCAATATCAGTACACTGTATAAGTTACATACATATTTTAATGGCTAAGGAAAATATTAAAAACTTAGGGATACATGCTTTAAATAGCCATACATAAATCAAAATTGAATTCTGAAAAATATTGAATAATTCACAGGAAAGCAAGAAAATTGAAAACAAGAATAAGAAACACAGGAACAAGTAAAAAAAAATGCAATGATGGAGTAAGGCCTATGACATCAATAAATCAATAAATGACCTAAACAAATTATCAGATTAAAAGGCAGATATTATCAAAATACATTAACAATTTCTCAACTATATGCTGTTTATAAAAAACTCACTTCAAAGAAAACAATATAGATGGGTTGAAAGTAAAAGAATGGAAAATGATATAACATACAAATATAATTCTGTAAGAATTATTTATATTTTCTTAGTACATGTCCTTATCAGTTAAACATTTTGAAAATATAGTCTCTCTTTGTGGCTTGATTTTTCATTTGCTTAATTGTATCTTACAACTTAATATTATGGAGAGGAATAACCAAATCAGAAATTAGGCCCAATATTTAAACAGACATTTCATCAATGAAGACATAACAATGGTTAATAAACATATAAAAAGATGCTGAACATAAATATTTATTAAGAATGTAAAAAATTAAAACCAAAATGAGATTCTATAATCCTCTAAAATGACTGTAATTAAAAAGACAAACAATACCAAGTGTTGACAAGCATGTGGAAAAACTCAAACCCTCATAGAATGCTGGTGGGAATATAATACAGTAAAGCCTCTTTTGAAAATGGTTTGGCAGTTTAATAAAAAGTGTAAGATAAACTTTCCGTTTAACATAGTAGTTCCACTCACCCCACCTTCATTTAACTTACTCTCCTCAGAAGCCCAAAAGCATTCACCAGTGCCACCATCACTAATCTTTGCATCCAAATATCTTTATTCACTTATCTTGAGCCTGAACTACTTTTTTACAAGTCGTGGTGGGATAATTAAATAGGGATATACAAAAAAACTAACTTCAATTAGTAACTCACACCATATAAAAACTTAATTCAAAATAGACCACAGACCTGAATGTAAATCTGAAAGCCATAAAACTTCCAGAGAGAAACATAAGAAAATCTTCTTGGGACTTTGGGATTAGCAAAGAGTACTTAAATATGGCACCAAGAGCACACTCTATAATAAAAAAATGGAGATATCAGTATTCGTAAAAATTAAAATTTTCCTGTTTTTTGAAAAACACAAGAGGATAAAAAGAAAAGACACATACCAGAAGAAGATATCTGTAAATAATATGTAAAATCTCAAAAGTTAATAAGAAAACAATTCAGTTAAAAAAATGAGCAAAGACTTGAATAGTTGATTTATTAGGAAAGTTATATGGATGCAGATAGCACTTGAAAAGTGTTCCATATTACTAATCATCAGGGAAATTTAAATTAAAACCATAAAGAGATCCACTATATACCTTTTGGAATGTCTTAAATTAAAATGAATGACTATGGTCATATTCATGACTGAATGAGCATGGTTGTGAAGAAACTGAAACTCTCATGCACTGCTGATAGAAATACAAAGCTGTAAAGACTTTGGAAAACAATCTGAGAAGTTTTTAAAAAGTTAAACATACAAGTACCATATGACCCAGCTATTCTACTCCTATATATTTACCCAGGAGACACGGATCCATATCACACAAAGACTTGTACGTGAATGTTCATGGTAGCTTTGTTTGCAATAGTAAAAACTGGAAACTATCCAAATGTTCATCAACAGGGCAATGGAAAAAAAAGTAGCATATTTACTTAATTAACTATTTCTGAAATGCATAAGAAACTGTTTCAATTATTTCAGTCATACATGTTTCACACTGTTCAAATTGTTCCAAAGCTATTGGATATGCTGTTCTGTTTCTCACTTTTTTCTTCTTGAATTTGAGTTTGAGAAGTTTCTGGCTACGTACTTTCAAGCTCACTGATTATTTCTTAAGCTCTTTTGAGTTCGAATAAGTACATTGAAATGATTCTGTTTTTAACCACTTCATTATGGTATGATTGATATACAAAAGCTGTACATATTTAATGTATATAGTTCAATAAGTTTGGATATGAGTATACATCCCTATAATTATTACTAAAATCAATGTCAAAAACATGTCCATCACCTCAAGCTTCTTCCACTTTATAAATTAAATAATTAATTAATTTTTGTGATATGAACACTAATCATAAGATCTACCCTGTTAGCAAAATTTTAAGTATGCAACACATCATGGTTAACTATAAGTACTATGATGTGCAGTAGATCTCCAGGATTTATTTGTCTTGTATAACTGAAACTTTGTACACTCTGAGTAACACCTCCCCATTCCACTCTCCCTACATTCCATGACAGCTACCATTCTACTGTTACTATGAGATCAACATTGTTTTTAGATTTTACATATAAGTGAGATCATGCAGTATATGTTCTTCTGTGTCTGGCTTATTTCACTTATCATAATGTTCTCCAGGTTCATCTATGTTGTCACTAATGGTAGGGTTCTTCCCTTTTAAAAGCTGAATAATATTTTATTATATATATGTCACTTTTTTCATACAGTCAGTGATAGATGGACATTTATTTCCATGTCTTGGCTTTTGTTAATAGCACTGCAACGAACATGGGAGTGTAAATATCTCTTTGAGATCCTGAATTCAGTCTTTTGCAAATATATCCAGAAGTGAGATTACTGGCTCATATGGTGTTCTATTTTTAATTTTTTTGAAGAACCTCCATACTGACTGCACCAATTTATATTTCCAACAACATACAAGCGTTCTCTTTTCTTCATATCCTCATCAACACTTGTTATCTTTTATCTTTTTGCGAATAGAGGTGTGAGGTGATATCTCCTTGTGGTTCTGATTTGCATATCCCTCATGGTTAGTGATTATATTTAGCAAAATCCAACGGTTTTTCTTTGGATTCAGAGTCTGGAGTGCTCACCATTACACCATGGAACCATTCCAACTGTTTTCTCTATGCTCACACTCAATACAGAACATTTCTGTGAGATGTGTGCAGTATTTCCCAACCAGCCAGTTCTCTAACTCCAGCTGGGTGTCCTATGGTTTAACTCAATTCTGAAATGACAACCTGGATATAGTGTTAGCTCTCATGGACTAAGGGCTCAATCCCACAAGACTAACCCAACTTCAGATGTCAATTGAAAGTCCAGGTTGTCAACTGTGTTTCTGACTGACTGGCTGTAAATCAGAGATATATTCCCTCTTCATGTTCAGTCATTTGCTAGAGTGGCTCACATGACTCAGGAAAGACCTTTACTTACTATTATATGTTTATTATAAAAAAATACAACTTTGGAACAGCCAGTTGGAAGAGATGCATAGGGCAAGGTTCAGAAGGGTCTCCAGCAGGGGAGATTCTGTCCCTATGGAGTTAGGGTACACCACCCTACCAGCATGCGGGTATGTTCTTGTTTACCAACCCAGAAGCTCTCTGTATTCCATCTGGTGGATTTTTTATGGAGGATTCAACACATAGGCATACTTGATGAAATCATTGGCCATTGGTGATCAACTCAACCTTCAGCCCCTCCCTCCTCCACCCTGGAGATTCCATGTTGAGGTTGGGGATAGGCTGAAAATTCCAACCATTTAATCACTTAGTTGGTTCCTCTGGCAATTAATCCTTATTTTGAGGCTATCCAGGAGCCCCCAGTCATCAGTAATCTCATTAGCATAGAAAAAAATCACTTTGGAGATTCCAAGAGTTTTAAGCCCTCCATGCCAACAATTGAAATGAAAAACAAATATATATATTTATTATAAATCACAATGGCATGTGATATTGTGCACATTTTCATATGCCATCTGTATGTCTTCTCTGGGGGAATGTTCATTCAGTTTCTTTAAACGTTTTGAAATAAAGTTATTTTATTGATTTTTTGAAGGGCTTTTTGTGTCTGTATCTCCTTCAGTTCTGCTCTGATCTTAGTAATTTCTTGCCTTCTGCTAGCTTTTGAATGTGTTTGCTCTTGCTTCTCTAGTTCTTTTAATTGTGATGTTAGGATGTCAATTTTAGATCTTTCCTGCTTTCTCTTGTGGGAATTTTGTGCTATAAATTTCCCTCTACACACTGCTTTAAATGTGTCCCAGAGATTTTGGTATGTTGTATCTTTGTTCTCATTGGTTTCAAAGAACATCTTTATTTCTGCCTTCATTTTGTAATGTACCCAGTAGTCATTCAGGAGCAGGTTGTTCAGTTTCTATGTAGTTGAGCAGTTTTAAGTGAATTTCTTAATCCTGAGTTCTAGTTTGATTGCACTGCGGTCTGAGAGACAGTTTGTTATAATTTCTGTTCTTTTACATTTGCTGAGGAGTGCTTCCAACTATGTGGTCAATTTTGGAATAAGTGTGATGTGGTGCTGAGAAGAATGTATATTCTGATGATTTGGGGTGGAGAGTTCTGCAGATGTCTATTAGGTCCGCTTGGTGCAGAGCTGAGTTCAATTCCTGGATATCTTTTTAACTTTCTGTCTCATTGATCTGTCTAATGTTGACAGTGGGGTGTTAAAGTCTCCCATTATTATTGTGTGAGAGTCTAAGTCTCTTTATATGTCTCCAAGGACTTGCTTTATGAATCTGGGTGCTCCTGTATTGGGTGCTCCTGTATTGGGTGCATATATATTTAGGATAGTTAGCTCTTCTTGTTGAATTGATCCCTTTACCTTTATGTAATGGCCTTCTTTGTCTCTTTTGATCTTTGTTGGTTTAAAGTCTGTTTTATCAGTGACTAGGATTGCAACCCCTGCCTTTTTTTGTTTTCCATTTGCTTGGTAGATCTTCCTCCATCCCTTTATGTTGAGCCTATGTGTGTCTCTGCATGTGAGATGGGTTTCCTGAATACAGCACACTGATGGGTCTTCTATCCAATTTGCCAGTCTGTGTCTTTTAATTGGAGCATTTAGCCCATTTACATTTAAGGTTAATATTGTTAAGTGTGAATTTGATCCTGTCATTATGATGTTAGCTGGTTATTTTGCTCGTTAGTTGATGCAGTTTCTTCCTAGCCTCGATGGTCTTTACAATTTGGCATGTTTTTGCAGTGGCTGGTACCGGTTGTTCCTTTCCATGTTTAGTGCTTCCTTCAGGAACTCTTTTAGGGCAGACCTGGTGGTGACAAAATCTCTCAGCCCTCTTCAGGAGAACTACAAACCACTGCTCAATGAAATAAAAGAGGACACAAACAAATGGAAGAACATTCCATGCTCATGGATAGGAAGAATCAGTATCGTGAAAATGGCCATACTGCCCAAGGTAATTTATAGATTCAATGCCATCCCCATCAAGCTACCAATGACTTTCTTCACAGAATTGGAAAAAACTACTTTAAAGTTCATATGGAACCAAAAAAGAGCCCGCATTGCAAAGATGATCCTAAGCCAAAAGAACAAAGCTGGAGGCATCACGCTACCTGACTTCAAACTATACTACAAGGCTACCGTAACCAAAACAGCATGGTACTGGTACCAAAACAGAGATACAGACCAATGGAACAGAATAGAGCCCTCAGAAATAATACCACACATCTACAACCATCTGATCTTTGACAAACCTGACAAAAACAAGCAATGGGGAAAGGATTCCCTATTTAATAAATGGTGTTGGGAAAACTGGCTAGCCGTATGTAGAAAGCTGAAACTGGATCCCTCCCTTACACCTTATACAAAAATTAATTCAAGATGGATTAATGACTTAAATGTTAGACCTAAAACCATAAAAACCCTAGAAGAAAACCTAGGCAATACCATTCAGGACATAGGCATGGGCAAGGACTTCTTGTCTAAAACACCAAAATCAATGGCAACGAAAGCCAAAATTGACAAATGGGGTCTAATTAAACTAAAGAGCTTCTGCACAGCAAAAGAAACTACCATCAGACTGAACTGGCAACCTACAGAATGGGAGAAAATTTTTGCATTCTACTCATCTGACAAAGGGCTAATATCCAGAATCTACAATGAACTCAAACAAATTTACAAGAAAAAAAAACCCCATTAAAAAGTGGGCAAAGGATATGAACAGTCACTTCTCAAAAGAAGACATTTATGCAGCCAACAGCCACATGAAAACATGCTCATCATCACTGGCCATCAGAGAAATGCAAATCAAAACCACAATGAGATACCATCTCACACCAGTTAGAATGGCGATCATTAAAAAGTCAGGAAACAACAGGTGCTGGAGAGGATGTGGAGAAATAGGAACACTTTTACACTGTTGGTGGGACTGTAAACTAGTTCAACCATTGTGGAAGACAGTGTGGCGATTCCTCAAGGATCTAGAACTAGAAATACCATTTTACTCAGCCATCCCGTTACTGGGTATGTACCCAAAGGATTATAAATCATGCTGTTATAAAGACACATGCACACGTATGTTTATTGTGCCACTATTCACAATAGCAAAGACTTGGAATCAGCCTAAATGTCCATCAATGATAGACTGGATTAAGAAAATGTGGCACATATACACCATGGAATACTATGCAGCCATAAAAAATGATGTGTTCATGTCCTTTGTAGGGACATGGATGAAGATGGAAACCATCATTCTCAGCAAACTATCGCAAGGACAAAAAGCCAAACACTGCATGTTCTCACTCATAGGTGGGAACTGAACAATGAGAACCCTTGGACACAGGAAGGGGAGCATCACACACTGGGGCCTGTCATGGGGTGGGGGAAGAGGGGAGGGATAGCGTTAGGAGATATACCTAATGTAAATGATGAGTTAATGGGTGCAGCACACCAACATGGCACATGTATACATATGTAACATGTGCACGTTGTGTACATGTACCCTAGAACTTAAAGTATAATAAAAAAGAGAAAGCAGATATATGCATGTAAAAAAAAAGAAAAAGAAAAAAAGAAATAAAGTTATTTTATTTTATTGCTATTGAGTTGTAGGAATTCCTTATATATTTGCATATTAACTCATTATCAAATATATTGTTTGCAAATATTTTCTCTTAGTCTGTAGGTTGCTTGATCATTTTGTTGATTGCTTCCTTTGCTGTGCAGAAGCTTTTTAGTTTTATGCAGTCCCATTTATCCATTTCTGCTTTTGTTACCTGAGGTTTTTGTATTATATCCAAGAAATCATTACTAAGACAAATTTCAAGATTTTCCCTTCTATTTTCTATTAGAAGTCTTATAGCTCAAGGTATTGCTTTTAAAAATCCATTATGAGCTAATTTTTGTGTATGGTATAAAATGGTATAAAATAAAGATACAATTTCTTTTCTTTTCTTTTTTTTGCATGTAGACACCCAGTTTTCCCCAGTTTTGTGTATTTTTGGTACTTCTGTTGAAGATCAGTTGACCATACAGATATGAATGAGTTTATTTCTAGGCCTTCTATTCTGTTCCAAAGGTCCATTCTATCCAATTTTTCTGCCAGTGCTATCATGTTTTGATTACTGTAGCTTTGCCATATAGTTTGATGTCAATTAGTGGGAAACCTCTAGTTTTGTTTTCTTACTCAAGATTGCTTTGGCCATTTGGGGAGTTTTGTGGTTCCATATGAATTGTAGAATTGTTTTTCTATTCTTCAGAAAATGCCATTGGGATTTTAATAAAAGTTGCATTATATCTGCAGATTAACTTGGATAGTATAAACATTTTAATAACATTTTCATTTAATCCATAAACATGAAATCTCTTTACATTCATTTATGTCAGCCTTAATTTCTTTCATCAGTGTTTTCTAGTTTTCATTGTACAAGTCTTTCATCTCCTTGGTTAAGTTTGTTCTTAAGTATCTTATTCTTCTTGACGTGATTGTAAATGAGATGGTTTTCTTAATTTTTCTCAGTTCATTGACAGTGTTTAAAAACATACAGCTGCATTTTGTATGTTGATTTTGTATCCCACAACTTTATCAAATTAGTTTATTGGTTCTAATGGTTTCTTTCACATGTGTGTTTGAGTGGGTGGAGTATTTAGCGTTTTCTATGTATATGATCATGCCATTCACAGAGAAAATCTTAGTTTTTCTTTTCTTATTTGGATGCATTTTATTTCTTTTTCTTTCCTAATCCTCTAGTTGGACTTTCAGTACTACGTTGAAAAGAAGTAGAGAAAGTGGGCATCATTGTCTTGTTCTTAATCTTAGAGACAAAGCTTTTAGCTTTTCACAGTCGAATATGATGTTAGCTGTGGGCTTGTTGTATATAGGCTTTATTGTGTTGGGGTTCATTCCTTCTGTACTTAATTTGTTGAGAGTTTTTATCATGAAAAGATGTTTTGTCAAATGTTTTGTCTGCATGTATTGAGATTATCTTCTTAATTTCTATTCTTTATTCTTTCAGTGTTGGTATTATATTTACTGATTTGGTTATGTTTAACTATCCTTGCATCCCAGGGATAAATTCCACTTGATCATGGTGTATGATCCTTTTAATGTGCTGTTAAATTCAGTTTGTTAGTATTTGTTGATAATTTTTTACATCTATGTTCTTTAGGAATATTGGACTGTAATTTTCTTGTAGTGTTATTTCTGGCTTTGGTATTAGGGTAATGCTGGCTTTATAAAATAAGCTTGGAACTTTTCCCTTCTTCCCAGGTTTTTTTGAAAAATTTGAGAAGGATTAGGATTGATTCCTCTTTAAATATCTGGTAGAATTCACCAGAGAAACTGTCAGGTCCTAGGTTTTCTTTAATGGGAGATTTATTACTGTCTTAATCTCCATACTCATTGTCAGTTCAGATTTTTTATTTCTTCATGATTAATCTTTTTTTTTTTCATCAGTGTCTCACTCCTGTCACACAGGCTGGAGTTCAGTGGTGTGATCTTGGCTCACAGCAGACTGGACTTCCCAGGCTCGGAAGATCCTCTGCCCTCAGCCTCCCAAATCGCTGGGATAACAGACATGCACCACTATGCCTGGCTAATTTTTGTATTTTTAGTAGAGACGTGGTTTTGCCATGTTGTCCATGCTGGTCTTGAACTCCTGGGCTTAAGCAATCTGCCCATCTTGGCTTCCCCAAGTGCTGGGATTGTAGTCATGAGCCACTGTGCCCAGCCTATGATTCAATCTTGATAGGTTGTATGTTTCTAGAAATCCATTTTTTCTAGGTTATAATATCTAATTTGATGATGAATGCTTGTACATAGTAGTCTCTTATGATCCTTTGTACTTCTCCAGTATCAGTTGTATCTTCTCTTTCATTTATAATTTTACTTGAGTCTTTTTTAAGAAAACCTTGCTAAAGTTTTATACAATTTGTATATCTTTTCAAAAAAACCACTCTAGCTTCACTGATCTTTTTAATATATTTTAGTCCCTATTTCATCCATTTCTGCTCTAATCTTATTATTCTTCATTCTGCTAACTGGTGTGGGTCTGATGTCTGCATCTGTGGGGATGAGTCTGAAGCCTGGGACTATATGGGTTGGCCTGATGCTGGGGTTTATCGGGCTGGTCTTGGTGCACAGGTCCATAGACAAGCCTGGGGCTCTCATCACTCTCCTTCCCAACAAGGAGGATCTCTCATTCCTGTGCTATCTGGGGTTGGGGGAAGGGTGACATGGATGACGTAAAGCTGTCCTTCCTACCCTCTTATTTCTGTGCTTCACTCAGGTGCTGTCATATAGATTCTTTAGTTCTCTCTTTGTGTTATTTCTTACAACTACCTGTAAATCTACATTTATCAAAAATAAAAGTGTAATAATATATGAATGTAAAATTAAGACATTTACAGAAATAACAAAATCAAAAGAATTCATCACCAGCAGACTTCCAGTGTAAGAGGTGTTATAGATATTAAAAAGTGTTCATGACATTAGAAAATGATACTACATTGTAACTTGTATATACAAAAAGAAATAAAAGGTACCAGAAATGATAACTAGATGGGTAAATATAAAGCTATTTTCTCTTTTTTTAGTTACTTTCTAAATCTTTCTTTTTTAAAAAAACTTTTATTTTAGGTTCAGGGTTACATGTATAGCTTTGTTATTTAGGTAAATTGCATGTCACAGGAGTTTAGTGTACAAATTATTTTGTCACCCAGGTAGTGTGCATAGTACTTGATAGGTAGTTTTTCGTTTTTCTCCCTCCTCCCACCCTCCACCTTCAAGTACGCCCCAGTGTCTGTTATTTCCTTCTTTGTGTCTATGTGTACTAAATGTTCAACTTCCACTTATAAGTGAGAACATGTGAGATATATATAGAGAGAAATGCTATTTTATTAAATTCTGGCACTGCCAATTATATATTTATATCTATATATCTATATCTATATCTATATCTATATCTATATCTATGGTTTTCGCTCCTGTATTAGTTTGCTTAGGATAATGGCCTCTATCTCCACCCACGTTGCTGCAAAGGACATGATCTCATTCTTTTTTATGGCTGTGTATTATTCCATGGTATATATATGTACTACATTTTCTTTTATACAGTCTACCATTGTTGGGCATTTAGGTGAATTTCATGATAAAGCAAAATTTTTATTATTTAATATCTTTTAAAAATAATGACTTATTCCAAACGAAAAACCCACAATAACAATATATTGTGAAGTTTTAAAAAGTTGTATAAGTAGAAGTACAGTGTATGAGAACAATCTATTAATAATATTGTATCAAACATTTAAGGAAAGAAATAATACCAATTACCAAAAATTGAAGCGTTTAGAATACTTACCATCTCAGTTAATGAAGACAATATTATTCTGATACCAAAAGTAGACAAAAATATTGCAATAAATAAAATATATAAGCCAATATCTCTCAAGGATATATATACAAAAATACTTAACAAACTTCTGGCATATCAAATTCAACAATATGTAAAAGGATAATACATGAAGACAATTGGGGTTCATTCCAGGAATGCAGATTGGTTTAACATTGAAAATCAAACATTGTAACTCACTATATTAACAGACTTAAAGAAAAATTATATGACCATCTCAGCAGATGGAGAAAAAGCACTGGACAATATCCGGCATCCATTAATAAAAACTCTCAATAACTTAGAAGTAAAAGGGGACTTCCTCAACCTGATGAAGGATGTCTATGAAAATCCTACACCTAACCTAAGCAAATATCCTGAAAAACTAAATGCTTTCCCCTAGGATCAAGAACAAGGCACGTATGAAAGAAAAGTTATTTGGAATATTGTTGTATTCACCTCTGAAAAGTACAATGCGTCCCAATCTTTTAGAATTTTGATAAATTTTTGAGTGTGTATGTGTGTGTGTGTGTGTGTAATGGAGAATGATCTAAGTTCAAAGACCTCTAATTCAAAGATTGAAGAATCCGTATCTCAAAGAGAACCTCTCTTGATTAAAGAATGATGAAACTGGTTCTGAAACATTTGACTCCAAAGCTTACACATTTCTACAAGATTCCTTGGCCAGTGTTACCTCACCATAGCTGTGCTACAGTTTGTGCTCTCCTGGGTTTAGTGTTTTCAAACATTTATTCTAATTTACTTGGCAGAATTGTTAGTAATAATGTAAGCAGGAGGTGGATATAAACTTGACAATAAAAACTCTCACAGAACATTTTTAAAGAAATGCTATTTTATTAAATTCTGGCACTGCCAATGATGGGGGCCACAATTATACATTTTACAGATCTTCATCTTATTTAAACAATAGCCTGAAATCACAAATCAGTTGTGTATTCATTATTTGAATGCAATTGCTCCTGTGGAAGTCCTTCATTCTCTGAGGGCATTTAGTCAGCTTGATTACATGTATCATAATTTCCTTTGTACAGTCAACCTTCAAGAATACTGGTAAATTTCTTCCTCAGAAACTCCATGCCATAGGATGAACAATAGCGAGTTAGTGAGTCACTCTTACAGCATGTCCTTCCCTGCAAATTATCCTGTCCAAGTAATGCTTTTGTTTCCTGTCCATTTGACATGTATTTATCATAAGGAAAATACCAGTTTGTGTCCTATTTTCATTGTAGGGGAGCTGGGAAAATGATAATCTTATATAGTTCTCCTTTTGTGAAGTTTTTTTTCCATTATCATTAATACTAGTTAATTTTCTAGTCCCTCTTCCCTTTAAATTTCAAGTAAACTTGTACTAGTATGTACACCACTTCTCCTAAATCTGAAAATCAGACCCAAAGATAGAAATATCCGAAAGAAGAAAACAATTGGAATTAACAACTTTAATTTCCCTTACTGGATACAAAACAAATATTCAGTAAATTTTTTGTGAAAAATGCGTATGTGTCCTGTTTTATTTTCAAATCCTGAATACTTGACTGAATAAATATTTTACCTGGTTTCTTTGCTTGGAGCACATAAGAAACATAAGGGGTCTTTGCTCTTCAAGTTCTTACAATCTAGTTATGCAATGAAACATTTAATGAAAATATAAGGCAGGATATCAAGTAGTGCCATTTTGAAGGACTATTATATGCCAATGTGTTGGAGAATCCTTGCTGCCAGTGTTAAGGTCAAAGTTGAAAAAAAGAGAATAGTTGGTGTTGTACAGCCACAGTCTTCTTCCATAACTTATCCTTTCATTTCTAGAAGGCAGCCATTTAACAAGATTGAGGAATGCTGTAAGACTCTAAGACCATAGCTTGTTTGAACACCATCTCCCATTCTACGTTTGACTCTCATACATTCCACCTTCACTTCAAGTCTACTCTAACAGGAATGATGAGTTTGCCTGAGCTACTTCCTAGAGATACATCAGTGCCTCTGAGATAATAGAACAAGGGAGAACAGCTCTGAGTTCTGGATGAATGCTGCATCTTCACTGCATTTCTTTCTCTCTCTCTCTCTTTTTTCTTTCCATGAATGCTAGGTTCAGTTTCTGCATTTACAGTGGAATAGGCACTATTCAAAGGCCAAGGAATCCTTATCTCAAAAAGTGCCTCTGTTTATTAAAAGACTAAAAGGATTTTGAGACCTCTAATATATTGGGTAAAAAATGGGGTGGGATTTGATTATCTCTAAAGTACTATTGTCTAATTGAAATGTGTAGTCTTTGAAGACATACAGATTTGAGTTGAAATCCTGGCTTTAACTATTATGGTTGGCATGGCCTGGTAAAAGTTATTTTATCTTACTTTATCTGTATATCATTAATAACAATAAAAATATTGCTGCAAAATATATTTCTTAGGAGGATTAATGCAGACCAAGCAACTAGTACAGTGCCTTGTACATACATATGTCAAAAATGATTATAATTATGATTCCCATTCTAATAGTCTTATAATTTTTTCTCTTCAAAACACTTCTGATCTAATTCTATAAAGTGTCTCTTCATCTAGGTTTAGCAATACTTTTATTATCTTATGTCTCTGATGTTATAATAGTTTATTAACTGGCCATTCTACCATTTCTCCTTTTTTTGTCTCTCTTTTCTAATTTATCTCATGGTTTAGCATTTAAAGAAGTGGCTTCTCAGGATAAAGGTATTTCTATAGATGACAAGGAGGAGGAAAAGTAAACAGGTAGGATGCCTAGGGCATAATCTGAATTCTTTAGGTTGGCATTCAAGGACATTTTCATCTTATAGAATAGGTTAGGTGAATACAACACAACTCCTTCCTCTTGTATGGTAAGCTGGTTTAACTAAAACCTTGAGTTATCTTTTATAATTTTGAAGTCTAGAAATGCCCTTTCTTTTGTAGTTGCCCTATAAACTCAATGAAGATATTAAAACCTTGCTAATCTTTCAGAAACAATTTGAACCTTAGCTTGTATCATAAGCTCTCTTTGATTTCTTCAACCAGCTTGGTAAGAAACATGAGCGCCTATTTTACATGACACTTAATATAACTATTTTATTTAGACCTCATAATATCCTACAAAGCAATTATTTTAAATCTTACTCTTAAAAGTGGAGACTAAAACTGCAATTATGACATCTGTACAAAATTCTACAACTAGACCTGGTTGGATCAGTATTAGAATACTGGTAGGTTCAATTGACACCAAAACCCATGTTATTTCTATCTCTCAATGTGGCCTAAAGTATATACTACCATGAGTGGGAGAATAAAGAAAATGTGACTTTCTAAGTCACCTTGGACAATCACTTTTCTCCTTGTATTTTATCATTTTAAAAAATGTGGTTTCTAAGCTGGGAAATATGTATACAAAGGTTTTTTCATTGCCTTTTATATTTTTGTTTACAGTATTCTGTATGTATTTAATAAAGTTATTTCATAAAAAGTAAAACAATCATTTACTAATACAAATGAGGATACGAATAGCATTTCACATACCTCTGAACCATAGAACATAGATTTTGGAGAGACTCTAGACATCATCTAATCCAGCCTCCTCATTTTCTAGATGAAGTGTTTGCAAGGGAGAGAGTGAGGTAGACCATTTGGCCAAAGCTGGGGGAAAGTGTGTGACTGAGTTGCAACTCAGTTATTCTGATTTCCACCTGAATGATTTGAGATGTGAATAGTTGCTTTCCTGGCAGGCAAATTGTGAGTTTTGATAGCACAGACTATGGGGGTGGGCTGCCTGCTGTAGACTCTCGGAAGCTGCTGCACAAAAGCCTTTGCAGAGCATGCTTCACCTCCTTGTTCCGCAAAGTGTAAATGAATGGGTTGAGCATTGGAGTTACGATTGTGTAGAAGACAGCAGGGGCCCCAGCTCCTGCCTCACTGGAGCGAGGCTGCAGGTAGATACAGACAGGTGGCACGTAGTACAGGAGCACCCCAGTGAGCTGGGCAGTGCAGGGGGAGAAGGCCCGCTGCCGGCCCTGGGCTGTGCGGATGCGCAACACAGCTGCCACGATGAAGATGTAGGAAATAACGATGAGGATGAGGCAGCCTGCAGCCACGATGCCAATGCTGGCAAGCATGACTAGCTCATTAATGGTGGTGTCTGTACAGGCGAGCTTTAGGACAGGGGGTATGTCGCAGAAGAAGTAGGCAATGTGGCAAGGCCCACAGTAGAGCAGGCGGAAGGTGAGGGAGGTGTGGATTGCAGCGTGCGTGGCACCTATGGCCCAGGTGATTCCAGCCATTTCTGCACACATCCTTCTGTTCATGGCCACTGGGTAGTGCAGGGGTTGACAGATAGCCAGATAGCGGTCATAGGCCATGACTGTGTACAGGAAGCACTCAGTGCTGGCCAGAAAGTGGAAGCAATAAAGCTGTACGGCACAGCCCTCAAAGGAGATCACCTTCCCATCCAGAGTCAGCAGGCCTGCCATGACCTTGGGCACTGTCACTGTAGACAAACAGGCATCCAGGAAGGAGAGGTGCCCCAGGAAGTGGTACATGGGTAAGCTGAGGTGAGAGTCAGAGCCCACAGTTAGGAGGATGAGGAGATTCCCAGCCACAGTGATGCTGTAGATGAGGAGGAAGAGGAGGAAGAAGAGGCTAGAATGTTTAGCGGTGTACCTCAAACCCTCCAGGAAGAAGTGGCTCACCACAGTCTGGTTGGGGTTCTCCGTTGTCATGGTCATCTTCTCACACACAGAGCGGCTAGTCATCCCCTTTGCAACAAAACTGACATTAATGGAATAAATAGCTGTATCCCTTTCCTGAGATGTCATTATCCATCAAGCCACACCACCTTGGTCTTACCCAGTAAGCAAGAGAAAGATGTACAAGTTCATCTTACAGTTTTGTTCTGCTCTAGTCTAGTGCTTCCTTGCTGTTTATTTCTTCATAATGAATCTTTCAATACAAAATCTGCAGTTTTGGTGAGGTATATAAAGGACTGTAAGAATTATTTGCAGAAATGCACTCCCTAAATAATGACAATAAAAATATGGATTATAAATCCTACTCTCAATGAGTATTTTTTGCAAATATTCCAGAATTGTGATGCCTCTGCCCTCCTACTCTATGTACCCTGCCATGCTGTAGATGTAGAAAGGCAGGTTCTTATTGCTGTGTCATCAGGGAGATGCATCCTATTTTCAGGTGAGACTTGCCTGGAGTTTTGGTGCTATTACATCAGCCAGAAACACAGCAGCCCCACCCATTACTCAACCAGAGGAGTTCTTTGGAATTTCAGTTACCCACAATCCTCAAGTGTGTAACAATTGAGGCTTGGAGAATAGACTGAATAATTATCAGGACAATTTTTTCTATACACTTTGTGTTCTTCCTGTAAAGCTCTGTTTCAAAATTTGGGGAATTGTTTGCCTTTTCCTTTCTTGTTGAGCCTTTCCACTGGACTGTAATTGAGATTTAAAGAGTTCTCTTTGATTCTTCCATCTTTCACCTCGTTAGCCTAACAGATGTTGCATTAGGTGAAAAATTTCCTTAAACTGCTTTTTTTCCGTGTTGTCTCTTCAATTCCTGTGGATTTTACCTAAACCCACCTCTTCATATTTTACACCTAGATTTTCACAATGGTATTTTATGTCCCATCTCTTCCTTACTCCCTGATATACCAAATGATTCAGTATTCAACTTTTTTGTGCCAGTTTTCTTAAAAAAATTCGAATATATCTTTTCTTACTGTTCCTTAGTGCCTGAGATATAAAGTGTATCTCTGTCCTACATTCAGAATTATCTGTAAACTATTTCCATTATCATGAAAAAAATCTTTATCTTCTGCAATCCCCTAAGAAACTCCTGTTATCCAGGGATGCTATTTGCCTCATCTCCTCAATTTGCCATAATCTCTCTCTGATCTTGTCACAGGATCCTTAGGATGTCACTTTTCCAGACAGAAACCTCTGTGGCTGGTGGTTCCTCTGCTTGAGTTTGCTCATGGCTGCTGGGTTCTTTTCACCCACTTGGCCTGGCAGGCTGCACTTGGCTCGTGCTACCAGCCTGGATTCCATGCTTGCCAAGGGTGGGAGAGGCGAGAGGTGTGTGAGTGAGCAAGCACAGGGGTCTGGCCACTGCACACAGCCAGGCACACTTGCTGCTGTGGTGGGATGGGCAGCTCCAGGTGCCAGCAGAGGCACCAGCTTCATGTGAGGCTATAGCTGGACCAGGCATACTGCAAGTGGTTTCCATTATGGGCACCAGCATCTGGACGAGGGGAATATGGGGGCACCCAAAAGCTCAGAGATGCCAGGAACTGCAGAGCCCAAAGAGGGTATTACAGCCTGTCACAGCCCTGGCTCAGGGAGTCCTGAGGTCTGGGCTCCAAGAAGCTCTTCTTTCCTTCTCGTCACCCACAATGCAGCCAATGAGGGGGTGAGTTTGGGGGTTTGTGTTTCAGTCTGTTTGTGTTACAGCCCTTTCAGTCCCACCACCCCACTCTGACCTGCAGCTCCTGGGCTGGCCTGGCCCACCTCTGCTTCCTGTCCCATTGGGTGGCCACCCAGCACTGGCAGAGGGTGGGAGGGCTATAGTGTTACAGCAGCTCTGGCTTGGGGAGTCCCGAGGTCTGGGCCACCAGGAGGGTCACCACTTTTTACTCCCATAGTCCGGGAGCATGTCACCACCCACAGCTTGGCAAATGAGCCAGGAACATGTTACAGCACCTTTAGCTCCCCCTGTTCGGTGGGTCCCAAGTTCTCATCCTGCGTCCAGGAAGAATGAGGATACTAGAGGACAACTAGAGGGTGAGCAAGGTGCAGAGGAGCTTTATTAAGCAAGAAAACAGCTCTCAGGAGACCTGAAGTCAGTAGCTCCTTTCTGCAGGCAGGTCCCCCCAGTGAGTGAGTTTGGCTGCATCTGAGGCTTTTATGTGCTTAGAATGGAGGAAGTGCATGCTGATTGGTCCATGGGTGGCTATAGGTGGGTCTGGAAAAAGCGTCATCCAATTGGCCAAAAGGCGTCAATGAAGTTCTCACTCTGGGTTGTGGACTTTACCCAGAACTGGCACCCCAGACCCCAGGCTCCAGGCTGTCCCTGGCATGAAGGTGGGGTTTCACTGGGGACCCACCCCTCCCACCTAGGAACATGTCTGCCTCCTGCCATCCGTGATACACAGGCTGTCCAGGCCAAGGGGTGCCTGCAGGCTGGCACTGAGCCACCCTCAGCCCCTTGGCTTCCCTCCTGTGCTCCTTGGCACCCAAAGTCCAGAGGGAGACAGGGCAGCAGGGAGCTAGCTGAATGTTATTGCCTAGGTTTTCTTCGAGGGTTTCTGTGGTTTTGGGTTTCACATTTAAGTCTTTAATCCATCTTGAGTTAATTTTTGTATAAAGTGTAAGGAAGGGGTCCAGTTTCTGTTTTCTGCATGTGGCTAGCCAGTTTTCCCAGCACCATTTATGAAATAGGGAATATTTTCCCCACTGCTTGTTTTTGTCGGGTTTGTTGAAGATCCGATGGTGGAAGACGTGTGGTCTTATTTCTGAGGTCTCTATTCTGTTCCATTGGTCTATATGTTTGTTTTGGTACCAGTACCATGCTGTGTTTGTTTACTGAAGCCTTATAGTATAGTTTTAAGTCAGGTAGTGTGATGCCTCCAGCTTTGTTCTTTTTGCTTAGGACTGTCTTGGCTATGTGGACTCTTTTTGGTTCCATATGCAATTTAAAGTAGACTTTCTAATTTCTGTGAAGAAAGCAGTTTGATGGGAATAGCATTGAATCCATAAATTACTTTGGCAGTATGGCCACTTTCACAATATTGATTCATCCTGTCCATGAGGGTGAAATGTTTTTCCATTTGTTTGTGTTTTCTCATTTCCTTGAGCAGTGGTTTATAGTTCTCCTTGAAGAGGTCCTTCACATCCCTCGTTAGCTGTATTCCTAGGTATTTTATTCTCTTTGTAGCAATCGTGAATGGGAGTTCATTCATGATTTGGCTCTCTGCTTGTCTATTGTTGGTATACAGGAAGGCTTGTGATTTGTGCACATTGATTTTGTATCCTGAGCCTTTGCTAAAGTAGCCTGTCAGCTTAAGGAGTTTTGGGGCTGAGACGATAGGGTTTTCTAAATATAGGATTATCTCATCTGCAAACAGAGTCAATTTGACTTCCTCTCTTCCTATTTAAATACCCTTTATTTCTTTCTCTTGCCTGATTGCCCTGGCCAGAACTTCCATTCAAAACCATGTTCAATAGGAGTGATGACAAAAGGCATCTTTGTCGTGTGCTGTTTTTGTAAAGGGAATGCTTGCAGCTTTTCCCCATTCAGTATGATATAGGTCGTGGGTTTTTCATAGACATCTTTTATTATTTTGAGATATGTTCCATTAATACCTAGTTTATTGAGAGTTTTTAGCAGGAAGGAATGTTGAATTTTATCAAGGTCCTTTTCTGCATCTGTTGAGATAATAATGTGGTTTATGTCATTGGTTCTGTTTATGTGATGGATTACAGTTGCACACGTTGAACCAGCCTTGCATCTCAGGGATGAAGCTGACATGATAGTGATGGATAAGCTTTTTGATGTGCTGCTGGATTCAGTTTGCCAGTATTTTTGCTGAGGATTTTCACATTGATATTCATCAGGGATATTGGCCTAAAGTTTTCTTTTTGTTGTTGTTGTTTTGTCTCTGCCAGATTTTGGTATCAGGATGATGCTAGCCTCATAAAATGATTTAGGGAGGAGGGCCTCCTTCTCAGTTGTTTGGAATAATTTCAGAAGGAATGATACCAGCTCCTCTTTGTACCTCTGGTAGAATTTGGCTGTGAAACCATCTGGTCCTGGGCTTTTTTTGGTTTGTAGGCTATTTATTAGTGCTTCAATTTCAGAACTTGTTATTGGTCTATTCAGGGATTCAACTTCTTCCTGATTTAGTTTTGGGAGGGTGTATGTGTCCAGGAATTTTTCCATTTCTTCCAGCTTTTCTAGTTTATGTGCAATGAGGTGTTTATAGTGTTCTCTGATTGTAGTTTGTGTTTCTGTGGGGTCAGTGGGGATTTCTCCTTTATCATTTTTTATTGTGTCTATTTGATTCTTCTCCCTTTTCTTCATTAGTCTAGCTAGTGGTGTATTTTATTTTTTTTTTTTTTTTTCAAAAAACCAGCTCCTGGATTCATTGATTTTTTTTGAAGGGTTTTTCATGTCTCTGTCTCCTTCAGTTCCACTCTGATCTTAGTTATTTCTTGTCTTCTACTAGCTTTTGGATTGCTTTGCTCTTGCTTATCTAGTTCTTTTAATTTTGATGTTAGGGTATTAATTTGAGATCTTTCTAGCTTTCTAATATGGGCATTTAGTGCTATAAATTTCCCTCTTAACACTGCTTTAGCTGCTTCCCAGAGATTCTGGTATGTTGTCTTTTTGTTCTCATTGGTTTCAAATAACTTATTTATTTCTGCCTTAATTTTGTTATTTACCCAGAAGTCATTCAGAAGCAGGTTGTTCAATTTCCATGAAGCTGTGTGGTTTTGAGTGAGTTTCTTAATCCTGAGTTCTATCTAATTCGATCACACTGTGGTCTGAGAGACTGTTTGTTATGATTTCCATTCTTTTGCAGTTGCTGAGGAGTGTTTTACTTCCAATTATGTGGTCGATTTTAAAGTATCATGTGACACTGAGAAGAATGTATATTCTGTTGTTTTTGGGTGGAGAGTTCTGTAGATATCTATTAGGTCCACTTGATCCAGAGCTTAGTTCAAATCCTGAATATCCTTGTTAATTGTCTGTCTCGTTGATTTGTCTAATATTGACAGTGGCATGTTAAAATCTCCCACTATTATTGTGTGGGAGTTTAAGTCTCTTTGTAAGTCTCTAAGAACTTGTTTTATAATTCTAAGTGCTCCTGTATTGGGTGCACATATATTTAAGATAGTTAGGTCTTCTTGTTGAATTGATCTCTTTACAATTATATAATGCCCTTCTTTGTCTTTTTTGGTCTTTCGTGGTTTGAAGGCTGTTTTGTCAGAGACTAGGATTGCAACCCCTGCTTTTTTCTGCTTTCCACTTGCTTGGTAAATTTTCCTTCATCCCTTTATTTTGAACCTATGTGTGTCTTTGCACGTGAGATGGGTCTCTTGAATACAGTGCACTGGTGGTCTTAACTCTTTATCCAGTTTGCCATTTGGTGTCTTTTCATTGGGGCATTTAGCCCATTCATATTTAATGCTAATGTTGTTATGT
Organism: Homo sapiens; assembly: GCF_000001405.40. Classification (NCBI taxonomy): domain Eukaryota; kingdom Metazoa; phylum Chordata; class Mammalia; order Primates; family Hominidae; genus Homo; species Homo sapiens. The sequence goes on from NC_000011.10 coordinate 123,983,156, forward strand.
GTGAATTTGATCTAGTCATCATGATGCTAGCTAGTTATTTTGCACACTATTTGATGCAGTTTCTTCATAGTGTCATTGGTCTTTATATTTTCATGTGTTTTGCAGTGGCTAGCACTGGTTTTTCCTTTCCATATATAGTACTTCCTTCAGGAGCTCTTGCAAGGCAGGCCTGGTGGTGATGAATTTTCCCAGCATTTGCTTGTCTAAAAGGATTTTATATCTCCTTCGCTTATGAAGCTTAGTTTGGATGGATATGAAATCCTGGGTTGAAAATTCTTTCCTTTAAGAATTGTGAATATTGGACCCCACTCTCTTCTGGCTTGTAGGGTTTCTGCTGAGAGATCCACTCTTAGTCTATTGGGCTTGCCTTTGTAGGTGACATGGCCTTTCTCTCTGGCAGCCCTTAGCATTTTTTCCTTCATTTTGACCTTGGAGAATCTTATGATCATGTGTCTTGGGGTTGATCTTCTCATGGAGTATCTTAGTGGGGTTCTCTGTATTTTCTGAGTTTGAATGTTGGACTGTCTTGCATGGTTGAGTAAGTTCTCCTGGATTATATCTTGAAGTGCGTTTTCCAACTTGGTTCCATTCTACTCGTCTCTTTCAGGTATTCCAATCAGTCATAGATTCGGTCTTTTTACATAGTCCCATATTTCTTAGAGGTTTTGTTTGTGCTTTTTCATTCTTTTTTCTCTAATCTTGTCTGTCTGCCTTATTTCAGCAAGATAGTCTTCCATCTCTGATATTCTTTCTTCTGCGTAATCCATTTGGCTATTGATACTTGTGTATGCTTCACGAAGTTCTCGTGCTGTGTTTTTCAGCTCCATCAGGTTGTTTACTTTCCTCTCTAAACTGATTATTCTAGTTAGCAGCTCCTCTTTTTCAAGGTTCTTAGCTTCTTTGCATTGGGTTAGAACATGCTCCTTTACCTCAGTGAAGTTTGTTATTACCCATCTACTGAAGCTTGCTTCTGTCAAATCATCCATCTCATCCTCCATCCAGTTCTGCACCCTTGCTGGAGAGGGGTTGTGATCATTTTGAGGAGAAGAGGCATTCTGGCCTTTTGGGTTTTCTTCTTTTTTTTGCTAATTCTTTCTCATCTTCATGAGTTTGTCTAGTTTTGATTTTTGAGGCTGCTGACCCTTGGATGAGGTTTTTGTGAGGACTTTTTTGTTGTTATTGATGCTGTTTTTGTTGCTTTCTGTTTGTTTCTCTTTGAATAATCAGATCCCTCTTCTATAGGGATGCTGCGGTTTGCTGGGGATTCACTTCAGGCCCTGTTCATCTGGTTCACTCTCGCACCTGGAGATGTCACTTGAGGAGGCTGAAGGACAGCAAAGATGGATGCCTCCTCCTTCCTCTGGGATCTCTGACCTTTAGGGGCACTGATCTGATGCCAGTAGGAATGCTCCTGTATAGAGTGTCTGACAACCTCTGTTGGTGTCTTACCTGTTGGGTGGCACGGATAGCAGGACCCATTTAATGAGGCACTTTGGCTGTCCCTTCGTGGAGGAGGTGTGCTTTGCTGGGGGGAAACTCACTTGTCTAGGCTACCTGGATTCCTCAGAGCTAGCAGGAGGAAGGACTAAGTCTGCTGGTCCATGGAGACTATGGCTACCCCTTCCCCTAGGGGCTCAGGCCCAGGGAGATTAGAATATTTCCCTGGCTGGAGTTGGAGCCCCTCAGGGAGGCCCTGCAGCCACAATATTGGCTGCCATCCCTCTTCCAAGGAGCTCAGATGGCTTAGACTGCAGGCAGCCACAGCAGTGGTTATGACCGCCCCTCCCCCCAGGAACTCAGCAGGCTTAGGCAGATTCTAGTCAAGTGGGTGTTGAGAATCTGCACAGCTCCGTGGTTGAGGCCCAAGACTCCAGTGGCGTGGGGTCCTGAGTGGGATCTTCCAATCCATGAGTTGCACAGTTCCATGGAAAAAGCATGGTTTCCCAGGTTGGGTGGCACGCTCACTCACTGCCTCCCTTGGCTAGGGGTTGGGGCTCCCCTGCCTTGTGTGGCTCTCATGTGGGCTGCTGCATCACACTGCTCTTCCTTCCTCTCCATGGGTCACGTCAGCCACCCAGTCAGCCCTTATGACAGAACTGGGATACCTCGGTTGGCAGTGCAGGGTTCGCATACTGTTTTGGATCTTTTTGATGGGATCCTCTGATTTCTACTGCTTCTAGTTGGCCATCTTGGCCCCACCCTCAGCAGTTCTTCCAAATGGTAAACAAAGAGTTACCATATGACACAGAAGCAGTTTCACTCCTAAGTCTACTGAATAGAATGGAAAACATATATTCACAGGAAACTTGGATATGGGGGCTGGGTGCAGTGGCTCTTGCCTGTAATCCCAGCATTTTGGGAGGCTGAGACTAGAGAATTGCTTGAGGTCAGCAGTTTGAGATCAGCCTTGGCAACATAGTGACACCTTGTCTCTATTAAAAAAAAAATTTTAATTAAATCAAAAAGAAGATTTGAATACAAACATTTATAGTAGCATTATTAGTAATAGCCAAAAGGTAGAAACAACCCAAATGTATATCAACTGGTGAATGGATAAACAAAATGTAGTATGTGCATATTATGGAGTACTATGAAGCTGTAAAAAAGAATGAAGTATATGCTACAATGTGGGTGAACCTCAAAAACATGCCAAGTGAAAGAAGTCAGACACAAAAATCTCACGTGGTTTATGATTACATGTATATGAAATGGATAAATCCAGAAAATACATGAGTGGATGCCTGATCCTATGGGTGGGAATGGAAACTGACAGCAAATAAGCACAAGGTGATAGAAATCTTCTAAAATTAGATTGTGGAGATGTTTTCACAACTGGTATAAACTTGTTTAAAATTACTGAAATGTATAAATAAAATGTTTAGCTTTTATCTAAAAAAAATCTGTTTAAAAAATAGAAAACACAACTTGGATTCCTCTGATTAAGTTAGTATCCCATGTAATGAAGAGATTGTACATTTCATGATCTTTAAGACACTATGATATAGTGAAATGATATGATATGAAAATATACATGTATTTCACTATATGATGTAGTGAAATGATATCAACAGAAAGGTCTGGACAGAGGTAGATCTACAATTAAATCTGGCTCTCATACGAGCTTAGTAGCTTGATAAGCTCCCTTGAAATTTCTGAGCCTCAGTTTCCTCATGTGTAAGTGATTTTAAAATAATCAAGTTTAACATTTTAACAAGAACTATATCTATATAGTGTGTGTGTATATAAAATAGTAATTGTTGAGTAATTTACTAATTAATTGGTAGCTTTTATTATTGCATAGCTAATATTCTATTATTTCATGCCCTCCTTTGAAATAGTTCTAATGTCTATAATTCTATTTTTCTACAATCACTATACTTAATAACTTAAACTCTTACATTTGGCTTATTTTAATTTCTATTAGTTGGTCACATTGACATCTGTCACCATCCTTCTCTAAACTTTTCCCATATGATTCTTTCACATTGACCATTTTTCATTTTCCACTTAAAAGTTGGAGATTCCACTGTCCAAGGCATAATCTAAACTTTTCAAGACAGGTTAGCATCCTCTCTGTTATCCGAGCATAGCACTTTCTTCCCTTGTAAATAATCAATTGTTTTTTATTAGTGCTTTATCCTCCATTGGGTTATATTTATATTTCCTGCAGGGCTTAGGAATGTTTTTTTTTAATAATTTAGATAGTAAATAAAAATAGTTTAGTAAAGACTAAACAAATGCTACCTACATCACAGTGATACAGAAAGAGAAACAGGGAAAAATGGGTAAGGTTCTCAGCCCATAGTTATTAGGATGAGAGATGCTCAGTCACAGTGACACTAGGTGTGGGTATTGGAGTTGGGCCATTCGTCCTCATTACCTTATTTTCATTCATAGTAGATGGTTAGTTACTCCCCTTTTTACTTAACTGAATTTATTCCTTTGACTTAACATATTTTTTCCTCTAAGTGCAATGTCACCATGGTACATATAAAGACATATAATATTACTCTGAAGATCCTATATTGTTACTATTGTCTGCTTTTTCTTTGAATCTCTCAGTAGAAGAATTGTTAATTGCATTAAGCACACAAATTATAGCCAGATGATGTTAGTACTAATCTCCTATTCAAATAAATACATAGTCTCCAAAAGGGCCTGGAAAATCCACTTCCTTAAGAAAATGTGGCACATATACACCATGGAATACTATGCAGCCATAAAAAATGATGAGTTCATGTCCTTTGTAGGGACATGGGTGAAATTGGAAATCATCATTCTCAGTAAACTATCGCAAGAGCAAAAAACCAGACACCGCATATTCTCACTCATAGGTGGGAATTGAACAATGAGATCACATGGACACAGGAAGGGGAATATCACACTCTGGGGACTGTTGTGGGGAGGGGGGAGGGATAGCATTGGGAGATATACCTAATGCTAGATGACGAGTTAGTGGGTGCAGTGCACCAGCATGGCACATGTATACATATGTAACTAACCTGCACAATGTGCACATGTACCCTAAAACTTAAAGTATAATAATAATAAAAAAAGTCTTATAAAAGTGGATTTCTTCCAATCTTTTTCTATTCCTGCTTTTGTTGGATTCTTTAGTAGAGCTACAGATGGAGATGAGCAGTGCCTTATTTCCAGGAGGCATGGGAAATTTCATCCAATACCTGTGAACTTTTGCCTGGAGTCTGAATTTCATTACATCGATAAGAGTACAGGAATCCCACCTGCCACACACCCAGAGTGAGTCTTGGAATCTGAAACTCTTTCAAAGCTTGGAATTGTGTGTTCAGTTAATAATCAAGGCAATTTCTGTGGTTTGTAGTATTCTCTGGATTTCATCTCTAAATTTTTAGGCAACAAAAGCCAAAATTGACAAATGGGATCTAATTAAACTAAAGAGCTTCTGCACAGCAAAAGAAACTACCATCAGAGTGAACAGGCACCCTACAAAATGGGAGAAAATTTTCGCAACCTACTCATCTGACAAAGGGCTAATATCCAGAATCTACAATGAACTCAAACAAATTTACAAGAAAAAAACAACCCCATCAAAAAGTGGGCGAAGGACATGAACAGACACTTCTCAAAAGAAGACATTTATGCAGCCAAAAAACACATGAAAAAATCCTCACCATCACTGGCCATCGGAGAAATGCAAATCAAAACCACAGTGAAATACCATCTCACACCAGTTAGAATGGCAATCATTAAAAAGCCAGGAAACCACAGGTGCTGGAGAGGATGTGGAGAAATAGGAACACTTTTACACTGTTGGTGGGACTGTAAACTAGTTCAACCATTGTGGAAGTCAGTGTGGCAATTCCTCAGGGATCTAGAACTAGAAATACCATTTGACCCAGCCATCCCATTACTGGGTATATACCCAAAGGACTATAAATCATGCTGCTATAAAGACACACGCACACGTATGTTTATTGCGGCATTATTCACAATAGCAAAGACTTGGAACCAACCCAAATGTCCAACAATGATAGACTGGATTAAGAAAATGTGGCACATATACACCATGGAATACTATGCAGCCATACAAAATGATGAGTTCATGTCCTTTGTAGGGACATGGATGAAATTGGAAATCATCATTCTCAGTAAATTATCGCAAGAACAAAAAACCAAACACCACATATTCTCACTCACAGGTGGGAATTGAACAATGAGAGCACATGGACACAGGAAGGGGAACATCACACTCGGGACTGTTGTGGGGTGGGGGGAGGGGGGAGGGATAGCATTAGGAGATATACCTAATGCTAGATGACGAGTTAATGGGTGAAGCACACCAGCATGGCACATGTATATATATGTAACTAACCTGCACAATGTGCACATGTACCCTAAAACTTAAAGTATAATAATAATAAAAAGAATGCAACCCCCCCCCAAAAAACACAATTCTTAAAATTTCAGCCAAAGTTGGGGAAATGTAAGAAATTGATATGATCAGGAAATGGGATTAGAGTATACTTTTTAAAAATCTTGACATTATTAAGTTGCTTAAAGTTTTAATAAAACATTTTTTAAAAATAAAAAAAAAGGACTTGTCTTACTACACACACCCTTTCTATTCTCTTCAATGGGTAAAGCTAGATATCAGAATTCCATTTGAATTTTTCTGTTTTTTAAAAAACATGAATAGCCTTTTTCTTGAAATGTAAGTCTTATTTGTATCTGCATTTAATTTTTTATAACCATTATCCTTAGTTTCTCATTTCATAATGAGATGAAACCCATCATAAGCCATTCTCATAACGAAATGAGAGACTGAGGGTAATGGTCATAAAAGACTCATTTCATAATGAGTCTCTCATTTCATTATGTCTCAGGGATTATAATTATAATCTCCTGCAAGGTCTTCTCAACTCTCACCTCTCCCCTTTAATGAATCACTTCATCCTGCATAACATTGACTGATCAAATTTCAAAAGAGTTTATCTCACTGGTCCCCTCCCACAAATGCTAATAATCTCAATCTCACATACTGATTTACTGTGCAACACAAAATTCTCAATTTATAACTCAAAACTTCTAAAATGTGATTGGTATCCATTTATTCTTATCCCCTACAACTTTTCTCTACTCAAGTACATTTCTCTGTTCAATAAGCATTTCTTTATGCAAGTAGATTTTCTCAACCTCTCCTAAATTTACTGTTAATCTCCTCTTGTTCTCCTCACCCTACCCAATCCCCCCTTGAAGAAATCAACTTCATTTTTATCTGATAACATCTCTAAAGCTTCTCGGACTTTAGTGTGCACATGAGTCACCTGGGACTCTTGTTAAGCTGCAAATCCTAATTCAACAGGTCTGGAGTAGGGACTGAGATTTCTGTCTTTCTAATAAGTGCCCAGAGATTTCCATTATGTGGTTCCATGAATTGCACTTTGAGTAGCAAGAATCTAAGCTACTATTCGAGGTTAAGATCAAGCCTATCCTCTCCATGTTGTCTTTCTACCCTAAGAATGCTTTGGTTCCCCTGTAAACTCAGTGGCATTTAACAGTGTGTTTTGATATGTAGCCTGTTCAGAAACTCTCTTAGCATACTTCTACACTTTTCTATGTGTATGTGATATAGTTCCCTAAGAAGAAGAATGTTTTCCATAAATATCTTTGAAAGAGAGCCAAAAAATGGCATGAACTATGAAGTTAGATGGACTTGGGTTTATTGTCCTGTCACTGTCAACTACTGGTTGAAGGATATTTGGAAGATTGCTCACTTCCTCTTCTCCTCTTGCTAAATACATCAATTCCACACCTTTAAAATGAAAATAATAATGCATAAAGAGTGTCCTATTAATAGTTGCTATTAACCCTGGATAGTATGTGAAATAACATAAAATCTTAATTTTTTAAAAGTCAGTTACTCAAACCGCTGAATTTTACATGACCCTTTCAATATGAGAATATCACTACTTCACAGAAAAGTCAATTCCAATATTGGACTGTTCATATACAATTTATACCATATACTGTTATACATATACTGTTCATACAATTTAAATCAACATGACTAAACTTCCCCCAATTATTTTTAGCCTAATCCTTTAAGCTCAATGAAATAGTCAAAATACCAAATAAATTCAAATAGAAATAATTTTTTGAACAAATCATGCTTACTGTATTTCACCACCTGCGTATAGCATAAAAATGGTAGGTGAGAAAAATCTGGCTAGTGACTGTCAAGCCTGACAAAAAAATTGAGACTTTGCTATGACACCTCTTTTCTTATCTCTTTCCTAGGAGTGTTTTTCTCCATGCTCCTCAACTTAGAATGGAATTAATGTCCTGATAAACCCATCCTAAGTCAAAAATATCATAAGATGAAAATGCATTGAATATACCTAACTTACCAAACATCATAGCGCAGTTTAGCCCATCCTAAATGTGCTCAGAACACTTCCATTAGCCTACAGTTGGGCCAAATCATCCGAAAGAAAGCCTATTTAATAATAAAATTTTGAATATCTCATTAAATTCATTGAATACTATACTGAATATGAAAAATAGAATGCTTTTGCACAATCATTAAGTTGAGCCATCCTAAGTTGGAGACCGTCTGTATACTCCTTTCAAAAAGCACAGATCATGAACATTTATGAACTCAGTGGGACTGGAACAATTATAGGACTTTTGAATATCAAAATCTAGAATAACTTAGAGATCATCTTGCTTCACTTCATTTTACAGACAAAGAAAGTAAATCTGGAAAGACTAAGTAGATACCGACAAATTGAAATGCCTTCTAGGAATTTAGAAATAAGGATAATTAGGGTTCTTGCTGAGTATTAAACTTTACGTATTACCACATAAATGATCTGAGCAGATAAATACAAACTTAGAATGGCTATCAGGTCATGACAGGAAGGAATGTATTTATAAAAAATAAGACACTCTAGTGAGGTGTATTCAGGAAGACGTGAACAAGCGTAGGTATATCTCTTTGTAAGACAAAAAAGACTGAATATAATGTGAATGGTAAATATATTAAAATGATTTCTATTTTCAATATGAGTTCAGTTAAGATGGCAGAAATGTTTCTGTTTGTTTACTACTTGATAAAATATCTGGAAATTAATCTAAAAAAACAGATATGAGGAAATGGCCCCAAATAATCTGAACCTGATTAGAAATGAATGAGAAAATAACCTTATTAGATGTTTAAAAGTATATTAAAGCCACAGGTATTTTTAAAGTTTGGTACTAACATATATATAATAATGATATCTGCACATATGTCAACATATGTATTTGAATTTTAAAATATACAGCCAAAGAATAAAAAGACACCAAAGAATACTTAATATTCAAACTCTAAACAGTAGTACGTTTTTAGCTTCTATTTTCAAGAATGGAGAAATATTCATACAGTCTAACACTACTTTTCCTTTTCTGTCTTATTTATTCATTTTTTATTCTCAATATTAGATAACCTCAAAACAAACTTGAAATCAAAATACCCTCTTAAGAAGTGAAGTTGCATAAAAATACTATCCTATGTGGCTCTTTCTAGTGGAGAGTTCAAATTCTGGGCTTACAGAAATAAGTTCACATATTAGCCCTGCTGCTCATTGACTGTGTGGATACAGTATAAAGTAAAATTTGCTGTTTGATGTTTTTATGTGGTAGTTTTCTTAACATAAAATAGTAAGATGTATTTTTTATTTCTCTATTAAGAGCAAAACAACCAATTAATTTTTTTTTATGTGACCTTTTTCTGTCTGTGTGATGTGTCATTGGCCCTGATGAGAAAAAGAAGTCCTCGTGTTTGCCTGAATTTGACTTCTAAGTAGGCACTTCTCTGGGATCAGAGGACTGATTACATAATTTCTGCCCCCCTTTGTGCCAGGGAGTGTTTATGTGCCCATTGCACTGCAGTTCTGTAGGTCTGCCAAATAGAGTTTGTAACTGTCTTGGGCTGCTCTTCCTAAGATAGTTAATTAGTCTTCTCTGGAGCATTCTCCTAGGATTATATCAAGGATTTATGTTGTTTTCATCACAGGAAAAAATCACTGTCATCTCACTGACTAGATCTTACAAGACCTTCAAACTACAGATTATCTTAAATTTTTCAATAAGCTAGCTTTTTAAATTCCAGGCCAAATACTCTCCCTCTCTCTGTGCTTCTCCTGAATAATATTCATTGCACACGGAATTATACCAGTCATTTCTTATTTATTTTATGGTCATATGTTTTATCTCTCTGCCTCATATATAAATGCATTTTCTTTTTATAAGATCATAAACCCATTTGGAATAGACAACAATGTCATGGTTTTGGTGATACACTGAAAAAAATTGTGTCACGTTGAATTGGATTGCCTATTCATACATATTTTGATGTTTAACCTTGCATCTCTGCTGTTCAAACAAGCAAAGTCACTGACAACACACATTTTTCTCAGAAAGCTTCTGGTGCACAGAAATCAATTCTCCATTATTCCAGTGTTTTTACAATTGGAATTGAGTTTGGGGGAATGTAGTGATCCTCTTGGACTGTATTTACCCACATACTTTTGAAATATCAGCAAACGCATCTGTCGCACCCAGGGGGTCCTGAGGGTGAAGGACCCACATTTAGACACTGACAAGACTGTTATAAGACATAGGTGACTAGGACATGCTTCAGGTCACTATTGACTCATCTTGTTGCAGCCAGGTACATGCTTCATCCCACCTGCCCCACACTCATACTCAAAAGCTATGTAACAAATGCAGAAGTGTGGTAGCATATGCATTTGTCTACTATCTCAGATATGGAAGCATCAGGGAGACCCAGTTTATGTGGCGCAGCCGGAAAGCTTATCCTTGATATACCCATGTCAATCTTACAAAAGTGGAGCTCTGTGCAAGCTCAGACGACTCGGCCTCCGCAGGTCCTAGTGCAGGGCATGCGTAACCGGCTCCCTCACGTTGAGATGAAATTGCCCCCTCAAGTTTAAGTCCAAGGTCATGACCTACCATTTTCATCAAGGTAAAAGGCAGAGAGAAGGAAGTTTGGATAAGCCTTTTACTTGAACTTCAGTTTCCCCGCAGTTACATGGGAAAATAATAATACCTACCTCACATAATTATTGTCGAGGTCAAATCAGGTGGTTTGCAGGAAAGTTATTTATAGCCTGGAAAGAGATAACAGGTATCAATGCAGGAACTAGAAGCAATAATAGACATGTAGATGAATGCCTCAGAGAAGCAGAGGTTTCATGCAGACATTTTCTTATCTTGAGTCTTTTTAACAAGGTGCCACCCTTGCTGAGTTGCCTTAACTGCTTTTCATTGGCACTGAAGAAAGACATATGGAAAATCACGTTTGAGAACAGGTTACAATGTGGAACTTTCCGGGTTCCCAGCCAGGAGTCCTCTATTCTATGCATGAATCTTTCTTTCTATTTCTGCTTTAAAATTTCCACTTATTTGGTGTCCTATCCAGGGCCCTGCATTATAGGGTTTCCTGCATGTCTGTGATGGATGAAGTCAGTGAGGCTGCACTTCCTTGTGGCCCCCTAGCCTCTGTAATGCTGCCTTCATTTCTTTGTTGCACAGTGTGTAGATGATGGAGTTAAGCAAGGGAGTGATGACAGTGTAAAAGACAGCTACCACCCCATCCAGGGGCTCCTGTGAACAAGGCCGCAGGTAAATGAAGGTGCAGGGCACATAGTAAACAATGACAACAGTGAGGTGGGCAGCACAAGTGGAGAAGGCATTGCGGCGCCCATCTGCTGACGGAATTCGCAGGATGGCAGCTACAATATAGCCATAGGAAGTGAGGATGAGCATGAAGCAGGTGAGGGCCAGGAAGCCAATGTCTGCAAAGGTGACCAGCTCGTTGATGGCCGTATCGGCGCAGGCTAGACGCAGCATGGCAGGAATGTCACAGAAGATGTAGTCGACCCGATTGGGGCCACAGAAGGGCAGCCGGAATACAAAACTTGTTTGGAAAAGTGAATGGATAGTCCCTCCCAGCCAGGTGCCTAAAGCCAGGGAGTTACAGACTCTGTGGGTCATGATGGTAGCATAGTGTAAGGGCTTACAAATGGCAAGGAAACGGTCATAAGCCATGAGTGTGTAAAGGAAGCACTCAGTACAGCCCAGGAAATGGAAAGAAAATAGTTGGATTACACAGCCCCCAAAGGAGATAATCCTACTACCCAAGAGAAAGCCAGCCAGCATCTTGGGGACAATAGCACAAGAAATGGTCATGTCCAAGAAGGAGAGGTGACACAGGAACAAGCACATGGGACGATGGAGCCGGATGTCCACTAAGACAGTGAGGATGATGAGCCCATTTCCAGAAACAGTGAGGAGATAGATGACAAGGAAAGCTAAGAAGAGTGGCGCTCCCAGCTGTGGTGGGTGGTGCAGGCCCACCAAAATGAAGTGAGACACAGAAGTCTGGTTTCCACTTTGCAGTTCCTTGCTGTTCACATCTGTCAAAAGAAGTAGCAGAAGGAGATGCTCAACACCCTCTAACATTTCTAGGCTCAGCACATCAATTCTGTGTCACTCCCAAATAAGGACAGAAAAGGATACTTATCTATCTATTCTATCTATCTATCTATCTATCTATCTATCTATCTATCTATCTATCTATCTATCTAACTATCCGTTCTCTCTCTCTTCTCTCTCTCATTCTTGCTACTGGTCTTTATCATTCTCTCACCTTACTCCCCCTCAACTCCTGATTCTGAGATTCTGCTTGGTGTCAGGGAGCAGTTGTTCTCTCCAAGGTTAAAGGTAAATGATGATGTGTACATAATTTAGGAGAATGAAGGAAAGACCATACACAGAAGAAGTAATCTTCCTTTCCAATCAGGAAGAAGAAATATAATCATATAAAAGCTAAATTAATTGATAAAGGAAGATCTGTTCCATTGTTTTCCTTCAGTTTGATCTCTGATATGTATACCAGAGAGTTAGCTTGCATCTTATTGATTTTCTAGGAACATCAGAGTTGTGATTATATTTCCTATCTAAGTGTGCCCAGTGAAAAAATTTTCAGGTTTTAAAAAAAATATACTATCTGACCTGCACACTGAACCTAATACATTCAGAACCTCTGAAGTTTTAGCTAAAAATATCTATTTTCAAAAAATCTATATAAAAATTTACATGTCATTTAAAATCTCTCAGAATAGTGAAGCAATACAAAATCTTAGCCCCAAGGCACTGGGTTGCCTTTTTTTCTCTCTACTTCTGGAAAGTAGAGTCCATTTGTCCATCCGTCCATCTGTCCATCCATCCGTCTATCCACTCATCCATCTATCTGTACACCCATACAGTAGGGCGCTATATATTGTATCTTATGAGTACAGCCTGTGAAGTCTTACTGGGTTCAAAGATCTAGTTCACTTATACTCATTGGTAATCACATTTTTAATATGTTTTTACAATTATAAGTGGGGACAATAATAGTGTCTACTTCATAGGATTGTTGTAAAGATTCAATTAATTCACACAATTTACAGTAGCACTCAATCAACATTAGCTATGATTTTTCATCAAATATATGTTGTAATCTCGTATTGTTAGACAAATTCCATCTTTGCATGTGTGGCTCTGGTCTGAAGTGAACCTATGGTTTCTAGCGAGTTGTTCAGTGCTCGATGACACCCCTGCAAATTTGGAGCAGCTTCACAAAGGGCTTCTCCTCCCAGGATTACTGGTGAATGGGACCCGCCAAATGTCAGGGAGAAATCAGGAAAGTAACTGAGAGCAATGCGAGGTGTTCTTCCTAGTGTCACTTTACTTCCATCAACTTTTTTTTTTTTTTTTTTGAGACAGAGTTTTGCTCTATTGCCAGGCTGGAGTGCAGTGGCACAATCTCGGCTCACTGCAACCTCCACCTCCCGGGTTCAAGCGATTCTCCTGTCAGCCTCCCAAGTAGCTGGGATTACAGGCCCGCGCCACCACGCCCAGCTATTTTTTGTGCTTTTAGGAGAGACGGGATTTAACCATGTTGGCCAGGATGGTCTCGATCTATTGACCTCGTGATCGCCCCACCTCGGCCTCCCAAAGTGCTGGGATTATAGGCACGAGCCACTGCGCCCGGCCCCTTCTATCAGTATTTACTCCAATAGTCTGTTCACAAATGGGAGGCAAATATCCAAATGGCGTGTCACCTTCAAGAAGGTTCAGGGACAACACTGAATCTCTCAGAAGGCTTCAGAGGATGTGGAAGGAAATAGGGCTCCAGCTGGGCTCGTGGTGGGTGAGGCAGCTGCAACTGCAGCTGCCTGCCCTCTGACTACTTCTCTCCCCTCTACACTATGGATTGCCTCGCATCCCTCATCAAACCCTCTCAATCTTTAGCACCACACAGACTACACTTCTCAGTAAAATTAAGTTTGCTGAGGACTGAGCAATTTCCAGGGTTGGGACTTTCTGTGCTAAACCTAAAAGAGTCCCTGGTAAACCGAAACCGTTTGTCCCCCTAAATAAGAGTTTAAACTGCATAGAAGCTAAATCATCTTTCCCAAGGTAGCTATAAAATCTATTTTGAAACAACTTCTGGGGCAATTCTTAGTGATTTCTTAGGCAATTCTTTGATTACCAACCTTTAATGGTACCACATTGCCCAAGGGGAAAGTGCAAATTGACTGGTGTGGTTGTGTTGACCTACTTCTCCAGCCTCCTCTCAGCACTCCATCCCATAACTGTGCTTTAACCAAACATTTTCTGTTTCCTTATACAGTAGCCCCTTTAATCTAGAATGGCTTTGCTCCTCTGATGTCTGAAAAGTTTCCACTGACCTTTCAAAATCCCATTCAGGTGTCATCTACTCAGTAAAGCCTTTGCTCTCTTTCCTCCAAATGACCACTCATTTTTCACGGCCTCCACAGTACTCCAGTCATGTTTCTATGATAGGCTTACTATGAGCATGCTGAAATTTACCCTGTGCCTGTGTCTAATTTCTTCGTTAGGCTGTGAGCTCCTACAGGGGCTTTGTCTCATCTTTCTTTTCATCCCATTTGTAGCATACCTTTCACAGAAAGATTCTAAAATAGTATTGAGCGAAGGCATTTCCCTCTGCCTGGATCAGTCTATTAATTTAGATGCTGAATCTAGAAGAATATCAGTTAGATCTTGTATTCTGACTTTCAAAATCATAAGAATTTCAGTACCATCACTACTTATGAGCTATATTATTTTGGATAAATCTCTTAAAATTTCTAGTCTCAGTTTCTCATTTTAAAAAAAAGAGGGAGTGTGGTAGGTATAGATTTCTAACCAAAAAAGAAACATCAATCTCTTTTGCATCTATATCAATTCCTGTTTTAAATTTTGTTCTTACACAAAGAAAAATCAATATTTCTCCTAGTCCCAACTCTCTTCTGTACTATAACTTTTTTCCTTGCCATCTAGCTACTTTGACATCTCAGTTTTCGTTCACTTTTATAATTTATTTTCTCTACAGAGAAATAATATTATTTATCCCTGGAGAGAGCAAAATACCCTGCTTTACCCATTAATAACTAAAACTACTCCAGTTACTTGGTGTATACATTTTAGTTAATATCACATTATAGTATCAGCAATGTGATATGTTCTTCTCTGTAAGGGGAAAAGAAGCAATTTTCACAAGAAGTCTTGGGAATAAAAGGACATTAGTAGCCATATACTAGCTTCATTTGGCCATTTCAAACCCTGTTTGAACTGAACTAAGCTTGAGGTAGACCCTGAAACACATGTGTCTCAGGAAACTCCAAGAGGGAGACTGGCCTTTGGTAAGCAGAATATAAAGACTCACCCCTCTCCAGGTATTTGTAAAGCATAATGCCATTAGGAGGATCTAATGTGCCTTCCATGTTCCCAGCATCTCTAACATGCATTTAATCAAATGGAAAACAAACGGAGACTGCTACCTGGCTGGGAATCTACTGTGAGGCCATCATCTGCTGCTTCCCTCAGCTTCTCCATGCTCTTTACTGTTCTTCATGGAGGCTCCTTTTTGAACTCAATAGGTTTCCTTGTCTTTGCCTTTGACATGCCCCTTCTTGCTTATGTCATTGCCCTCTTTCTGTATGCTTCCCTGGGCTCCCCCTTCCCATTTGTAGCCCATTCGAAGCTGTTGGCAGTGGCATTCCTAGGCCCTGGACCCCTACAGTCTCACTTTCTGGCAGGCAGCTTTTTTCTTCCTCTAGTCCCTGTAGGGTGGGAGACAGGGGGCTGACATCACTTCTGCTTTGCCCTTCAGGGGCAATTAACTTACAGGGAAATAAATTGCAGTGGGCTTTGTTAACGGCAAAGCCAGTACCACTCGAGGAAGTTCGCTTAGTTGCTAGTGGTGGCCCTGTAGCATAGGATCCTGCTAAAAGCATGCACTTGATCAGGAATCAGGAGGCCCCTTCCATTTCTCTGGGTTTTAGTTTTCTCACTATAGAGAAAATGATGATTTACTCACTTACTTATAAAAGCATGGGGATACAATTTGAAATAATTTAAAAGCCACAGGCACTAAATAAATGCCATATGTTAATTGCTTTTAAACATACCCTATGAATTTAACTCAGAAGGAGTAAATTACTAGAACTTTGCATTAGGACAGGCAATACTATTTTGGGCAGAACTGTTTAGATCACTTAGTATGCAAACAGGAGACTCAGCTAGAAGGAATATGAAAAATGTAGCAATCCTCAAAAGTCAAACACACTTAGGTTGGAGCTTTAGATAAATGACCCAGAGTGCATCTCCATTTTATACATGAAAAAACCGAGTTCTAAAGCGAATAAGGACTTTTCCAAAGATAAAAGCTCATACAGCTTAGTTAATGGATAAAATCTCATATGAGTCTGTATAAATGAATTGTACAATTTACCCAACTCTGAGAATAGAGGAGCTTATAGTTCTGAACTAGTGCTAGGCAAACTATAGCTCAGTAAATAGTTGTTAAAATACTTTTTGTCTGGTGCTGAATACGTTTTAATTGCTTACTTTGAGTCATTGCTGGTTTGCGATGTTTAAGTAGCGTATTATGAAACACAACATTGCACTTGCTCTGTTTTTTGGACAAGCCATTTCCCACTTAAGAAATCATATAAGGTCAGCATTAACTATTTTAGTTTGTATTACTACATGTTCCTACTGCACGAATATGATGTTGAGTTTAAATTAGATTTAGGGTTCTGCTAATAGGGAAGTCTACATTTAGAAAGGAAGATGGAAGAGACTTAAGACTCCAAACACCTAATCGTCCCTTCTCACTGAGAGTTCTCCTGTTCTGTGACATCGCTAATGGGAATACTGTGTATATTTACATAGATAAATACAAGACAAAGGAATACATGATTACAAACTGAAGCTTTGGTTCCAAATTCCAATGTGGATGCTTGACCTTGGGAAGTTAGGAAAGGCCTTTAATCTACAGTAGGAAGCCATAGTGGTTGTTCTTTACCCTAGACCTCTTTTTGTTTTCCATTTGATTTTCTATGTGGATAAGGACATGGAAAGGGTGGGGAGACTTCTTGCAAAAAGGAGCTATCATCATCTACTTTTGAAGCAGAAGAGAAAAAATGGGAGAAAAGGAAATTAAAAATAAATGGCTCAGTTTTATCCAAATGGGGGCAGATCCAGTTCCCTTGCCCTCTCAGGCCAAGCAGAAGGAGAAACAGGTAAAGATACCACCCTCAACTGGGATCAAATATTTAATTAATCCATTTGCTTAAAACAATAAACTTGACAATTCCCATGAATGGATCAATCAAATACCCTGCAACTGACAAAAATGTTTGTTAGTTCCTCTTTTGGGGCAATGTGGGGAGGCACGTGGAGGTGAAGGGTAGAGTAGTTGGAGGGGTGAAACAAGGGGAGGGTATCTTTTTCCAAAAGGTCAGCTTTGCAGCCAGGTCTAGTGCTAAAAGCCTTAGGACTACAGCATAAAATCTGTGAGTGAGGCATGGTTTTAGTACATAATGTGCCATGGTGCGCAGCGTATGATAATAAGCTATCAGTAAGCATATTTTAGGTAGAATAACTGGGGGAAGGAAGGAAGGGAGGGAGGGAGGGAGAGAGGGAGGGAGGAAAGGACAAAGGAAGGAAGGGAGGGAGGGAAGGAAGGAAAGAAAGGGGGAAGGAAAAGGGGAAAGGAAAAGGGAAAGAAGGGAACTAGGTAGAGAGGGGAAGGACATCTGAGACTTATGAGATTGGGGTAAAAAAAACCTTCAGATTTGGAAGGAAAATGATTGAATGAACAGGTCAGTGGGCCTCAGAGTTGGAAGTAGAATGAGCTAATGAACAGGCCAGTGGGTAAGATATTCCGGAAGAAACAAAGGGTTTTGATTGGGTTTGTGGGAGTACATGAAGATCTTGTTATGGGTTAAGAATTATAGACTGAGACTCACGGTCACCGGAAACCTTACCAAAAGAAGACGATGATAGAGGAGAAATTGAAAATGAAGTAAAAATGATTTGAGGTTGAGGTTATGCCAGGTAAGACCGTAGGTACCTGGCTAAATGATACCCGTAGGCTTCTCTCAAATGGTATATTCATAGATTGACAGAAAAGGGGATTGGGCAGATATGAGAATTATCACGACACTACAAAGTTAGTACATGAGAGTACACAATGTGTGGGAAAAAACTGTAGTGGCAGATCAAAAGTAACCTATGAATTTCCCTAAAGTTGGTCTCATTTTTTGGTAAGGGAACTGCTCCATCTTTATCTAAGTCACAGCACAGGACAGGCAGGGAGATTGTAGCCAGTGAGCAAAAAAAGAGACAGTGAGAACAGGGGGTCAAAATGTCACAAGAGCCAGAGGAGAATCATACAAGACATTTCAAGGTCCAGAGAGTGGAGACACTAGCCAGATGCATGTTATCCTCTGTGGGGTGTTTTGAACCAGAAGGGGTATCGGGTGAGAAAACCTTGAACGAATGATAATGTAGGTTTGACTGACTTGGGTAGATTTGAAAGTGGTGAGTGAGGATTTGAATAGAAATTGAGGAAGGCCATTGGTAGCTGATGACATTGGATGCCCGTCAGAAGAGTTAATGTTAAGTATTAATTGTGGTCGCCCGATTTGAAGACATTTGCATTAGGAAGGTTTTCTGGCCTGGATGTCTGGTGTAATAGATCATTTAGAAGAACACATGGGAAAACAAGGACTGTTGGGTGTTGACTGCTTATCTGTAATGAAGACCTTAAAATCACAGTCCTCAGGTTTCAAATTTCTAACTTAATACATGGACAGAGAACCAGATTATTTCTATAACTGTCTGAGCAGAATCTGCTATCTCTTATAGAACTGGGGATAATCTAGTTAAGTTAATGAATTGCAATGTAGGTTAAATACACATACTTACTACGTTTCTTTTGTGGTAGTTAAGACATTTACTGTGAAAGGGTGGGACACTAACAGTTGGAATGGGGTCATTGGTTCTCTACCTCTCCTGGTGATTTTACATATCATATTAGTAAATTTATTTTCTGCTTATACCTAGGAAGGGCATAAAAAATTTAAGTTATTTTGGAATGGGATGGCAATTTCTAATGCAAGTAGCAGCTTACAGGAAGGGTCTGAGAGTCTCAAATCTGCCATTTTCAGATAAAGGATATACGGAAGCCCAGGGACATTCAGTGATTGTGATAAAATAATGTCTCATTTTGTTGTGGCCACTGGCTGAAATAGCAAAAACAATATGTTTTGTTTTGGTTTGGTTTTTTTTGAGATGGAGTCTCACTCTGTCACCAGGCTGGAGTGCAGTGGCATGATCTCAGCTCACTGCAACCTCTGCCTCCCAGGTTCAAGCAATTCTCCTGCTGCAGCCTCCCAAGTAGCTGGGACTATAGGCACGCACCACCACGCCCAGCTGATTTTTGTATTTTTAGTGGAGACAGGGTTTCACCCTGTTGGCCAGGATGGTCTCAATCTCTTGACCTGGTGATCCTCCCGCCTCGGCCTCCCAAAGTGCTGGGATTACAGGCATGAGCCACCGCTCCCAGCCCAACACATATCTTTGGAATGTAGATTCTTAATTATAATATCAGATGAATTTATTTTTCCAGGGTTCTCATGTAAAATTAGGAAATAATTTGAAAAGAACAGGACTCTAAAATGCAAAGGAGATTAGTGGCAAGATTTGAATGATGCAGTGCCCTGATTCCCAACTGCACATGGAATCTTCATAGCCAGAAAAATTGGTCTCTACTTCCCTGTCTGATGAGGCTATTCCTATCTTGCTTCCAGATCCAAGATGCTGCTCCAAGAAAGAGCTTTCTTCAGTCACACATCTCAGATGCCCTTCCTCCCTCCTTAGTTCACCCCCTTTCCCACATTAATTTTTGTCTGATGAAAATAAATTCTGAAAAAGTTTTTTTCATCATTTTTTATCTATCCCCTAAAGCATTTATCCTCTGAGTTACAAACAATCCAATTACACTCTTTAAGTTATTTTGTAATGTACAATTAAGTTATTATTGACTGTAGTCACCCAACTGTGCTTTCAAGTAGCAGGTCTTATTCCTTCTTTCTAACTATTTTTTGTACCCATTAACCATCCACACTTCCTCCCCAATTCCCCCATTACTCTTCCTAGACTCTGGTAACCATCCTTCTACTCTCTGTGTCCATGAGTTTAATGGGTTTGATTTTTAGCTCCCCAAAATAAATGAGAACATGTGATGTTTGTCTTTCCATGCGTGGCTTATTTCACTTGACATAATGATCTCCAGTTCCATCCATGTTGTTGCAAATCACAGGATCTCATTCTTGTTTATGGCTGAATACATACCACTTCCTTGTGTATATGTACCACATTTTCTCTATTCACTCATCTGTTGATGAGCACTTAGGGTGCTTCCAAATCTTGACTATTGTGAACAGTGCTGCAACAAACATAGGAGTGCCATTGAAGATTTGTATGCATTCTCAACATGAGTGTGTTTCCCAGACGTTCTGCATCCAATGTACCAGCTTGCTCAGATAATAGTAGTCTTATGTTATTTACTTACTGATTGGTTGATTGACACTTAGGCTCAACAGTAGCTTACATTAAATAAAGTTAAGGTACAGCAACAGAAATCTAATGGCTTGGTAAACCAAATATATAGAAGTAGATTTATCAAGTGCCACCTGTCTACTTGTGTGTAACCCATATTCCCTGAAAGAGCAAGAAACTTACTCCCTTTACCAAGTGTCTAAAAATTACATTGAGGAAGGAAACATTAGGGGCCAAGGATACTAGTAGACGGATGCAGTTGAAATGAACTTCTCAACATTACGACGATTGACGGATCATAAGTAGTGGGACTAAACTACCAGAGGAGAAGTGGAGAAAGTTATTAGAGTGAACAATAAGAGCACTGTGGTAGTCTAAATGGATCAACCAACAAAGAATTTTGGCAAACCTGAAAGCCCTTCCTTTTTGCTTAATATAATAAAATTCTATCAGATCTCATAAATAGAGGCCAAAATTAAGCCACCATGAGTGTCAATGCCATTGACCAGTTCCCTGGTTGAGTCAGTTTACTGAGTCAGTGTCATTTAAAAGCAGAGCAGGTATTCTCTACAGTAACAACACAAGCATGTGCTATGAATATTCTTCCTGGCCTTCCTCGGATGGACCTGTCTCCCTTCCGTGGATTAAATAGTCAGGGAAAATATCCAGACCATTTTAAATTTATTGAACTCTATCTTTGTGAGGTAATGAATGGAGTTTGGAACCAAGTCCACCTTAGTAGAATGTCGAATTACTCTGACCTTATTTCCTAGTTTAGGAGTGTGAAGTTGGAATTGATGTTCTTAGCAGCTGAGAGAATCTCTGTGTTGATTCCCTGACCTGGAAATAAGTAGGGGCTGTTTCGATAGAGAGGGGCATATGGAAGCCCCTGGGTATTCCAATTTCCAGTAAAAGAGTCATAAAAACTACTGCACCTTTAGGGCAGCTCACTGAGATTAATACCACTATCAACGTCTTAAAAGATTCAGGATGTAAATTTTTATCACATTTCCCTTTAACTCAGCAGTTTGATAGGTGAAGAATGACCGGGAATTGTAAGTTAACTTGGTAGCCACTAATATTATATCTCCCGATCTAGATGTGTTTTTATTGGAATATGTCAGTACAGTCACTAGCACAGTGATATTAACTGATTAATGCTTTTGTCCAAATTTCCAAATACAAAATATGTTATATGCAAACAATTTTTACATGTGAATACATAACCACATATTCATACATACATATATACATATATAATAATAAAATGTGTAATCAGGATCCAATTTGATAATAAAATGTTGCAAAACCATTAAATGAATTTATTTTTGTGCTTTTATCCCATACAGCCTCTTCTCTCCCTACCAGAGATAATGTTCCTGAAATGTCTGTTAACCTTCCCTTGATTTTCTTTATAACCTTACTGCCCCAGCCTGGCAAAGTATTGTCACCTAGTTGGTGTTATAATTGTGACTTCCAAAAGGCCATTCCACCTTTCTTTCAATCCAGCTGCTTCAGAATGATGAGGAACGTGGTAAGACCAGTGAATTCCATGATCACAAGCCCATTGATGTACTTCTTTAGCCGTAAAGTGAGTGCCTTGGTCAGAGGCAATACTCTGTAGAATACCATGATGGTCGATTAGGCATTCCATGAGTCCACAGATGGTAGTCTTGGCAGAAGCACTCCGTGCAGGATAGGCAAACCCATATCTGGAGTGTCTATTCCAGTGAGGACAAACCTCTGTCCTTTCCATTATGGAAGAAATTCAATTGAATCAACCTTCCACCAGGTAGCTGGCTGATCACCTCAAGGAATGGTGCCATATTGAGGGCTCATGGTTGGTCTCTGCTGCCAGCAAATTGGGCACTCAGCAGTGGCCATAGCCAGGTCAGCCTTGGCGAATGGAAGTCCATGTAGTTAAGCCCATTCGTAACCTCCATCCCTGCCACCATGGCCACTTTTTTCATGGGCCCATTGGGTGATGACAGAGTGCCTGGGGAAAGAGGGTGAGTGGTGTCCACAGAACAGGTCATCCTATCCACTTGATAATTAAAATCCACCTCTGCTGAGATCACCCATTGGTGAGCACTCACATGGGATACAAATATCCCCACATTTTTTGACCACTCAGAGAGGTCCATCCACATACCTCTTCTCCAAACTTCTTTGTCACCAATTTTCCATTCATGCCTCCTCCAAGTCCCTGACCATCCAGCCAAACCATTGGCTGCAGCCCACGAATCAGTATGTAATTGCATATCTGGCCATTTCTCCTTCTCCACTGCTTGAAGTTCTGCCCACTGGGAACATTTCCCTTCACTGCTGTTCTTCATGGATGTCCTAGAAAGAGGCTGTAGTGCTGCAGCTGTCCACTTTCAGGTGATGCCTGCATATCGTGCAGGACCATCAGTGAACCAGGCCCTAGTCTTTTCTTTCTCTGTCAACTGATCATAGGGAACTCCCCATGAGGCCATTGGTGTAGGCTGGGGGAGAGAAGGCAGGGTGGCAGGAGTGGAGACCATGGGCACTTGAGTTACTGCTTCATGTAACTTGCTTGTGCCTTCAAGACCTGCTTGAGCCCGATCATGTATATATCATTTCCATTTGTTTATGGGATGTCTCTGTGCACAAACCACTTTATGACTATATGGGTCAGAAAGCACCCAGTTTATAACAGGCAGTTCAGGTCGCATGGTGACTTGATGAGCCATTGATTAAATATTCTAGAACACTGGAAAACATTTATAGAAAAAATATTTAAAAAGACAAATTTGAAGTACATTTTACCTTATAATAAAACAATGAATTAATGTTTTTGTTTCCTAAAGGTTCAGAAAAATCAATAAGAAAAGACTATTAAAAGAAAGAAATAATAAAGTTATGAAGTTCTGAACAGCTAATTCACAAAGGGAGATACACTTGTCATACACATGTGATAGGGTTCTATATCATACTCTTATAAAATAATATGTATTTACTCATGTGTGTAAAAGCAATGAAAATTATGACAGCAATAATATCTAATGATTACTTATACAATCAGGAAATAATTAGATTAGGTATTTCTTTGGGAAAAGTCATTCTGAAAGTCTAAACAACAAAAAAATATTTGGGAATTTGGATCTTTTGAACCACTATTCAAACATGATGAATGAGAGAGTGATGCTGAGCTGGAGAGTGCCAACAGGTGAGGACCATTATGGATTCTGGAAAATTTTAAGTTGAGAGCAAGCAGTTGTGAGTGTTTCTCAATCATTGGTGAGGGAAAAGGATAAGTCTTTCCTTCCTCTTAGGTATAAATATTAGTTACAGGAAGGCATGTGCTGTTCTCAGGAGAGTTCAAATAAGAAACACTAAGGAATTACGTGCATGCTGATGAAGAACCTCTTATTGGTCTCTTCCTATTGTTTTTGTGTTCATCAAGGGAATCTGAAAGCCCAAGAGAAATCCCAGCCTGTGAAACACAAATTAAGTTCAGTTCCCTGCACTTCAACTAGTTTGGTCCCTGTGTAGAAATGGACCACTCTTTCTCAACACTGTGTATCTGTTCTTTGAGTGATAACTTTCAAACTAGGGCCTGAACATAGGGTATAGAAAGTAAAAACTTTTGAGAAAAAATTCTGATGAGTTTTATTATTGAAATGAATAACATACTGTAAGGTGAGTTCTTAAAGGGGCAGATTTAACTCATTTTTCCTGTTTCTCTTCATCTTCAAGTTCCATGTAGAACAATGTTACTTGGAAATCGTTAGCATTCATCCTAACTTTGGTAATCTAGTCTCTCTTCACAGATAGATAGATAGATAGATGGATAGATAGATAGATAGATAGATAGATAGATAGATAGATAGGGTAATTATCTATAGATAGATAGATAGACAGATAAAGTAATTAAGGATCTACAAATAGGGTCTAAGTTGCTACAGCATAAATGAGCAAATCAAACATTGACCCCACTCATTGACACTCCTGTCTTAAAGTCTCAGGCTATCTTGAACTTCACATGATTAAAATTTTCATATTTCATCAAATTGGAATATGAGGCTATCTTAGGGATTGGGTCCTCCTGGTGCAGTAGTTGTATTTGTTTTATTTTTGTAAGTTCTTATATCTATGTTGATGATTTCAATAATCCTATCCCTTTTATTTATTCTCATATTGGAAAAAATCTGACTTTAATGTAGCTTAAGTCACATACCTTAAAGATAGGACACATTGTATCTCAGCTCTACTAATAGCAGAGATCCTGGTTTGTTTTGTATTGGTGAAACAGTTTTATAGTATTTTCCCATAAACTATTAATAAAAATTCTGAACTAAGATGATATATTGTATTCAGTTAAAATGTAATTTCTGCTTCAATTTTAATTGTATAGAATACCAACTTTTTTCGACATCAAGCCAACATATGTCTTCCCTCCTGCTTTGGTTTCATTTTCCCTGTCTCAGGTGGTAGCTATTAAATAAGAAACATAGATTTGATGGAATTGTCTTCTCTTATAAGAACATTTTCCTAGGTTTATGAGCATGAAGAGTAGGGGAGAATGGTAGGGGCAAAACATGTTCTCTAACAAAATCAATATTAGAAAATATTTAGACATCTGGGATAGAGGTATGTGTGATACCTAGTAGGTTGTAGTTGGGAGAGCACATATGAACGTCATGTTTCTGGAGCCTCTTGGGGGATGGTGAAGTGTAAGAGAAACAGGAGGGGAGTCATGTATGAAGCCTGGTATTTTCTGGGTCATTTGGGAGGTTGTGGGAAATCCCACTATGAGTTGTGCTAAGATCCTTACCTGATCTGAGAGACTTGAGAGACACCCTTTTAAATAGAGGCAGGAATGGGGGCACCAGTAGCAGTAGCAGGAATGAATCCTTCCTCAAAATCTAGCTTTGAAATTGAGAAAACTAATCATAATAGGATAATAATAAGATATATGTATTTTCTTACTCTCCGTGATCAAAAATGGCAGTTCTGTAATACTGCTGCGAGGCATAATGTTTCATGACTCCCTGTCATTTATTGAGCGGTTATCACCTGCCAGACACAGTGCTAAGTACTTTACATGTTTCATCTTATTTAATACTTATAACTTCTCAGTCAGGTAAGTGAGGCTAGTAATACCAAGTAATATGTGAGGAAACTAGAGATGAATTTGGTATACTGTAAACTTTTGAAATATTAACTGCTACCTAAAAGTAAATTCTTAGAATTAATAAAATGTGATGGGTAGAATTCAAAATAACCTCACAGATCCCCTAGACCACCTTCGTTGTATATCCTCCCTATATAATCACTGTCCCCTTAGTGTGGGTGGGACTTGGGAAAATGACAGGATTTCACTCCACTGATTCCATTATATTACATAATACATTAGCAGAGCAAACTGGAGAGAGATTTTCTTGCTGGTATTAAAGAAGTAAGCTGTCATGTTGTAGAAGGCCAGGTAATGAGGATCCTAGGATCTAGGATGGCTTCTATAAGCTGAGAGTGATATGCCCTGCCAACAACCAACAGGAAAACTGGGACATCAGTCCTAAAACTGTAAGGAACTGAATCGTGCCAAAAGCAATAATCTTGGAGGATGATCCCAAGCCTCAAATGAAATTGCAGCCTCTGGCTGATATACTGATTAAAACCTGCTGAGACCTTGAGCAGAGGGTCCAACTGACCTGACCCACAGAGAGGGTTAAATAATAAATTTACATGCTTTATGCCACTGTTTATGGTCATTTTTAATATATCAGTGAAAATCTAATACAGTGTGTTTCTTCTACTTTCTTCTGCATGTGGGTCTCTATTTATGTGTGTTTGTGTTTGAGTAACAGAGAGAGAGAGAGAGAGAAAGATTGGAAAATTACTTCATCTTTATGAAAGAAGCTTTGTAACAGGGAAGGCCAGGATAACTGTAGAATTATCTACCATGGTTGATGCCGTTTCCACATAGAGAATGGGTTATCAGTTCTCAATTAACTGCTACATGCTGGATGCTCTTTATATCCCAGTGGGGAGAGAGATGAAGGGTGAGAAGAAATGTCCAACTCATGACAGCATTCATCCTCATGGACCTTCCCCATGTCCCAGCTCTGGACGCCCCACTCTTTGGAGTCTTCCTGGTGGTTTATGTGCTTACTGTGCTGGGGAACCTCCTCATCCTGCTGGTGATCAGGGTGTACTCTCACCTCCACACCCCCAAGTACTACTTCCTCACCAATCTGTCCTTCATTGACTTGTGGTTCTTCACTGTCATGGTGCCCAAAATGCCGAGGACCTTGTTGTCCCTGTGTGGCAAGGCTGTGTCCTTCCACAGTTGTATGACCCAACTCTATTTCTTCTACTTCCTGGGGAGCACCGAGTGTTTGCTCTACACGGTCATGTCCTATGATCGCTATAGAGGAAATACTCAGCACTTCCCAGGTAGTGAAAACACTCCCCACGAAGTGAGCCAAATGCTAGTGGCCCGGGGGGCACACGGGCTCCCACTCATCATCCTGGCAGATCTGAGTGGGTAACTAAGAGTTGATAGTTCTTAGTGGGCAATTCAAAATTAGTAATATAATTTAGTTATCCAAGTGAAATTTATTACATGTATAGGTCTCAGCATTAAACATTATTCCAAACAACTTGCACAGTTATAATTCTTTCACAGATTATCTAAGACATTTTTAAATTCACAGCTAGATTTTTATTTATGATGAACATGCTTGTAGTATCTATTGATGCATTTCTCATCAATAGATTTTTTTAACTTTTAAAAATATATATATATATATATTGTAGTTGGGTCTCAGGGATACACAGTGGAATCATTCATATATGTGAGCTGATGATATGCTTTTGTATTTTTTTGTGTGTACACAAAAATTTAAGAATTTACAATCGTGGGGGATATCGTTTAAGGATAACAAATATGAGAGGTCATTTTTCTGTTTGTGGCTATTTCTATTTAAATATCTTTTTGGTTGTTTTAGTATATCTATGCATTTGTACATGTATATACAAATCCAAATGTATGCAAAAGAAAGCATATAATATATAATGTATAGATATGTTAATGAAAATTCAACACACACACACACATATACATTTATATGTACATATATCCCCTAAAATATTATTTGTAGAAACACCGTATTAAATTGGCAGAGATAGCAAACTATTCAAAATGACTATCAAATAATGAATGTAATATAAATTGTTGTATATTCACACAATGGATTACTATACAGCAATGATAATATATGATCTATAGCTACATGTAAGATGATATATGCATTTATCTTTTGTGCTCATTTATGTTTATTAACATTCAATATAAAAAAATTAAATATCTAGATCAGTGAGGGCAATCTTGCCCTGCCAGTTTTGCTTAGCAATGTCTGGAGATATTGTTGCAGGTCACAGGTGCTTGCATCCAGTGGCTAGAGGTCAGGGATGTGGGTAAACATCCCATAGTGCATAGCACAGACCCTCATCACAAGGCTTATCTTGCTCGAAACATTCATTGTGCTGAATATGAGAAACCTTGATCTGACTTTAACTTTAAGTAAAAATGTGTGAGACCACTACAATAGAAATAACAAGACATTTTCAAAGAAATATAAAAGTTGCTGAAGAAATTGGGCATTACTATATGCATATAAAATGGAAGATTCATATTTTAAAGTCACCAATTCTCTTTGAATTGATATATAGATTCAATGTAATTCCAATAAAATCCCAGCATTTGATTTTGCAGATATGAATATGTAGATCCTACGGTGTATATTGAAATGAAATGGATCAGGAAAATGATCAAGGCAGTCTTGCAGAAATAAAATACAGTCAAAAGATACACAACACCAGATACCAAAACCTATTATGAAGTTATAGTAATTCAGAAAGTGTAGAATTGGTATAAGTATTTGTATGGAAATGAAGAGAGGATGAAAGAAATAGACTTGTATATATTCATATAACAAAGATGGCACTTCAGTGCAGTAAATCAATAATGGTTTCTTCAATACATTATTTAGAGTTATTGGGTTTTCAGAATGAAAAAATAATCTTGACCCTATCTCATATTATACACATAAAAAATCAATTACAATGGATAGGAGATAAAAATGCAGTAGATTTTATGACATTCAGTTAGTAAATATATTTCAAAGAAAACAGACAGAAGAAGCTAACCATAAAAATGATACATTAAAGTTATTACATTTTGAAATAGAAAATTTTCAGCTTATTTTCTTTGCATATAATGTAATAAAACCAGAGTTTAATAAGCAAGTTATAAGACAGAAAACAAAACCATGAGAATTTAAACAAAATCCATAAAAACACCTTCTGTTAATGAGGTAATTATAACTATAATTAAAATTATATAGCAAATAAAAACATCCTGATGTTACATGTGAAGTAAAATTAACTTCCAATGAAATAGGGATATAATGAAGGAAAAAAAAACTTAAAGCATTAGATATTATATAAGTGAAAAGTAATAAGCCTGTGTACAAGAAAATCCTTTGAAAGCAAAATACTAACACCAGAAATATATTGGAATCAATTCATAAACTATCCTAGAACATTAAAATCATCTGTACAAATAAAAATTATTTAACAAAAATTTGAGCACATTTTATCTTACAATAAAACAAAGAATTAATGTTTTTAATTTGTAAAACTTCAGACAAGTTAATAAGATAAAGACTATTATCTAAAAGGAAAGAAGTCGGTAAAGATCTTAAAAAGTTGATTTTCAAAAGGAGATATATGCATGAAATGTTGAACAGTGTTTACTCATGCTTGTAAAAGCAATGAAAATTATGACAGCAGTGCTATCTAGTTATTACTTATACAACTGGGAAATAATTATTTTAGGTAGGTTTATCTTTGGGGAAGAGCCATTCTGAAACTCTAAACAACAAAAAAAGTTTGGGAATTTGGGTGTTTTGAACCACTATACAAAGACGAATGAGAGAGTGATGCTGAGCTGCAGAGCACCAAATGAGGACAATTATGGATTCTGGAAAATTTTAAGTTGAGAGCAAGCAGTTGTGAGTGTCTCTCAATCACTGGTGAGGGAAAAGAGTAAGTCATTCCTCCTTCTTTCCTCTTAGATACAAATATTAGTTCCAGGAAGATAAGGACTCTTCTCAGGAGGGTTCAAATAAGAAACACTAAGGAAATGCATGCATGCTTATGAAGAACTTTTCATTGGTCTCTTCCTGTTGTTTTGTGCTCCTCAGGGGAACCCAAAAGCCCCAGAGCAATCCCATCCTCTGAGACACAAATCAAGTTAAGTTCCTGCCCATGTTCATTTCCATTCCCTGCACTTCAACTAGTTTGGTCCTTAAATAGAAATGGACCACTCTTTCTCAACACTGTGCACCGGTTGTTTGAGTGATATCTTGCAAACTAGTGCCTATACGTAGTGGGTAGAAAGTGAAAAATTGGGGGAAAAAGTTAGATGAGTTTTACTACTGAGAAGAATCACATACTGCAAGGTGAGTCCTTAGAAATGCAGATTTAAACTTATTTTCTCTATCTTCCCTTCTTTTCTTTATCTTAACTTTAATTCAGAGCTAAGATATTCAGGAATTATTAGAATGTGTTCTAAAATTGATCTAAAATTAATCAAGGTAGAGTGATGTAATTGAGGTTATACAAATAGGGACCAAATGTCTTCATCAGGGATAGTCAAGGCAAACATTGTCTTTACTGATTGAGACTCCTGCCTTAAGTATCAGGGAACAATGGACTTCACCTCATAAAATTTTCATATTTCATAAAATCTGATTATGCTGTATTCCTGAGGATTGGGTCCTGCTGGTACAGTAGAAATTTCAGAGTTATAGGTTCTATTTTTAAGGTTCTGATATCCATGTCGGTGATTATAATAATGCTGCTTCTGCTATTTATTTACATGTTTGAAAACCCTTGCTTTAATGTAGCTTCAGCTGCATTTCCTGGTGGTAATGTCAGGATACATTTTACCTGGGTTCTGTAAACTGCAGATATCCTGGTTTCTTCCATATCAGTGAATCAGTTTCATAGTCTTCCCCACAGAACAATTCATAACAAGCCTAGACTAAGAAAACATTTTGTATGCAGTTAAAAACATCATTTCAACCTGAATACCAATTGTACAGAATCTCAGCTTTTCTGGACATCACGCCAATATATATCCTTCCTCTTGCATTGGTTCTGTTTTCCTGTCTTAGGTGGCAGGTATTAAAAAAGAAACATAGACTTGAAAGAATTGTCTTTTATTATGCATTGCCTGGGGTTATGAATATGTGGAGGAGGGGAAGATCATGGGGGGCAAAATGTTATCTCTAACGAAGCCAATATTAGGAAACATTTACACATCTAGGATAGAGTGATGTACAACAGAAAGCTAGCCCCTATCTAGTAGATTGTAGTTGGGAGAGCACATATGAACATCATGTTCTTAGAACCTCCCAGGGGATGGCCTAGTGTAAGAGAAACAGGGCCAGTCATGTATGAAGCTTGGTGCTCTCTGGATAATTTGGGAGGTGGGAGGTTGTAGGAATCCCACTATAGAGTTGTGCTGAGATTCTTACCTTCTCTAAGAGACCTAGGAGAAGCCCTTTAAAAGCAGGCAATAGTAAGGACATCAGTAACAATATTGGGCATGAAATAGTCCACAAAGACATAGCTCTTAGATTAAGGACTCTCTGAAAACACTCAGAGAATATATGAACTCTATCTAAGACAAAGAATGGCAAATCCATAACACTGCTGCGAGGCACAATGTCATAAAACTCACTATCATTTATCAAGCAGTTATTACCTGCCAGGGATAGTATTTAGTCAGGGAATTCCCTGATCCCTTGCGCTTCCCAGATGAAGCGATGCCTCGCCCTGCTTCGGCTCACACATGGTGTGCTGCACCCACTGTCCTGCACCCACTTTCCGGCACTCCCCAGTGAGGTGAACCTGGTACCTCAGTTGGAAATGCATGTACGTATATATACATATATAACCTTATTTAATGCTGATAATTTATCAGCGAGGTGGGTGATGTTAGTGATGTCAAATATAATAACATATGAGGAAACTAGTGGATAATTTATGTGTATTGTGTTTCATTCCTAGTAACAATTAAATTCTTGCTCTTTTAAGTTTTCCCATGAACTCTGCAATGAAAATAGAATATGGTAGGTGGAATCCCAAGGAGCCCTCTAAATTCCTGCCCACTGGTGTACATTTCCTATTTAATAACCTTTCAGTGTGCATGGGACCTGTGACTATGATGGGCTATCACCCCAATTACAATTATGTTACAGAACATTTTGCTACAGTAAACTGGACAGAGATTCTTTTCCTGAATTTGAAGAAGTAAGCTGTCATGTCATCGAAGGCCAGGTGAGGAGGATTTTAGGACATAGGGTGACCTCTGTAAAATGAGATTGATATGTCCTGCCAAAAACCAGCAAAAAAACAGAGACCTCTGCCCAAAAACTGCAAGAATGGGATACTGCCAACACCTGCAATAGACTTGGAAGAGGACTGTGGTCCTCCCATGAGATTTCAGCTTCTGGGGACACATTGATTGAGACCTGTTGAGACTCTCAGCAGAGGGTCCAGCTGACCTGGCCCACAGAGAGGGTGAGATAAAAATTTTACACGTTTTATGGCACTAAGTTTGTGTTATTTTTTAATATATCAATGGAAATCTAATATAGTGTTTCTCTACTTTCTTCTGCATGTGTGTCTCTGTGTGTGTGCACCTGTGTGCATGTGTGTGAGAGAGGCTGAAATAATTTCATCATCATCTCTGTGAGGGAAGCTTTGTAACAAGCGAAGTGCAGGATAACTCCAGAATTATCTACCTGGTTGATGCAGTTTCCACATAGAGAATGGATTCTCATTTCTCAATTAAGTGCTAAATGCTGGGTGCTCTTTATATCCCCAGAGGGAGAGAGACCAAGGGTGAGAAGAAATGTCCAACGCCAGCCTCGTGACAGCATTCATCCTCACAGGCCTTCCCCATGCCCCAGGGCTGGACGCCCTCCTCTTTGGAATCTTCCTGGTGGTTTACGTGCTCACTGTGCTGGGGAACCTCCTCATCCTGCTGGTGATCAGGGTGGATTCTCACCTCCACACCCCCATGTACTACTTCCTCACCAACCTGTCCTTCATTGACATGTGGTTCTCCACTGTCACGGTGCCCAAAATGCTGATGACCTTGGTGTCCCCAAGCGGCAGGGCTATCTCCTTCCACAGCTGCGTGGCTCAGCTCTATTTTTTCCACTTCCTGGGGAGCACCGAGTGTTTCCTCTACACAGTCATGTCCTATGATCGCTACTTGGCCATCAGTTACCCGCTCAGGTACACCAGCATGATGAGTGGGAGCAGGTGTGCCCTCCTGGCCACCGGCACTTGGCTCAGTGGCTCTCTGCACTCTGCTGTCCAGACCATATTGACTTTCCATTTGCCCTACTGTGGACCCAACCAGATCCAGCACTACTTCTGTGACGCACCGCCCATCCTGAAACTGGCCTGTGCAGACACCTCAGCCAACGTGATGGTCATCTTTGTGGACATTGGGATAGTGGCCTCAGGCTGCTTTGTCCTGATAGTGCTGTCCTATGTGTCCATCGTCTGTTCCATCCTGCGGATCCGCACCTCAGATGGGAGGCGCAGAGCCTTTCAGACCTGTGCCTCCCACTGTATTGTGGTCCTTTGCTTCTTTGTTCCCTGTGTTGTCATTTATCTGAGGCCAGGCTCCATGGATGCCATGGATGGAGTTGTGGCCATTTTCTACACTGTGCTGACGCCCCTTCTCAACCCTGTTGTGTACACCCTGAGAAACAAGGAGGTGAAGAAAGCTGTGTTGAAACTTAGAGACAAAGTAGCACATCCTCAGAGGAAATAAATACTAGGAAGTAAATACACTAGTTTGTTTAAAAATAGTAATCTAATTTAGTTATTCATGTGAAATTGATTATATGTATAGTTCTCAGTGTTAAACTTTATTCCAAAACACCTGCACAGTTATAATTCTTCCACAGATTGTCTAAGACAGTTTTAACCTCACAGCTAGACTTATATTTATGATGAACATGATTATATTCTGAATTATTGACTCATTTCTCATCAATAGGTTTATATTAAGTTTAAAACATATTTTAATCAAATCTCAGGGATAGATGATTAATTCATGTTTATAAATTGATAAACGGTTTTTGTGTTTTGTTTGATTTCATATACACATAAACTTAAGAATTTACCATCATGGAGACATAGTTCAAAACCAGCAACAAATATTATTCAAAACCAGCAAAAAATATCATTTTTCTAATTGTGGCTGTTCAAATTTGTTTTTGGTTTTAACGTATCTATATATTTGTATGTGTATATACTATTCCAAACATGTATACAAAAGAAAGTACATGACATTTAGCATATTTAACATATAGGTTTTCATATATTTATGTATGTGTATGTATTTGCCTATTTACATATATATCTGAAAACATTTCTAGAAACACTATTTTAATTGGCAAGAATAGCTAGCTATTAATATTTAAAATATTACCAATGAATCAATTAGAAATTGTATACTCACAGAATAGATTACTATCCAGCAATGATAACGAATGATCTAACAACTACATATATAATTGTTTACGCACTTTATACATTTGCACCCATTTTTAATGTTTGTTAAGATCCAATATAAAAAATTAAATCTCTTAAATATCTAGATTACTTGGGGCTGTTTTGTCTCCTAGTTCACTTGGCAATGTCTGGAAATATTCTTGCTTGTCACAGGCACTGGCGTCTATTGGCTATAGGTCAGGAGTGTTAAACATTCCACAATGCACAGGAGAGACCCTCACAACAAAACTTACCATGGCCAAATGCCGATAGTGCTGAGGATGAGAACCCGGAGCTGAATTTAATTTTAAGCGACATGTGTAAGACCACGACAATAGAAATAAAATATTTTCAGATAAATATAAAATTTGCTGAATGAATCTAGGATTATAAAGTGCACATGGAGACTCATATTTTTAAAATGCCAATTCCATTCAAATTGATCTATAGATTTGATGCTATTCCAAGTAAAATCCCAGCGTTTGATTTTGCAGCTATGGACATGTGGATCTTAAAGTGCGGATTGAAATGGAATGAGTCCCAAAATGGTCAAGAATCTCTTGAAGAAATAAAGGATAACTGAAAGATTGACAACACTAGTTATCACAACTTATGGCAAAGCTCTAGTAACTCAGAGAGTGTTGCATTTGTATGAGACTAGACAAATAGAAAAACGGAACTGAATACAGAGTAAAGAAATAGACTGATACATATTCGTATGACAAAGATGACACTGCAAAGCAATAAAGCATGATTGCTTTCTTGAATAAATTATTTTGGGGTATCTGGGTATTCAGAATAAAAAAAATTAGTCTCGATCCTATTTCATACTATACACATAAAAAACTCAATTATAGTAGATAAGAGATATAAATGTGGTGGACTGTATGACACTTCTTTAGGTAAGACACTTTTTAGTGATGCAAAACCTTCTTGGAAAAAAATTAATTAAAATACTTTTTTAAATTTATTTTTTATTATTATACTTTAAGTTCTGGCATACATGTGCACAACGTGCAGGTTTGTTATGTAGCAATACATGTGCCATGTTGGTTTGCTGCACCCATCAACTCATCGGTTACATTAGGTATTTCCCCTAATGCTATCCCTCCCCCAGCCCCCCACCCCCCAAAAGGCCCCCTTGTGTGATGTTCCCCTCCCTGTGTCCATGTGTTCTCATTGTTCAACTCCCACTTATGAGTGAGAACATGTGGTGTTGGTTTTCTCTTCTTGTGTTACTTTGCTGGAAGATATTAGTTTCCAGTTTCATCAATGTCCCTACAAAGAACATGAACTCATCCTTTCTTATGGCTGCATAGTATTCCATGGTGTATATGTGCCACATTTTCTTTATCCAGTCTATCATTGATGGACATTTGGGTGGGTTCCAAGTCTTTGCTATTGTGAACAATGCTGCAATAAACATACATGTGCATGTGTCTTTATAGTAGCATGATTTATAATCCTTTGGGTATATACCCAGTAACGGGATTGCTGGGTCAAATGGTATTTCTAGTTCTAGATTCTTGAGGAATCGTGACACTGTCTTCCACAATGGTTGAACTAATTTACACTCCCACCAACTTTAAAAGCGTTCCCATTTCTCCACATCCTGTCCAGCATCTGTTGTTTCCTGACTTTTTAATGATCACCATTCTAGCTGGCATGAGATGGTGTCTCATTGTGGTTTTGATTTGCATTTCTCTAATGACCAGTGATGATGTGCATTTGTTTGCAATAAAAATTTTAAAGAAAATAAACAAACAAAGCTAACCAAAAAATAATACATGAGACTAAAGTCATTACATTTTAAAATAGAAATTTTGCCACTCATTTTCTTTGATAATAATGTAATAAAACTAGAGGTTAATAAGCAAAGTATAAGAGAGAATATAAAAATAATTGAGATCTTAAATCAAATTTTTTAAGAAGAAACCCACTTCAGTTAATAAGGTAATTACAACTACAATCTCAAATTATATAGAAAATAAAAACATGCTTATGTCACACATAAAGTAAAATTAATTTCAGATGAAATAAAGATTTAAATGAAGGAAAAAAACCTTAAAGCAGTAAATATTATGTAAGTGAAAACTGATAAACTTGTATGCAAGAAGTTGGTTTTGTTTTTTGTTTGTTTGTTTGTTTGTTTTTGAGACAGGGTCTGGCTCTGTCGCTCAGGCTGGAGTGCCGTAGCACCATCTCCACTCACTGTAACCTTGGCCTCCTAGGCTCAAGTGATCCTTCCACCTCAGCCTCCTGAGTAGCTGGGTCTACAGGCACTCACCACCATGCCTAGCTAATTTTTGTATTTTTTGCACAGACGGGGTTTCACCATGTTGCCCAGGCTGGTTTCCAATTCCTGGGCTCAAGTGATCTGCCTGCCTTGGCCTCCCAAAGTGCTGAGATTACAGGTGTGAGCCACCAATATAGGCGAAGAAAATCCTTTTAAAGCAAAATACTGACATCAGAAAACATAGTAGAATCAATTTATAAAATTTCCTTGAACAGTAAACATATCTATACAAATTTAAAAACATTTAAATGGCAATAAATTTGAAAGTACATTTTACCTTACAGTGAAAAACAAATTAATGCTTTCAATTTGTAAAACTTCAGATAAATCAATAAGATAAAGACTATTACCACGAAAAAAGCAATGAATAAAGATTCTAAAAAGTTAATCTTCGAAAGGAGATGTACACATGAAATATCAAAAGTGTTTATTCAGGCTTGCAAAAGCAATGAAAATGATAACAGCAATAATATGTAATGATTACTTATACAATTGGGATATAATTACGTTAGGTAGGTAGATCTCTGGGGAAAAGCCACCCTGAAACTGTAAACAACAGAAAAACTTTGGGAATTTGGATCTTTTGAACCACCATACAAAAATGGTGAATGAGATGGTGAGGCTGAGCTGGAGAGCGCCAACAAATTTTCCAGGACCATTATGGATCATTGAAAATTTAGAGTAGAGAGCGAGCAGTTATGAGTGTCTCTCAATCACTGGTGAGGGAAAAGGATAAGTCAGTCCTCCTTCTTTCTTCGTATGTATAAATATTGGTTCCAGAAAGACACTGGGCTCTTCTCAGGGGGGTTCAAATAAGAAACACTAAGGAAATGCATGCATGCTCATGAAGAACTTTTCATTGGCCTCTTCCTGTTGTTTTGTGCTCATCAAGGGAACCCAAAATCCCAAGAGCAATTCCATCTTCTGAGACATAAATCAAGTTAAGTTCCTACCCATCTTCATTTCCATTCCCTGCACTTCCACTAGTTTGGTCCTTGAATAGAAAGGGACCACTCTTTCTTAACACCATGTGTCTGTTCTTTGAGTGGTATCCGGCAAACTTGGCACCTGTACACAGCATGTGGAAAGTGACAAATTGGGGCAAAAACTCAGATGAGTTTTACTGTTAAAATGAATCACATACTATAAGGTGAGTTCTTAGAAATGTAGATTTAACTTATTTTCTCCTGCTTTCCCTCTTTTCTTTATCTCAAACTTTAATTCAGACAATTAGAGAATTGTTAAGACTTTGTCATAAAATCCGTTAGATAGACAGATAGATAGAGACAAAGTCGCTACATATACTACTATATGCTAATATTCAACTCAAACATTGACCCTGCGGATTGAAACTCTTGCTTTAGACTCCACTGGATGAGGATTTTCACATTCCATCAAAACCGATCATGAAGCTCTGCTGGGGATTCGTCCTCTTGGTACAGTAGAAATTTCAAAGTAATACTGGTTCCATTTTAAAAGTTCTGATATGCATGCTGGTGATTACAGTAGCCTCCTTTCTGCAATTTATTTACATATTTGACAAACCTTCCTTTAACGTAGCTTAAGCCACATTCCCTGGAGGTATCTTAACTGGGCTTTGAGAAGAGTAGAGACTATAATTTCTCTCATATCGATGAACAAGTTTCATAGTGTTCTCCCACTGAACAATTAGTAAGAATCCTGAACTAATACAACATTTTGTATTAAGTAAAAAATCTTACTTCTGCCTCAATTTCCATTATACAGAATCCCAGCTTCTCTTGACATCAAGGTGGCATAGGCCTCTCTTCTTGCATTGGTCCCATTTTTTTCCTGTCTCATGTTCTAGGTCTTAATTGAGAGGCACAGACTTCATGGAATTGTCTTCTCTTGTGAGATGATTCATTACCTGGATTTATGAGAATAAGGAGTAGAGGAAGATGGTGAGGGGCCAACATGTGATATCTAACAAAGTTAATATTAGAATATATTTAGAAACCTAGGATAGAAGGAGAATGCAAGACAGCTGGCACCTACCCAGTAGATTGTGTTTGGGAGAGCACATATGAATGCCATGTTCTCAGAACCACATAGGAAGTGTTCTAGGGTAACAGAAATGGGGGTGGGGGCAGTCACGTAAGAAGCTTGGT
This sequence comes from Homo sapiens, assembly GCF_000001405.40. Lineage (NCBI taxonomy): Eukaryota > Metazoa > Chordata > Mammalia > Primates > Hominidae > Homo > Homo sapiens. The sequence goes on from NC_000011.10 coordinate 124,021,661, forward strand.
GCTCTCTGGATGATTTGGGAGGACATGGGAATCCTACTATAGAGTTATGCTGAGATTCTTACCTGCTCTGAGAGACCTAGGAGAAGCCCTTTAAAAGCAGGCAGTAGTGAGGACATCAGTAACTGTATCAGGGATACAATAGTACAAAAAGACCTAGCTCTTAGATTCAGAACTCTCTGAAAACACTGAAAGAATATATGTACTCTCTTTCTCTCTAAGATCAAAAACAGCAATTCCATAATACTGCTGCAAGGCACAATGTGGTAAGACTCACTGTGATTTATTGAGCAGTTATTACCTGCCAGTCACAGTACTACGTGTTTAAATGTATCATCTTATTTAATGCTTATAATTTCTCGGTGAGTAGGTGATGTTAGTAATGCCAAATAACATAAGAGGGAACTAGAGAATGATTTACTAGTACTGTTCAGTTTTCAAATACTCCTTGCTACTAATAATTAAATTCTTGGTGTTTTTTTTTTAAGTTTTCCCACGAGCAAGGCAGCGAAAATAGAATGTGGTAGATAGAATTCCAAGCAGCCTTCAAGATTCTTGCCCACTGGTATACACTTTCTGTTTAATAACCTTCCTTTGAGTATGCCTGGGACCTGTTAATATGATGGGATATCACCCCTTTGACTGCATTATGTAACATTATATAACATTTTGTCATAGCAAACTGGAGAGAGTTTATCTCATTGGTTTCAAAGAAGTAACCTGTTGTGTTTTAAGAAGACCAAGTAGCTAGGACTTTCTAGCACCTAGGGGGACCTCTGTAAGGTGAGAGTGATATGTCCTGCCAACAAACAGCAAGAAAACTGGGACCTCAGTCCTAAAACTACAAGGAATTGAATCATGCACACAACCCCCATAAGGTTGGAAGATGATCCCAGCCTCAGATGAGATTGCAGCCCCTGGCGATACATTGATTAAAACCTGGTGAGACCCTGAACAGGGAACCCAGCTGACCTGACCCACAGAAAGGGCGAGACAATAAATTTGCATGTTTTAAGCCAGTAAGTTTGTGGTAATTTATGCACCCATTGAAATCGAGACAATGTGTTTCTCCTAATTTATTCTGCGTATGTCTCTGTGTGTGTGTTTGTATGTGACAGAGAGAGAGAGAGAGAGAGAGAGAGAGAGAGAGAGAGAGAGAGAGAGAGAGAGAGAGAGACTAGGAAATCACTTCATTAGCTTTATGAAGGAAGCTTTGTAACAAGCAAAGTCCATGAAAACTCCAGAATTATCTACCTGGTTTTCACATAGAGAATGACTTCTCAGTTATCAATTAATTGGTAAATGCTGGGTGCTCCTTATATCCCCAGAGGGAGAGAGACCAAGGGTGAGAAGAAATGTCCAAGACCAGCCTCGTGACAGCGTTCATCCTCACGGGCCTTCCCCATGCCCCAGGGCTGGACGCCCCACTCTTTGGAATCTTCCTGGTGGTTTACGTGCTCACTGTGCTGGGGAACCTCCTCATCCTGCTGGTGATCAGGGTGGATTCTCACCTCCACACCCCCATGTACTACTTCCTCACCAACCTGTCCTTCATTGACATGTGGTTCTCCACTGTCACGGTGCCCAAAATGCTGATGACCTTGGTGTCCCCAAGCGGCAGGGCTATCTCCTTCCACAGCTGCGTGGCTCAGCTCTATTTTTTCCACTTCCTGGGGAGCACCGAGTGTTTCCTCTACACAGTCATGTCCTATGATCGCTACTTGGCCATCAGTTACCCGCTCAGGTACACCAGCATGATGAGTGGGAGCAGATGTGCCCTCCTGGCCACCAGCACTTGGCTCAGTGGCTCTCTGCACTCTGCTGTCCAGACCATATTGACTTTCCATTTGCCCTACTGTGGACCCAACCAGATCCAGCACTATTTGTGTGATGCACCGCCCATCCTGAAACTGGCCTGTGCAGACACCTCAGCCAACGAGATGGTCATCTTTGTGGACATTGGGCTAGTGGCCTCGGGCTGCTTTCTCCTGATAGTGCTGTCTTATGTGTCCATCGTCTGTTCCATCCTGCGGATCCACACCTCAGAGGGGAGGCACAGAGCCTTTCAGACCTGTGCCTCCCACTGCATCGTGGTCCTTTGCTTTTTTGTTCCCTGTGTTTTCATTTACCTGAGACCAGGCTCCAGGGACGTCGTGGATGGAGTTGTGGCCATTTTCTACACTGTGCTGACACCCCTTCTCAACCCTGTTGTGTACACCCTGAGAAACAAGGAGGTGAAGAAAGCTGTGTTGAAACTGAGAGACAAAGTAGCACATTCTCAGGGAGAATAAATACTAGGAAGTAGATACACTAGTTTGTTTAAAAATAGTAATATAATTTAGTTATTCATGTGAAATTGATTATATGTATAGTTCTCAGTGTTAAACATTATTCCAAAACACCTGCACAGTTATAATTCTTCCACAGATTGTCTAAGACAGTTTTAACCTCACAGCTAGACTTATGTGTATGAGGAACATGCTTATATTCTGATTTATTGATTCATTTCTCATCAATAGGTTCATATTAATTTAAAAAAATATTTTCATCGAATCTCCGGGATAGATGGTTGAGTCCTTCATGTTTACAACTTGATAAAAAGTTTTGTGTTTTGTTTGATTTTTTTTGCACACAAACTTAACAATTTACCATTATGGAGACATCGTTCAAAAATAGCAACAAATATTTGAGGTCATTTTTCTAATTGTGGCTGTAGCTGTTCAAATTTCTTTTTGGTTTTAATGTATCTGTATATTTGTATGTGTCTATACAAATCCAAACGTGTATACAAAAGAAAGTCTGTAGCATTTAGCATATTTAACATATAGGTTTTCATCATGTATGTATATGTATCTGTCTATTTACATACATGTATTGGAAAACATTTCTAGAAACACTATTTTTAATGGGCAAAAATAGCAAGCTATTAATATTTAAATATTATCAATGAATCAAATAGAAATTGTGTATTCACAGAATAGATTACTATCCAGCAATGATAATGTACGATTTACAGCTACATATATAATAGTTTATGCACTTATCACATGCGCCTATTTTATTATGTTTGTTAAGATTCAATATAAAACATTAAATCTCTTAAATATCTAGATCACTTGGGGCTGTTTTGTCCCCTGGTTCATTTGGCAATGTCTGGAAATATTCTTGCTTCTCACAGGCACTGGCATCTATTGGCTATAGGTCAGGGGTGTTAAGCATTCCACAATGCACAGGAGAGACCCTCACAACAAAGCTTATCATGGCCAAAATGTCGATAGTGCTGAGGATGAGAACCTGGAGCTGCATTTAATTTTAAGTAACATGTGTAAGACCATGACAATAGAAATAAAATATTTTCAGATAAATATAAAATTTGCTAAAAGAATGTAGGTTTACAACTTGCACACACGGAGACTCATATTTTAAAAAGGCCAATTTTATTCAACTAGATCTATACATTCAATACTATTCCAAGTAAAATCCCAGCATTTGATTTTGCAGCTATGGACATGTGGATCCTAAAGTTTGGATTGAATAAGTCCCAAAATGGTCAATATTATCTTGAAGAAATAAAACTTAACTGAAAGATTGACAACACTAGTTATCAGAACTTATTACACAGCTATAGTAACTCAGGAGTGTCTTATTTATATGGGGCTAGACAAATAGAAAATTGTAACTGAATACAGCGTAAAGGAATAGACTGATACACACTCATATGACAAAGATGACACTGCCGAGCAATAAAGCAAGATTACCTTCTTTAATAAATTATGTTAAGGTATCTGAGTATTCAGAATAAAAAAATTAGTCTTGACCCTATGTCATACTAGACACATAAAAACTCAATTATAGTAGATAGGAGATATCAATGTGGAGGACTGTATGACACTTATTTATGTAAGAGATTTTATAGGCGTGCAAAACCCTCTTGGAAAAAATTAATTAAAAACATATTTTTAAAGAAAATAAACAAATAGAGGAAGCTAACCATAAAAATAATACATGAGACTAAAGTTATTACATTTTGAAATAGAAAATTTGCCACTCATTTTCTTTGATGATAATGTAATAAAACTAGAGGTTAATACACAAAGTATAAAAGAGAATACAAAAATAATTGGGAACTTAAACCAAATTCCTTAAAGAAAAACCATTTCAGTTAATGAGGTAATTACAACTACAATCCCAAATTATATAGAAAATAAAAACATCCTTATGTCACGCATAAAATAAAATTAATTTCAGATGAAGTAAATATTTAAATGAAGGAAAAGGCCTTAAAACATTAAATATTACATAAGTGAATACTGATAAACTTGTATGTGAGAAAAAAAATTTTTTTGACAGGATCTGGCTCTGTTGTCCAGGCTGGAGTGCTGTGGTGTCACCTCAACTCACTGCAACCTTGGCCTCCCAAGGCTCAAGCGATCCTCCCACCTCAGCCTCCTGAGTAGCTGGGACTACATGCACCCACCATCATACTTGGCTAATTTGTGTAGTTTTTGTAGAGACAGGGTTTCACTGTGTTGCCCAAGCTGGTCTCCAACTCCTGGGCTTAAGCGATCCACCTGCCTTGGCTCCCAAAGTACTGGGATTACAGGCATGAGCCACTGCGCCTGATCAAGAAAATCCCTTTAAAGCAAAATGCCAATATCAGAAAACATATTGGAATCAGTTTATAAAATTTCCTAGAACAGCAAAAATATCTATGCAAGTTTAAAAAGTATTTAAGTGGTGATAAATTTCAAAGTACGTTTTACCTTACAATAAAAAACAAATTAATGTTTTCAATTTGTAAAACTTCAGATAAGTCAGTAAGATAAAGACTATTACCTCAAAAAAAAGCAATGAATAAAGATTCTAAAAAGTCAATTTACAAAAGGAGACGTATGCATGAAATATCAAAATTGTTTATTCATGTTGTAAAAGCAATGAAAATTATGACAGCAATAATATCTAATGATTACTGATACAATTGGGATATAATTATGTTAGGTAGGTAGATCTCTGGGGAAAAGCCACCCTGAAACTCTAAACAACAGAAAAAGCTGGGGAATTTGGATGATTAAAACCACCATAGACAGTGAACGAGTGAGTGATGCTGAGCTGGAGAGCACCAAAAAGTGAGGACCATTATGGATTATGGAAAATTTTAAGTTGAGAGCAAGCAGTTGTGAGTGTCTCTCAGCCACTGGTGAGAGAAAAGGGTAAGTCAGTTATTCTTTCCTCTAAGGTACAAATACTGATTCCAGGAAGGCATGGGCTCATCTCAGGAGGCTAAATAAAAAACTCTAAGGAAATGTGTGCATGCTTATGAAGATCCTTTCATTGGTCTCTTCCTGTTGGTTTTGTATGCATCAAGGGAACCTAAAAGCTGAAAAGGAATCCCATCCTCTGAGACACAAATCAACTTAAGTTCCTACCCATATTCATTTCCATTCCCTGCACTTCAACTGGTTTGGTCCTTAAGTAGAAAAGGACCACTCTTTCTTAACACTGTATCTGTTCTTTGAGTGGTATCTTGCAAACTTAGCACCTGTACACAGCATGTGGAAAGTGACAAATTGGGGCAAAAACTCAGATGAGTTTTACTATTGAAATGAATCACCTACTGTAAGATGAGTTCTTAGAAATGTAGATTTAACTTATTTTCTCCTGCTTTCCTTCTTTCCTTTATGTCAAACTTCCATTCAGATATAAGATATTCGATAATTGTTAAGACTTTGTTATAAAATCAGTTAGATACATAGATAGATAGATAGTAATTGATGGGATACTAATAGAGACAAAGTTGCTATGTATACTTCTGTATGTTAATATGCAAGTCAAACATTGACCCTGCGGATTGAGACTCTTGCTTTAGGTCTCAGGCTACCTTGGACTTCACTGGATGAGGATTTTCACATTTCATCAAATCTGATCATGAAGCTATTCTGGGAATTGTTCCTCCTGGTGCAGTAGAAATTTCAGAGTATCTTGGTTCTATTTTAAAAGTTCTGATATCCATGTTGGTGATTGCAGTAATCTCCTTTCTGCTATTTATTTACATATTTCAAAAACCTTTCTTTAAACTAGCTTAAGCCACATTCCCTGGAGGTATCTTCTCTGGGATTTCTGAAGGGCAGAGATCATGGCTTCTCTCACACTGGTGAACAAGTTTCATAGTATTTGCCCACTGAACAATTAGTAAGACTCCTGAACTAAGACAATATTTTGTATTAATATTAATATTAAGCAAAGAACCTTATTTTGGCCCTGATTTCCATTATACAGAATCCCAGCTTCTCTTGACATCAAGGTGGCATAGATCCCTCTTCTTACATTGGTCCCGTTTTTCCTGTCTCAGATTCTAGGTCTTAATTAAGAGAGAGACTTGATGGAATTGTCTTCTTTGTGAGATCATTCATTACCTGGATTTATGAGAATGAGGAGTAAAGGAAGATGGTGGAGGCAACACATGATATCTAACAAAGCCAATATTAGAATATATTTAGAAACCTAGGGTAGAAGGAGTATGAAAGACAGCTGGCCTCTACCCAGTGGATTGTGTTTGGGAGAGCACATATGAATGCCATGTTCTCAGAACCACATAGGAAGTGTTCTAGGGTAGCAGAAATGGGGGCAGGGGACAGTTATGCATGAACCTTGATGCTCTCTGGATCATTTGGGAGGTCGTGGGAATCCCATTATGGAGTTGCGCTGAGATTCTTACCTGCTCTGAGAGACCAAGGACAAGCCCTTTGAAAGCAGGCAGTAGTGAGGACATCAGTAACAGTATCAGGCACAAAATAGTCCAAGAAGACCTAGCTCTTAGATTCAGAAGGACTCTCTGAAAACACTGAAAGAATATATGTACTCTCTTTCTTCCTAAGACCAAAACTGGAAATTCTGTAATACTGCTGCAAGGCATAATGTGATAAGACTCACTGTCATTTATTGAGCAGTTACTACCTGCCAGGCACAGTACTTAGTACTTTATATGTATCATCTTATTTAATGCTTATAACTTCTCAGTGAGGTAGGTGATGTTAGTAATGTCAAATAACATATGAGGAAACTAGAAAATGATTTAGCTGAACTGTTCAGTTTTCAAATATTCCCAGCCACTAACAATTAAATTCTTGGTGTTTTTTTTTAAGTTTTCCCATGAGCAAGGAAGCAAAAATGAATGTGGTAGGTAGAATTTGCAGTAGCCTTCAAGATTCCTGCTGTCTAGTATATGCTTTCCATTTAATAACCTTCCTTTGAGTATGCCTGGGACCTGTTAATATGATGGAATATCACCCCCGTGACTGCATTACATAACATTATGTAATACTTTGCCATAGCAAACTGGAGAGAGTCTGTCTCGTTGGTTTTGAAGAAGTAACCTGTGGTGTTTTAAGAAGGCCAAGTAGCTAGGACTTTCTTGGACCTAGGGTGACCTCAGTAAGTTGAGAGTTACGTGTCCTGCCAACAAACAGCAAGGAAACTGGAACCTGAGTCCTAAAACTGCAAGGAACCGAATCGTGCCAACAACCACAAGAAGCTTGGAGAATGATCCCCAACCTCAGATGAGATTGCAGGCCTTGGTGATATGTTGATTAAAACCTGATGAGAGCTAAACAGAGGGCCCAGCTGACCTGACCCACAGAGAGGGCGAGACAATAAATTTGCATGTTTTAAGCCAGTTAAGTTTGTGGTAATTTATACACCTATTAAAATCTAAGACAATGCGTTTCTCCTAATTTCTTCCGCATATGTCTCTGTGTGTGTGTATGTGAGACAGAGAAAGACTAGGAAATCACTTCATTAGTTTATGAAGGAAGCTTTGTTAACAAGCAAAGTCCACAATAACTCCAGAATTATCTACCTGCTTGATGCAGTTTCCACACAGAGAATGGATTCTCATTTCTCAATTAAGTGCTAAATGCTGGGTGCTCTTTATATTCCCAGAGGGAGAGAGACCAAGGGTGAGAAGAAATGTCCAACGCCAGCCTACTGACAGCGTTCATCCTCATGGGCCTTCCCCATGCCCCAGCGCTGGACGCCCCCCTCTTTGGAGTCTTCCTGGTGGTTTACGTGCTCACTGTGCTGGGGAACCTCCTCATCCTGCTGGTGATCAGGGTGGATTCTCACCTCCACACCACCATGTACTACTTCCTCACCAACCTGTCGTTCATTGACATGTGGTTCTCCACTGTCACGGTGCCCAAATTGCTGATGACTTTGGTGTTCCCAAGTGGCAGGGCTATCTCCTTCCACAGCTGCATGGCTCAGCTCTATTTCTTTCACTTCCTAGGGGGCACCGAGTGTTTCCTCTACAGGGTCATGTCCTGTGATCGCTACCTGGCCATCAGTTACCCGCTCAGGTACACCAGCATGATGACTGGGCGCTCGTGTACTCTTCTGGCCACCAGCACTTGGCTCAGTGGCTCTCTGCACTCTGCTGTCCAGGCCATATTGACTTTCCATTTGCCCTACTGTGGACCCAACTGGATCCAGCACTATTTGTGTGATGCACCGCCCATCCTGAAACTGGCCTGTGCAGACACCTCAGCCATAGAGACTGTCATTTTTGTGACTGTTGGAATAGTGGCCTCGGGCTGCTTTGTCCTGATAGTGCTGTCCTATGTGTCCATCGTCTGTTCCATCCTGCGGATCCGCACCTCAGAGGGGAAGCACAGAGCCTTTCAGACCTGTGCCTCCCACTGTATCGTGGTCCTTTGCTTCTTTGGCCCTGGTCTTTTCATTTACCTGAGGCCAGGCTCCAGGAAAGCTGTGGATGGAGTTGTGGCCGTTTTCTACACTGTGCTGACGCCCCTTCTCAACCCTGTTGTGTACACCCTGAGGAACAAGGAGGTGAAGAAAGCTCTGTTGAAGCTGAAAGACAAAGTAGCACATTCTCAGAGCAAATAGACACTAGGGAAGATTACATATCTTAGCTCTTGTGAATAGTGCTGTGAAAAACATACAGGGGCAGGTATCTTTTGGATGTAATGAATTCTTTTCCTTTGGGTAGATACCCAGTAGTGGAACTGCTAGATTAAATGTTAATTCTATTTTTAGTTCTTTGAGAAATCTCCACACTGTTTTCCATAGAGGTTGTACTAGTTTACATTCCCACCAACAGTGTATAAGTGTTCCCTTTTCTCTACAGCCTTGCTAACATCTGTTATTTTTTTATCTTTTTAATAATGGTGATTCTGACTGATTTTGTGGCTTTAATTTGCATTTCTGTGATGATTATTGATGTTGAGCATTTTTTCATGTGCCTGTTAATCACTTATATGTTTTCTTTTGAAAAATGTCTATTCATTTCCTTTACCAACCTTTTAATGAGATTATTTGCTTTTCATTGTTAAGTAATTTGAGTTCTTTGTAAATTCTGGATATGAGTCCCTATTGGATGCATAGTTTGCAAATATTTTCTCCCATTCTGTTATTTCTGTTGATTATTTCTTTTGCTGTGCAGAAGCTTTTTAGTATAAGTGTTATTTGTCGATTTTAATTTTTGTTGCCTGTGCTTTTGAGGTCTTAGTCATGAATTTTTTCCTAGACCATGTCCAGAAGAGTTTTCCTGAGGTTTTCTTCTAGCATTTTTATAGTTTCAGTAGGCTGTGCTTTTTTTTCTTACCTTTTAACATGTCTTATAATTTTTTGTTGAAAGCTAGACATCTTGTTTCAGGTAATAGGAACTGAGACAAATAGGCAGTTAGAAGGGAGATTTATGGTAATCTAGTCTGGCTAGAAGCTGAACTGTGTGTCATGTTTGTAGGGACCAAAGGCTTCAAATTCCTCTAGTGTCTTGTTTTGCCTTGCCCATTTATTTTAAGTATCCTTAAATACTAGTCCTCAAAGAGAGTCTGTGACTAGTAACTCTTTCAGCTCTTCAACTCTTTTATTTACTGTTATTTACTGGAGCCCTGTTGGTGTGGTTGTAAGAGTTGAGGGAGTATTGTCCTGTAAAATTCTGATTCAACACTTGTGTTTTTAGTGGGCCTGTCTTTAGAACTGTGACCTTCACAAGTGTTTTCATAAATACCTCCCATCTCAATTCCCTGTTTCTCCCATTCTCTTCTCCAGCTACATTCAACATTCCCAATCTAATTCCTCTAAAACTGACGCGTTTAATATGTTTTCCCCTTTAAGTAAGACAGGAGGGCTATAGGTGTCAAACTTAAAGGGGAGAAATGCACTTCCCCCATTTGGGATAATAATCTGACAAAGCCTTTGCCCAGGGAACAGATATCTGATGTAGAGGAAGCTCTGGGTATGTTTCACAATGGTTACCTATCCCCTAACTCTACCAGAGCCAAGAGGGGATTTTTTATTTATTTATTTTATTTTTAGCTTTTCATGATAGGAAACCGGAGGGGGTTCATGAAGGTAAAGTCCATAAACATGTAGGACCCCACCTAAAATAAATTGATCCTTTTAGCTTTTTATGAGTAGACATTTAAAAAATGTCCTTTATATCTCTGATAATACTTCTTACTTGAAAGTTCACTTTATTTGCTAATAATATAGTCATATTAGTTTTTTTCCTAGTATTTTCTTGGCATAAATTTTCTACCCTTTAACTTTCCGTGTGTGTGTGTGTGTGTGTGTGTGTGTGTGTGTGTTTGTATTTAGTGTAGTTGTTTTTAAACCAGATATAATTAGATGTTGCTTCTTTTATAAGCTGCCTGTTTTACTTATTTATTTATCTTTTTTTGTAGTGCATTACTGTATCTGTAATAGTCTAATATTTTGTTGTTTTCTATTCTTACCTTAAATTCCTTTCTCTTTATTCATGTTTCTCAATCTTTTTTGTATTTTTCAAAATATTTAATGTATTAATCAAGTATTTTCATTACTTTATTTCATTTTTCATTACTTTTAACTATTTTTACTTTTTATTATATTTTTATGATAAAGTCAATATCATTTCAATGCATTACAAGCTATTTGCATTAGTACCTTACCATATTTGAATAATCCAAGAGTCTTACATTTAGTTCCATGTAATGGCTTTATACCTTTTTTTAGAAATATTTTTGACCTTTATTTAATTTCTAACTAATTAATTTCTAACTATGTTATAAACCAGACAACATGTTACTGTTGGGGCTTTAAACAGTCAAAGGTCTTCTTGTATGTTTATGTACGTATTCACCCTTTCCTGTGGTATTTATGGACTTATCTATTTTGCACTTCTATCCTTCTATCTAGGATTATTTTATTCAATTTTAGAATATCCTTTAGTAATTTGTATAGTGTGTGACTACATTTTATACAGTTTTGAAGGGAGGTTAGGTCTGCACCAATTACTTCGTCATTGCTCTTTAGAAATAAGTTTCTCTTTTTTGTTTTTAATTTGTAGTTTGACTTTTTGCCTGCTCTCTCTCTCTCTCTCTCTCTCTTTCTCTCTCTCTCTATATATATATTATGCTTTAAGTTCTAGGGTACATGTGCACAACGTGCACGTTTGTTACATATGTATACATGTGCCATGTTGGTGTGCTGCACCCATTAACTCATCATTTACATTAGGTATATCTCCTAATGCTATCCCTCCCATGTCCTTTGTAGGGACATGGATGAAGCTGGAAACCATTATTCCCAGCAAACTATCGCAAGGACAAAAAACCTAACACTGCATGTTCTCACTCATAGGTGGGAATTGAACAATGAGAACACTTGGACACAGGAAGGGGAACATCACACATCAGGGCCTGTTTTGGGGTGGGGGGGTTACTTTTTTCCTGCTTTTAAAAACTTTATTGGGAAAGAATTTGTTTTTAAAATGCAAAACTTTATTGAGGTATAGTTTGTATCCATTTTAGGTGCACAGTCTGATATGTTTTAACAAATGGAAGTACCTGTGTATCTACCACAAAAATCATGGTAAAAACTTTTCCAGTACCACGTATAATCTGCCGTGTCCCTTCTCATCAGTCCTACACTACCCTAAGCCCCAGATAACTACTGATCTGCCTTCTCTCACTATGGATTAGATTTGTCCTTTTTAGAGTTTCCTATGAATGGGATCATATAGTATATACTATCTTGTGTCTGACTTGTTATGTTTATCCTAATGTTTTTTATATTTATTTGTGCATTTGTGTGTATCAGTAATGCATTTGTCATTGAAAGGTAGTCTATTATATAAATATGCCATAATCTATTACCTATTGCTTTCAGTTTGGGGATATTATTAATAAAGCTGCTACATAGATTCATTTGCAAATATTTGTTAGGCATATGATTTAAACTCTCGGGTAAACATTAAAAAATAGATTTGTCAAGTTGAATGATAAGTTCAATGACAAATATGTATTTAATATTTTAAAAAATTGGGTTTTCTCCAAACTGGCTGTACCGTTTTATATATCTACCAGAAATGCATAAAAGTTCTTATTGATCCACATTCTCAATAATATTGACTTTAGGTTTCTAAATTTTGGCCATTTGACTATGTGTGTGTAGTCTTATTATGTCTGAATTTATATTTCACTAACGGTTAATAATGTTGAGCAATTTTTCATCTTCCTGGTGCCCATTCAAATATCCTTCTTTGAGAAGCGTGTGTTCAGATCTTCTGCCCATTTCTCATTGGGTTGTTTTTAATTATTAAATTGTGGTATATCTTTACAATTTTTTATTCAGTTCTTTATTAGATATATGCATTACAAATATTTACATCTAGTGTGTTTTTTGCCTACTCATTTACTTATTAATATCATTGGAAGAGCACAAATTTCTAATTTTGATAAAGCCCAACTTTTGACTTATTTCTATGGTTCATGTTTTCTGTCCTCCTTAAGAAATCTATATCTACCTCAAGTTTATGAAAGTTTCTCTCCTACTTTTTTGTCCTAGAAATATAATAGTATTAGCTTTTACATCTAGGTCAATAATCTCATTTAAGTTAATTTTTGTATATAAAGTGAAGTAATATTCAAAGTTTCGTTCTTACTTAGGGATAGACAGACTTTTAGGCATAATTTGTTGAAAGTATCACACTTTTTTCTTCAAAATGCCTTGGCACTTTGGCTAAAAGTCAACAGACTGCTATGCGTAGGTCTCTTTCTGGACTCCATATTCTGTTCCACTCATCCACATATTATCTCCATCTTTAAACACACAGGTTTTATGCTTCTGTGCCTACTATGTGCACCATGTGCCTTCAATGTGCACCTTTATTTCCCAAATCCTCAAGCGGCCCTTTTATTATTTAAGTTAATCCTTTTGACACTTGATTTTCTTTTAATTTCCTTCTAGTATCCCCTCAATGCTATTAAGATCTAACCTATTAAAGGAGTTTAATAGCATCAGGGAACTGAAAGAGCAACAGTGGTGGCCCTTTCATCCTTTGCTATCTTTCATGACCATGCCATCAAGAAGGAGCTGCTTTTATAAATACTGTCTCTGGACTTCTTTGAATTTACAACCTTCTAGAAAGGTCTTTGAGTGTCATTGTGAGAAATAATACTGTAAGGAAGGTCCAATAACAGATTTGTATAAAACTCCTTAAGGTTTCCTTTCTTGGACTTCCTCGAGAAATGTAGGAGAGGTGGTGGTTACTTTTTCCTGATCTGACCTCTCTTCATGCTACTATTGAATAAGAGACATTTCCTTCTCCATGTTAGGAAACAGATGTTTAACAGCCAGCACAAAACAAGGAATATAGTGACCAGTACTCTTGCTTACTTAACTGTGTAGGCTTCTGCATCTCCCAAGCTACACCTTCAACCAAATAATTTTACCCGAAACTTCCACAGGCACTCGACCCAAACATTCCCAAAGTCAGACACTTTCATTCTACCCTAAGAACATATCCCTGTTACTTTCTCTATTTTGATAAGTTATATCACAATGGCCAAATCATATGAACTTCTCCATCAGCTTTGCCGCCTCACACAGTGGGCTCCTATTTGCTGTCCCTTTCCCCACTCCCAATTCCCTCTGCTGTTGTCTCAACTTGGACTTTGGTGTTTTTCTTTCTTGATATACAATCAAAAAAGCTCTTTAGTTGCTGCCCTAAAATTCACCTTCCTTCCGTCTGTCTTCCATGTTACCACAGGTTATGTCTCTAAATAAAAATGCTATCATATTACAGTATTTCAATAACTCTCCAGAACTTGCAAGATAAAAATCCTTCTTCCTAGTATTGTATACAAATTTTGTCATGATTTGTTTGATTTTTATGACTCATCAACTTAGGAACACTATACATCTTGTATATTGGGACTACAAACTTCTTAACAGGAGGTCTATGCCTGTTTATTTTGTTTTGTACTAATTGTACATAGGACACGATAGCCACTCAGTGTATATTTATTTATTGAATGGATAAATAGGTAGATTGAGCCAGGTTAAAATTAACATACACTGGTGTTAAAACTGTATAGTATTTAACAAATACACACACATACACGTGAGTAAAACTAGAAAAATCTGAATAAGATTTGTGGATTATAATAATGTCAATATCCCAGTTGTGATATTGCACTACAATTTTGCTAACTGTTACCATTGGGGGAAACTGGGCAAGGTATAACAAGAACTATCACTGTGTTATTTCTTACAACTTCATGCGATTCTAAAATTATTTCAACAACATTTTCAATTAAATAAAGACTGACATTCTTCTTATATATGTTTATCAATAATTTACTTTCAAAATGGTTGTGTGTGATACATATTGCCATAGTATTTTGAATCCTTTAGCATCTTTCCAAGTCAAAACTAATAATGAATCTCTCCTTGGGCATCCATTGCACTTACAACAATGTAACCTGGACAATGCAACATATTTTTCCCCCTTGCCAGACAATGACTTTGGTGAATGCAGAGACCTTGTCTATTGTTTTTGCGTATCTACTGTTTAGCATGTGACTTAACACCCAATAAATATCCCATAACATTTTAGGTAATGGTAAGTTAGATATAACAGCGTGATGTTACAGAGAAGTGTAAGAATCCAAGTGAATCCAATGACTAAGTAATTTTGGTTTATGTCTACCTCAGTTTTTTCCTTTGAGAAATGAGCTGAATTATATAATTGGTCCATAGCAATCTGGTTTCTTGGTGTGAAAACCAAAAATTTACCTCTTATACTGATCATGGTTTATGTAGTTCATGCTTCATGTACTGTGTCATGGTTTATGTAGCTCATGCTTACCAAGTTAGTATGTTTTTCTTCTCAATATCACCGCACAGTTTACTTGGAGCAAGATATGGAAAGTTGGCACAAAGGAGCATTCTTGCTAAAGCATCTTTGAAATGCAGCTGCTGCAAATCTGAGGAGTTTGAGAAATGCTTTTCAGTTCTAGCAGCTGCCTTCTAGTTTTCTTTTACTCTTCATGCTATGCTAGGCAGAGTTGGCATGACCAGGATACCTGTGGTATTTAAATTAAACATTTATTTTGAGAAAAATTTATTTACACTTTAAATATATGTATTTATTTGGATGACAGATTATAAGGTTCATGGTCTGAGCCTTACCTACCCAGAGAGTGTACAGAGTCCATTTCATATACTTTAAGTCAAACAAACGAATGTGACTTGCAGACATAGTCTAATTACATGGGAAATATTATCTAGTACTTTATTCTAAATTAAGGGATACTCTTAACAGTTTTTGACTGCATATTTTTGTCTCTAAGATTATTTGATCATTTTTGTATATTTATTATTTATCCTCTGGTACTTATAAAAATAATTTTAAAATTGCTGAAAATGGAAACTTGCCATTGAGGATAAGAGATTGGCAGCTCCACAAATATGGAAGGAAAGTCTAGATAGTTGTCATCAGAGACCAATACAATGTGTACAGTGTATACAGTGCATAAATGGACAAATATTTACTCTCAGAAATCTTTCAGGCCAAAGTAAGAAAAAAATATTAAAGAGTTATATGGTTTTTATTGGCCCATGAATGTGAATAAAGCCATTCTTCTTGAGAACCAAGCCTTTTTGTCTAGTATTTTCTAAAGTAAAAATTTTATCTTATGGATATTAAATTATGTAGTTATTTATGAATGCTATAATGAATTTTTCAATATAGAAAGTTTAAAACATGAAAAGATTTTTATAAGGCTTTGACTTAAATGACACAAAATAAACTGTAAGAACATTATACTGAATAACAATTCTGGAAAATATTTATATAAGAAAATAAATTACTTTTCTGATTACTTAATGGAACGTGAAAAGAATAGACTATTATCCTTTCTCTTAGATTATCACCGTGAAATGGCTGCTTTAACTAGGATTCTAACAAACACTCTGCAGAAAAAAATGAAAAATTAATTAACTGTCCAATTAAAAATTAAGACTGAATAATTGAAATGCTCCATTCAAGTATAATGCTTATGTTGAAGGTTTAATTTAATTACAAATAAAAAAAGAAAAGTTAGCCATATATGGCCTTTCTTAACTATTCACCCTGAGCAAATACTGACCCATTTTTCAGCTTCAACAGAGCTTTCTTTACCTCCTTGTTTCTCAGGGTGTACACAACAGGGTTGAAAAGAGGAGTCAGCGTGGTGTAGAAAACGGCCACAACCCCATGCAAGGCGTCCCTGGAGCCTGGCCTCAGGTAAATGAAAAGACCAGGGCCAAAGAAGCAAAGGACCACGATACAGTGGGAGGCACAGGTCTGAAAGGCTCTGTGCCTCCCCTCTGAGGTGCGGATCCGCAGGATGGAACAGACGATGGACACATAGGACAGCACTATCAGGACAAAGCAGCCCGAGGCCACTAGCCCAATATTCACAAAGATGACCATCTCGTTGGCTGAGGTGTCTGCACAGGCCAGTTTCAGGATGGGCGGTGCGTCACAGAAGTAGTGCTGGATCTGGTTGGGTCCACAGTAGGGCAAATGGAAAGTCAATATGGTCTGGACAGCAGAGTGCAGAGAGCCACTGAGCCAAGTGCCGGTGGCCAGGAGGGCACACGAGCGCCCAGTCATCATGTTGGTGTACCTGAGCGGGTAACTGATGGCCAGGTAGCGATCATAGGACATGACTGTGTAGAGGAAACACTCGGTGCTCCCCAGGAAGTGGAAAAAATAGAGCTGAGCCACGCAGCTGTGGAAGGAGATAGTCCTGCCGCTTGGGGACACCAAGGTCATCAGCATTTTGGGCACCGTGACAGTGGAGAACCACATGTCAATGAAGGACAGGTTGGTGAGGAAGTAGTACATGGGGGTGTGGAGGTGAGAATCCACCCTGATCACCAGCAGGATGAGGAGGTTCCCCAGCACAGTGAGCACGTAAACCACCAGGAAGATTCCAAAGAGGGGGGCGTCCAGCCCTGGGGCATGGGGAAGGCCCGTGAGGATGAACGCTGTCAGTAGGGTGGCGTTGGACATTTCTTCTCATATATGGGGCTCTGTTCTTACAGAAAGGAAGGGAGATAGCATTTACTGTGAGCATGTTTTATATGAAATATGGCAACTATATTTTTCTGATTAAGAACAATAGGGTTAAATTATTTTTTATATTTTATAACTTCCTTTTGCTTCAGTATAGGTCTTTGAAGAGGAATAGCACTTTCTTATTCCAGTACCAGAATAAGCCATATACAAAAGAGGAGGAAATTAACATAAAATCAGCCAAATTTTGAAAAGAAGAACAAATTTTGTATCCTATTTTCTGTAGAATTGGAAAAGATATACTCAAATTAACAACACTTAGGTGCTGGCAAGCTCTTTCCGGGGATAAGCCTTTATTCAAGCATCTCTCTCTGTTTTTCTCTCAAACACACACATATATAGATACGCATGCACACACACATTCTCTCTGTGTCAACACACACACACACACTTTCACACATACAGGTTCAGTCTCTTTGATCATTAGAGAATTTCCATTACAAATACAAATTTCTAAAGCAAGCTTCATTCTGGATGGCTGGGAGAAAACTGCCTTCTCAGAGCTCTCTGGCCAGCTGCAGAACTAAGGCAGGATTCCAGCAGTGGTTTAGCATTATGTGGAGCCGGTCTTCTGTTCCTTTGTCTTACCCTAGATCAGGGGTCCTCAAACTCCAGGTCAGGGACTGGTACCGGTCCATGGCCTGTTAGGAACCAGTCCGCACAGCAGGAAGAGAGCTGCCAGCAAGCGAGCATCACCACCTGAGCCCCGCTTCCTGTCACGTCAGCAGGGGCATTAGATTCTCGTAGGAGTGGGAACCCTATTGTGAACCGCACATGCGAGGAATCTAGGTTGTGTGGTCCTTATGAGAATCTAACTAAGATCCTCCCCCTCCCCACCCCAGGTCCCACCCTGGTCCATGTAAAAATTGTCTTCCATTAAACCAGAAACTGGTCCCTCGTGCCACAAACACTGGGGACCCCTGCCCTAGATCATACCTTCCTGGTCATATACAAAGTTTGACCCCAAGCTAATGCAATAATGAACAGTACCATCATTTTCTTTAGCTTCCCTTATTCTGTGTCTCTTTCTATTTATACATTTTGTATTATTTACTTCTCCAGAATTTTAGGCAATTAAGCCTTCTCTTTCTAAAGTATGATCAAATAATCTCACAACACATTTTGAGATAGCCAAGAAGAATGGAACCTGCTTGAGTAGTAAGAAAGACTAAACTTTCTCTGATGTTTGAGTTTCAGAATGGAATTAAAATAATAATATAGTTATTACAAAAATACAAATGCCCTTCTAAAAATAAAAAAAGTCTTTTATTTCCATTATTTCTAGGATTTCTATTATTTCAAAGCTCAGACTCAAAGTTTTTCTTTTTTTCTTTAACGTGGACACAATGTCCCAGACATTATATTTTCAAGAGAAAATAAATTAAAATTTATGAAGAAATATAAGGAAACGTGGTTGAAGACCTGGACCTCTCTGATAGAAAAGAAGCATTTCATTATTAATTTCTAAAATGCTTCTGTCATAAATCAGCAATACATTTTTTGTGGGGGGGGCTCTGACAGAAGCAGACTTTTCCATCATGGAATTCAGCTGCAACTGAGTTGGAAACTCAGAGTTGCAATGCTAAGGTTTATAGAAAAAGCACTTCATTGATTTATGATTTCACAAAATTTTTAGTCTTCTACAGAACCACAAAAAGTTGGCTCTGTAAGTCATGACTAAGATAATCTAGCTTCATTAGCCAAAGCTGACGAAAAATGAAGAGAAACAAAAGTATGACCATAAATACATCATAATCACCTCCCCTCAAAAAGTGTCTAATAACGAAAAATGCTGAAGTGTTGCCAATTTTTGCTACTTACCAATTTTACAACTAGGTTTTGGATCATGAAGCAAAATTCAATATTGAAAGAAAATGTCAGTTCTTGATAAGTGGTATAATTTTTCTTTTCTTGCAAAGATGAAACCACAGAAGAAACTCTTTTTAAATAGAACTTAATATGAATTTGATGTCTTAGGAGACACTCCGTTAGCTCTACAGTCCTTATGAGTGAAGATAATGTGTTGACATCATGATAAACACTTGGAATTTTTTCCAAATGCATCTGCTAAAGTTGATTCTGCATTGGATGGCCATCATTCCATAAACCTTTTTATTTAGCCAAAAATCAACTTCCAAAATGAATAACTATGACACTCTGGATCTGAAAACTCCTTGTGCAGGGAATGATTTTTTTCCTATTTCTTTTTTAAATTTAATAATAGTAAATATGGGTTTTAGTTATAAAGGAGCTAATTATCTGAAGAGGTGCATAGTCTCTCTGATAAATCTTTAACTTTGTGGTGAGTCACAAAAAGAAGCTCCGGATTTTCTGTGCTCCAGGGATGATCAGAGTACTACTCCCTGTAGATAAACATCTTCCTAATTAAACTTCCTCCCTCTGGGGCTTGGCAGACTCTCACTGTGCAAGTTCCTGGCTGAGAATGGATGCTAGTTCAGAGATTTTCTGTTCTTCTCAGAGACTTTGCCTTTGTTCTTTCATATCTTCTAAACTTTAAAATGTATTTAAATTTTCTGTGAAACTTTCTTTTATTTTTTAGCTTGAATTAATACAATTAAAGAGAATGAAGGTATGCTTTTCTTCCATAATTAATATATTTCTTAGCTATTAGGAAAAAGCTTTCATGAAAACAACAAGAAAAACTGGTCTAATGTAGATGCCCAAAGCACTGTTAGTTTTGGAGGACAATTGCAGTTTCATGAGCCTTTTGTGCTAATAGAAATGCTCTCATCTGCATATGGAAAATATAGTCCTATATGGAATGGAATTTGAAGAACTGAAGTCCCCTGAATTAATATTTTTTTCCAATTAAATTACCAAATTACCCATTTTTCTGACATTGGTTATCCATTTAGTATAAGGCATATTTAATCAATGTAAAATCACAATATTATTTTAGTAATTACTTTCAATTTAGCTCCAATTATATTTTGAAATCTCTTTATCAAATATATGCTATCAATTTTTGTTAATTGAAACTTCTATCCAACTTTCTGTACTTATCTTTGTGAATACTAT
Organism: Homo sapiens; assembly: GCF_000001405.40. NCBI lineage: Eukaryota > Metazoa > Chordata > Mammalia > Primates > Hominidae > Homo > Homo sapiens. Next base: position 124,042,104 of record NC_000011.10, read on the forward strand.
TAACTTGTGCTTTCAGTGTAACTTATCAATTTTCTTGGTATACAGTATACAGTTACATTATCTTTATAAAATGATACTTTTGTCTTTCTTTCCAAAAGTAAACATTTGTTATCTTTCTTTTCTGTCTTGCTGTATTGGTAGAAGACACTATTGTCACCCACCTAGCAATGGTTTAGGAATTACTTAGGTCTGTTGTGAGTGCTACACAACTTGTCTGTGCCTTTTTCCAGGAAGAGGAGTTCAATAGTAACATTTGCTGAGTTTTAATTTCTTTAAGAAAAAGAAAGGAATTATCCATCATTTTTGGCTGTTTCACTAAAACCCAGTGGGATTTTATGTGATAAACACGCCAGAACTTCTAAACATCATCAAGAATTCTGCATTGATAGTTCTTTGCACATGGAAAAAGGCACAGCTGAATCCACCCACACAGTCTGGTGACTTGTTGATACTCTAACAAAGACTAGAGAAGCGTAGAAGTCCAGGCATTCCTGTTTACCAACCGTATTCATCACTGGGCCTCCTCTGCCACTGAGCCATTTCTCTGTTTTTTTCACAATTACTTTTGCTATTCAAAGTCCTTTGCGGCCGGGTGCGGTGGCTCACGCCTGTAATCCCAGCACTTTGGGAGGCTGAGGCAGGCGGATCAGGAGGTCACGAGATCGAGACCATCCTGGTTAACACGGCGAAACCCCGTCTCTACTAAAAATACAAAAAATTAGCCAGGCATGGTAGTGGGCGCCTGTAGTCCCAGCTGCTTGGGAGGCTGAGGCAGGAGAATGGCGTGAACCCGGGAGATGGAGCTTGCAGTGAGCCGAGATCACGCCACTGCACTCCAGCCTGGGTAAGAACGAGACTCTGTCTCAAAAATAAAATAAAATAAAATAAAAAAGTCCTTTGCGTTTCCATATAAATTTTACACAAAAAATTGTTTATTTACACACACAAAAGCCTGCTGTGATTTTGATTGGAATTGCATTCAATCTATCAATAAATTTGGGACAATTGCTATCTTAGTAATACTGGATTATGTTTGATCACAAATACTGTTGATCTCTTTTGTTTCTCTCAACAATGTTGTGTCGTTTCAGTGCTCATATCCAGTATATTTTGTCAGGTTTATCACTAGGAATATTTTATTTTGATGCTATTTTAAATAGTACTTCTAAAATTTCAACTTCCAATTGTTCGTTGTTAATACATAGAGTTGATTGATTATTGCATATAAATCTTATATCTTACAACTCAGCTAAACTCACTTATCAGTTCCTATAGTCTTTTTAGATATTCCATCAGATTTTCTACATAGATGACCATGTCGTGTGCAAACACAGACAGTTTACTTCTCCTTTACAATCTAGATTCCTTTTAGTTCTTTTTCTTAGCTAAATGTCCTGTCTAGAAACTGTAGCTCAATGTTGAATAGAAGTGGTGGCAGTAGACATGCTAGGTTCTTGATCTTAGGGGAAAATATCTAGTTTTTTTTACTACTAAGCATGACGTCAGCTGTGGGGTTTTTTTTGTTGTGTTTGTTTTGTTTTTCTGTTTGACAAATGAGATTGGTTCCTTCTATCCCCTAGTTAGCTGAGATTTTTTTTTACCAGAAATGGCTTTTGCAATTTGTCGAGTGCATTTTCTGCATCTATTGAGACAGTCATATAGTTTTTCTTTTTCAGTTTGTTAATACGGCAAATTATGTTGCTTGAGTACTGAATATTAAACTATACTTACATTCCTGGAATCAACCTGGTTGATTATGATGCAAATCATTTTTTTCATATATATTAAATTCAATTTGGAAAATTTTATTAGGAATTTTAATATACTTGTTTATAAAGAATATAAATTGATAGCTCTTTTCCTATAATGTCTTTGTCTTGTTTTTGTATCAAGATAATACTGAAATCATCGAATGAGTTGGGACGTTTCTTGCCTATTCAATTTTCTGATAGAGTGTGTGTAAATTTTGTATTATTTATATATTTTAACTCAGAACTCTGTTCCTGAAAATCAGCAAAACTGTTGTGCTCTGCTTCAGACCCCTATCCATGCACCATGGCTCAGAATGTGCCTCCAAACAGAGTGCTCACCTCATTTGCTTTTCCTTTCTTGGGGATCACAGTCTTGTGCTACTTGTTGTTCAATGTCTGAAAATACCTGTTTTAATATATATTTTGGGGTCCAGTGTTCTATGTCTATATTGTGAGAGGAGAAATCTAATCCTTGTTATTGTATCACGGGCCAGAATTGAACATCTCCAAATTAACTATTTTTATTTTCATCATTTGCGTTGTGTTGTGAAATATAAAGTAAATAGATAAAACTTCGTACAGACACAGGCCAGATGTATTCTAAAGCAAACATTCATGTCTCCACCACCCAAATTAAAAAAGTAAGTATTGCCAGCAACCTTTGAGCCTTCACATCTCTTCCTGAAGTCAATCTCCTTCCATTCCGCTATCATGAGAATCTCAATTTCGTACTAATTTTGAGGGTATCTTTAAACAATACAGTTAAATTTTGCCTTTTAAAAACTTATGTAAGTGGAATCATAGTTATATTTAATATAGAGTTTCTATACGGTTGGGCAAAAGTAATTACGGTTTTTGCTATTGCATTTAATGGCAAAAATCGCAATCACATTTGCTCTAATGTAATATTTAAAATTATGTTTTGAAGACATGTACATATTGATATGTACAGCAATAAATTTATTCATTTAATTCATATGCATTGTTCCATTGTAAAATACACACTTGGTAGATACTTGGGTTTTCAAATTTTGGTTATAACAAAAATCCCGCCTTAAATACTCTTATACATTACCCTGGGCACATAAGCCTGAGTTTCTACATGGAAATGTTGATATTGTGAGGAAGATATCTTCCAGCTTATTTGAAAGTAATAAACCTTTTTTAAAAAGTAATTCTATAAATTTATATTCCCTTTAGAAATGTGTGAAAGTTCTTGCAATTGACAATTTTGACATTTACTTTAGGCATAATTTTAATGCAATTTTAATTTGCATTTCCCTAACTCTTAAAGTGATAGAGTAGATTTTCTTTTGTTTATTGGCCAATTGTATTTCTTCTTTTATGAAGCCTGGCCAAGTAATTTACCTACATTTATTTATATTGGATTGCTTGATTTTAATATAAATTTTAGAAATTCTTTATATATTTTGAATACCAGTCCTTGATAGTAATATTTGTTATAAGTAACATCTTTTTCACTTTTTATTTTTATTTTTTACTATTTTAATATTATTCTCAATATTAAAGTAACCAAAACGAATGATGTTTCTTTTATTTCTCTTAGTTTCTATACCTGCATCAGAAAGTTTTTCCCCAATTCAATTTGTAAAAGCCGTATTATTTGTTATAAAAATTTGAGTTTATAATGGCCCTGGAATTGATTTTGTGTATAGTATGTGGTAAGAGATTAATCTGATTTGTTCCATGTTGATTCAGTTGTCCAAGCATAATTTATTGGAAAAATACATTTACCATAATCTTCCATGCCAGCTTTGACTTAAATCAAATATGCAAGGGGTGTGTTTTTATGCTGTCTATTCTATTCCATTTTTAAATTAATCTGGTCCTAAACCAACCTCACTTTTTTTAGTTGCTATAAAGAAAAATAATAAATACAAATTTGTAAATATGTTTAGCTTTAAGAATAACCAAAAATGAAGATTAAAGATAGTTGGTTGAAAACTGCTTATGGTAAAAGCTTTAAAACTTTTAAGTAATTAAATAATAACACTGGTAAAGTTGGCTCTTGCAAGCACTGGTGCTAACAAAGTAAACAATTTAATAATAATCTTCAAAACCATAATATTCATTAATTTTATAGGATTTCTACTTAGGTTTACTTATCTTTAGTAAAGTCTCAAATATGGATAACTACATGGGTTAATAAGATTATCATAGTGCATTATACATGCACTTATGTCTACCTATTTTTCTAACAGTACTTTTTTATTTGGGAAAATATTAAAAAACTGTTAAAAAATTAAATATCCATAAAAATGAATATGTTTGAGTAAAGTGGCCATAGGGAATGTAAGTTAACATTATGGAAAACAGTGTGGGGATTTCTCTAAAAACTAAAAATAGAACTTTCATGCAGCCCAACAATTTCACTATTGGGTATTTATACAAAGGAAAGCAAGTCAGTATATCAAAGGTGCAGTACACATGCACCTCCATGGTATATATACACAATGGAATACTATTCAGCCACTAAAAAGAGTGAAATACTGTCATTTGCAGCAACATGGATGAACCTGGAGGATGCTATGTTATGTGAAATAAGTCAGGCACAGATATATGAATACTGCATGTTCTCACTCATATGTGGGAGCTAAATTTTTTTTTTGAGCTCATGAAAGTAAAGAGTAGAACTGTGGGTATTAGAGGCTGGAAAGAATAGATGGGGAAAATGGAAAGAGGTTGGTCAACGAATACACAATTACAGCTGAATAGGAGGAATTAGTTCTGGTGTTCTGGAGCACTGTAAGGTGAACATAGTTACCTATAATTTATTGTATATTTTGAAAAAGCCAGAAGAAAGATTTTTGGATGGTCACAACACAGAGACATGGTAAGTGTGTGGGGGATAGATACACTAAGTACTCTGAATTGATCATTGCACATTGTATACATGTATTGAAGTACCACTCTGTATCTCATAAATATGTACAATTTTTATGTGTCAACTAATAAAAGGAAAACAAAAAAGATGGTTGTAATAATTGAGTAATATGGAAAATATTTTGATAAAATTGTAAACCAAAAATAAACTAAACAAAAAGATGCAAAGCTACATATATAGCATAATTGGAACTAGTTAAAAATATTCCTTATCAGTATAAAAACATTGATAATATTAAAACAGAGAAAGTGTGTGGGTTTTTTTGCCCCTTTGAATATTTACCAAGTAGTTTATAAACTTGTGATGCCACTTTCATAGTGAATATGTCATGTCTTATGAAATAAAGAGGTAGGGAATAGAAAGGGCATGAGAAAAGAGAGGAAAGCCTCTAATTATTCCCTTTGCCCTTTCATGCTTTTAAAGCCTGGGGATTAGGCCACTGGGAATATTGCCTGTAAGGAAACCAGGTCCATTTATACTTTCAAGTTTGAAAACTTATAAATTCAGAATTTCAGGTCCATTCTAATAGCAGGACTGAGTGTGGCATCTATGTGTCTTGTAATCCAGAGGAGAGGGTGCAATATCTTGGCTGTATGCCATGGCATCTTATGTAAAACAGAGTTTTGGCTTTAGGAACACATTCTTCTTGCCTGGAAACTTGAGAAAAATCTTGCTACCCGTATTCAAAGTGCTTCCCATCAGTTGGTATGTGCCTAAAACTTTGCCGCTTCTGTTTAAATACTTTTTAAGTTTTTAATTTTTGTGGGTACTTAGTAGGTGTACATATTTATGAGGTGAAGGAGATGTTTTGATACAAGCATTCAATAAGTCATAATCAGATCAGGGTAAATGGGGTATCCATCACCTCAAGCATTTATCATTTGTGTTACAAACAACCGAATTATACTCTTTTAGTTATTTTTAAATGTACATCTCTTGTTCTACACATATTTCTCTCTTTCCTCTTCTCTTCTTCTTTCCTAGTTTTTCACAGTGTTAAATTTTTAAAATTCTTCCATTTATTTCAATAGTTTTGGGGGGTATATGTGGTCTTTGGTTACATGGATGAGTTCTTTAGCAGTGAATTCTGAGAGTTTAGTGCACCTGTCACCTGAGCAGTGTACACTACACTCAATGTATTGTCTTTTATCTCTCTTCCCACGCCCAACTTCCTCCACCCTGAGTCCCTTACTGTCCATTGTATCAGTCTGTGTGTTTTTGCATCCTCATAGCTTAGCTCCCACTTGTAAGTGAGAATATGTGGTATTTGGCTTTCCATTCCCGAGTGTCACTTAGAATACTGGTCTCCAGCTCCATCCAAGTTGCTGTAAAAGACATTATTTTATTCCTTTTTATGCCTGAGTAGTATTGCATGGTGTATACATGCCACATTTTCTTTATCCACTAGTCAGTCGATGGACACTTAGGCTGGTTCCATATTGCGAATTGTGCTGCTATAAACGTGCATATGCATGTGTCTTTTTCATATAACGACTGCTTTTTCTTTGGGTAGATACCCGATAGTGGGATTCCTGAATCGAATGGTAGATCTACTTTTAGTTCCTTAAGGAATCTCCACACTGTTTTCCATAGTGGTTATCCTATTTAGATTTCCTATGTGTCTTGGTCATTTCACCTGCTCAACCAATTGAAGGAGGAGAATCGTGGACATTAAGAAAATTCTTGTAGGTTGCTAAGTTCAATGATCTATTAGTACAGTGGCAGTGAGAGAGAAATGGAAGGGAGAAGTCTTAGGGATAAGTGTATATGTGTGTCAGGAGAAAGGCTTATGGGGGAAGGTGGATGATATTGAAGATGAGAGTCTTTGTTCAGGAACCTTATTTTGAAGTTAGTATAAAAATTAGAAATTACCCCCACTCTCAGTATCTATTCTTATCAATATAAAAACTTCTTTTAACAAGCATATATATGTTTATTCTGTTATTAAAGACTAAGGGATAAAATTGCAAATATCTGTGAGTATGATGATAGTGAAATTCAAAATTTATAAGAAGCTAATAATACAAAAATTTAAAATTTAGAGTTGGAAGAAAATATCTAGTTTGCCTTCCTTTGCAGGAGAATAATTTTTTTTCTGTTTCCCTATACGCTCAAGTTGGAGGTCTTCAGTAATCAAAAATCAGTACTTTCTCAATGACTCTATTTATGGTTAGTGGATGTCTATCTGATCTTATATTTTTTTGGCCTTGACTGATGTCAGATACTTTTGTAAAAATGGGGTTGGATGGAGATAACAGCACTGAGTACTGACTGCAGAGAACTGAGAAGGATTTTGAAAGTGTATCTAAGGTACTTTGCGATATTTGCACTTTTGCCCAGGACAAGTTTGGACCAGACACCCGTGCCATTTGGAAGTGTGAATTAGGTTACTGAGCTAGAAACAGAATGGGTCAGATTAAAGAGAGAGTTTGTGCACTTCCAACCTGAAAAATGATCTTTTAATTCTACCAGTATATTTACCTAATACACTGTTTTGAGTCTGAAGAAAATAACATTTTTTTCTGATCTGTGTGTCTTTCTATGTCTTTTAAAATCTTGCAGATTTTACAAAGTTCATTTCTTTTAAAAAATTCTTCTTTCTTTTTTTTATTTTTTAAGAGGTGGGGTCTTGCAATGTTGCCCAGGCTCTGGAGCACAGTGGCTATTCACAGGCATAATCATAGTGCACTATAGCCTTGAACTCCTGCCCTCGAGCGATCCTCCCACCTCAGCCTCCTGAGTACTTTTTTTTTTTTTTTTAGACAGAGTCTCGCTTTGTCACCTAGGCTGGAGTGCAGTGGCGCGATCTCAGCTCACTGCAAGCTCCGCCTCCCGGGTTCACGCTATTCTCCTGCCTCAGCCTCCTGAGTAGCTGGGACTACAGGCGCCCGCCACCAAGCTTGGCTAATTTTTTGTACTTTTAGTAGAAATGGGGTTTCACCGTGTTAGCCAGGATGGTCTCGATCTCCTGACCTCGTGATCCACACGCCTCGGCCTCCCAAAGTGCTGGGATTACAGGTGTGAGCCACCACGCCCGGCTCTGAGTACATTTTTAATTATATCTTCATCACATGTGCAATGCTTTTGTTATTACTACATTATGACTCTTAACTTAGTCATGTATATACTCAAGCCTTGGTTGGTAAACCAACTTCATTAAACATTTACTACTACATACGAAAGCATTTTATATCCATCATCTCTCTTATTCTTCACAACAACCCAATAAGGCAGGACATATTACCCATTTTTCTTTTGAAGGAGACGAGGCACAGAGAGGTTAAGTCAGCTACTCAAGGGCCCAGAGGTAGCAACTGACGGACATTTCAGCCTATTGACAGCAATACTGATAATGTAAAAAAAAAAAAAAAAAAGTGTGTCAAATCAATGTAGCAGAACGCTTGGTTACAATCATCCAGTTTACTTCGCTTTAACTTGGTACTCACTAAGCAGTTTCCTGAGAGAGTATTTTGCTTTTTTATTTCTTCCAGACAGAATCTCGCTCTGTCGCCCAGGCTGGAGTGCAGTGGCACTATCTTGGCTCACTGCAACCTCTGCCTCCCGGGTTTGAGTGATTCTCCTGCCTCAGCCTCCTGAGTAGCTGGGACTATAGGCACATACCACCCACCTATGCCTGGCTAATTTTTGTATTTTTAGTAGATACGGGGTTTCACTACATTGGCCAGGCTGTTCTTGAACTCCTGACCTCAGGTAATCCACCCACCTTGGCCTCCCAAAGTGCTGGGATTACAGGCGTGAGCCACTGGGTCCGGCCAAGTATTTTGCTTTGAATCTACAATTTTCCTATTTGGAAAAGAATATGCCAACCCATCAATGCATGTATTCTAATGAATATGGCTTTTTATTTCTCTTTGTAAATTTACATATTGGCATTCTACATATATCATGTAAAATAACATATGCAATTTATATGTAAGTCTTTTGAGAACCAATATCCCTGATTTAATCTGGCTGGTTGACAACTACTAAATTTCTGCAGCAGATTAAATGGATAAATGACTTGAAAGGTTTAGAGACAACACTTTAAATATAAAGAATAATAAAATTTCGAGGTTTGTGTCACTTGTTACTTTAGTGACTCTTGAGGTTTTGCCAAGAACAGCAGTTCTGGGAAGCTGAAATGAGATGATATTTCTAGGGGCTCATTATTGCTTGTATCTTCTCTCTCTCTGTCTCTGTGTGTGTGTGTGTGTGTGTTAATGAGTCATAGGGATAGTAATTATGAGATGTATAAGCCACTTGAAGAAGTAATTCTGGAATTACTTACATGCAATATGAAATACTCAACTTATAATAAAGGCAGTTGAAAAAAGGAAGATTGGGGCACATCAGTAACTAAAACTTATCTCAGTGCTGGGCTGATTTTCACCAATTCTATGATGTTTTTTTATAGTAATACAGAAGAAAGAAATTGAAATGACAAGCTGAAACTGATAATCAAAGTCATATATATTTTTTCCACAATTCACATGCTGAACTGTTTAATATGTGATACAATCCAAAATAATTCACTTTTGACTAGATGATGATCATGATCTTGATATCTTCAAAGCATTTCTATGTTTAAACCAATAATCTTTTAAGGGCTTATATGCACTAGGAATAAACTTAGAATCTTAGCCTATGGTCCAAGAGATGTAAATATCCATACAATGGAAAACTATTTGTCGTTATAAAGGAACAAAATATTGGTACATGCAAAAACAGAGATACCTTTTAAAAACATTATGTTTCCTGAGAGATGTCAGGTCAAAATGAACACATATTTTATAATTCCACTTAAAAGAAATGTCCCCAAATGGCAAATATATAAAGAAAGAAAGTAGATTTGTGGGGGCCTAGTGTTGGGGATAGGAATGAGAATAACTATAATGATCGTGAGGCGTCTTTTTAGTGTGAGGGAAAAATTCTACAACTAGGCTGTGGTGATAGCTGAAAACTCCGTAAATATATATTCTTTGCAAATATGTATTTACTGAATTGTACATTTAAAATGGGTGAACTTTTATGACATATACATTACTTCTCAATAAAGCTTTTAAACACATAGAAATTATCACTAGTTAGAAAAATTTAAGATTTTATGTTGATCTAACACAAAACTAAAGAACAAGAAAATGGGTAGGAATGAGAGACTCTGCATGTTTACTTTTTAAATTCGTATTCAAAATATTTATTCTATTTTGTTAGAATTGGGCATAAATGTTAAATGCAGTCAGACTAAAACTCAAATCCAAGCTCTATGATTGACTTTTGGAGTCAACTTTGGCAACTGTTTTAACTATTTGAGCCCTATTTTTGTCTTTAAAAGAAAATTTAACTAATGGGGCCAATGCAAGAATAAAACAAAGGGGCCTTGGGCAGTCTGGTTTTTAAAAAAGAAAGATTCTCAGTAAGCAGTCATTACTGTTTTAAAACATGGAGGTGGCAGTCTCTTCTGTACTTTTTCTGGCATAAAGAAGCACAATAATTATAAAAATGCTGATAAACTTACTTATACAACAGTATAGTTGTAATTTCTGTGCCTTCTATATTTTCTCAAAGGGATTTTAGTCATAACATTTTTAATAAACCCATTTGCTTTTTGTTTGTTAGCCAGTAAAAATAACATGCTCACAGATGTACTTAATCTACCCTTGTCCACTCTGATCCATCCTCTACACAGCAGTCAGCAGACTGAATTCTTAAAATATACATCCAACCAAGTTACAGTAATTAATGTATGCTAAAATTAATGTCAGTAGCAGTCTTAAAGGAAAATAAAGAGAAAATGTGCATGTTCTCACTCATAAGTGAGAGTTGAACATTGAAAACACATGGACACAGAGGGGAACAACACACACCAGGGCCTGTTACGGGGTGGGGGTGAGGGGAGGGAACTTAGAGGACGGGTCAATAGGTGCAGCAAACCACCATGGCACGTATACCTATGGAACAAACCTGCACATTCTGCACATGTATCCTGTTTTTTTTTTAAGAGGAGACTAAAAAAATAAAATGAATAAAATATGAATTCAATCAGTTGTGGAAGTGATAATGGGGGATTATAAAGCAAATTGTAGAAAAAAACAGGTGCAGCTGTGTTTTGTTTTGTTTTTAGCATCAGATGGGATTGTTGCCTGTTTAAGTGGTTGCTTTCCTAATTTCTGGCTCTTTCTTCAAACCCAGATTCTCCAGGTAAAGGATCACTGGGCAATCTCAAACATCTGAACTTCATGGATGGCTCGCTCCTAGAGGAAAAACAGCCCAAGAATTATTGTTAATTAAAGAGCTTTAAACTGAATATAACTAAATACCACTGTATAATTGCATTTCAGTCTAAGAATTAATGAGGTAGATGCAGTGGGGAGAAAGAGAAGGGAAGAGAGGAACGCCTCCAGTCTAATTGCTTCCTTGGTTCCACACTTCCTTAGTGCCCATTAGGGAAGAGGGTCCCAAAGGAACTGAAGACTTTTATTCACTCTTGAGGGCTTGATTGCTGCTACTTCATTCAGGGGCCAGGGGCACTGAGATTTTCTGGCCTGGGTGGCTGAGTCTGAAAAAGAGGAACATTCGGCTTTTCTAGCCCCAGAGCCACAGATGATCCACAGCACCTAAAAGCAAAGGAAACAGGGCTGGGTGGACGTAGGGCCTGGTTTTCAGCCCAGGACAGCCACATTTCCCTTCAGTCTGTGAGTGCCTTTTCTCTGGAGTGCTCCCCTCTCATCTTCTGATGAGTTCTACGCACTAGAGGAAGGTGGGAAGAACGTGGGAATTGGCTCTGTTTGACTTTGGGCTAAATCTGACTTAGTTGACTCCATGGTATTTTATTGAGCTATTACCTGATTAATGAAGCTTAACCTTAGAAATTTTAGGAAATGAATAAGATGTAAAGTGATAATGGGGAATTATAAAGCTAATTCTAGGAAAAATGATGATTATTTGCAGTCAAGTCACAGATATAATTGCTATTGGACACTAAACTCTATTAAAAGAAATGGCTGTTTTTAATATCAGTAATTATCTATTGCTTTTTCCTACCTACATATCATCTTTTCTATTCTTTTATTTCTTTATTTTTATTTAAGTTATTTTTGGGACAGGGTCTCACTCTGTCACCCAGGCTGGAGTGCAGTGGCATGATTTTGGCTCACTGCAATCTCTGCCTTTTCAGCTTAAAGGATCTCCCCACCTCAGCCTCCCAAGTAGCTGGGACTACAGACATACACCACCACACTCAGCTAGTTTTTTCTTTTTCTTTTCCTTTTTTTTTAAATTTTTGAAGAGACAAGGCGTCACTGTATTGCCTAGGCTAGTCTCAAATCCCTGGGCTCAAGTGATCCTGCCACCTTGGCCTCCCAAGCTGCTGGGATTACAGGTGTGAGCCGCCATGCCCAGGCTTCCTTTCTGTTTTACACCCATTAGACAATTCTCAGTTTTCAGTTACTCTAGCTGCTGATTGAGAAAGCTGCCTCCCGGATCAGTCACATGAATGGGTAATCTCAGAACTGCTACAAGTCAACTTAGAGAAATGCTGTGGAATAAGGCACACATTAAATAATTTGATGAATAAATTTTTTAACAAAGATGGGTAGGAGCCAAAATTATATGGGTACTTTGCAGACATCAATGCATTAATGTACACAGGAACCATAATATATTATTTTACTATTTATATATATTCAGAAAAGATTTAAAGAGTTTTTTTCAAGGTCATCTGATGTCAGAGTGGGCAGCGTGTTTAGTATGTAAACTCAGATACTTCCAGTTGTAAAGTTTATTCTACACCTTCTCTTCTATATCAACTCTAGTGTTGTCTCTTCATTTTACTTATGAGGAAACAGATGAAAAATAGATTAATAACTTACCCAAATGTCACTCAATAATTAATGACAGGATTGAACTGAGTCTTATTTAGAAGTTCTCCACTCTATATACTTATTATCAGTTTGCGATAGGCTCTATAAAGAGTTTTTTGCAGGAAAAACTCATCTCAGTGAGGCCATTGTTTGATGTTCCAGGACTAATTTGACATGAAGATAAAGAATCACACTCCAGTAACTGAGGTCCCCCTGATGGGAATCCCTCATACAAAGGGGATGGAAAATGTGCTTTTTGTCTTATTTCTGGCCTTCTACCTCTTCACCTTGCTGGGGAACCTACTCATTCTTCTGGCCGTCCTCACTTTCTCCAACCTCCACACCCCCATGTATTTCTTCCTGGGAAACCTGTCTGTGTTTGACATATTTTTCCCTTCAGTGAGTTCCCCCAAAATGATGCTCTGCTTAGTGGGACAAAGCTGCACCATCTCTTTCCAGGGTTGTGCCTCCCAGCTCTTCTTTCACCATTTCCTGGGTTGCACCGAGTGTTTCCTGTACACTGTGATGGCCTATGACCGATTTGCAGCCATCTGCCACCCTTTGCCATACACGGTCATCATGAAACGCAGGGTGTGTGCCCTCCTGACGCTAGGCACCTGGACGGGGAGCTGTCTGCATGCATCTGTCCTCACACTCCTCATCTTTAAGTTATCCTACTGTGGCCCCAATGAAGTGGACAATTTTTTTCTGTGATATTCCGGTGGTGCTGCCCCTGGCCTGCGCAGACACCTCTCTAGCACGGACAGTGAGTTTCATCAACGTAGGTGTTGTTGCGCTCATGTGTTTTCTTCTTATCCTCACCTCTTATGCTTGCATTGTTATCTCTATACTGAAAATCAGTTCCTCAGAAGGTAGGCGCAGAGCCTTCTCAACCTGCAGTGCCCATCTGACGTCCATCCTGCTCTTCTATGGACCAATAGTCCTCATTTATCTCCGACCTGCCTCCAGCCCTTGGCTGGACTCTGTGGTTCAGGTGTTGAATAATATTGTTATCCCTTCCCTGAATCCTTTGATATATACTTTGAGAAACAAAGGTGTAAAGCTGGCACTGAGAAAGGTGCTCATTCAAGGAGTACATAATTGTGGAAGGTAAGCTTTATATCCTGGTCTGTCTTTACAGCTTTGTCTTGAATTTATCTGGGGGCAATTAGCTCCTATATTTTGTTTGATGACTGAGTACCAGGCGCTATTTACAAATACTGATACATGTAATGATTATAATAATCATATGAAGTAGATAATACTATTATCTCGATTTACGAGGGAAAATTAAGGCACTGAGAGGCTGAGATCTTTCTGCAGTGTCATGGAGTTAAAAACTTGCTGGGCGAAAATGTGACCCAAAGCGTCTTAACCATGTGCTAATGCTGCTTCTGTAGTGTCTAAATGGTAACATAAATACTTCTCTCAGGAGCTTCTTTTCGGTTTACACAGAATATTCTTCAATTTGCCAGCAAATCTAGTACATTAAATTTGCTCCATTGATTTCTATAACTTTTTTTGAGTCTATATTTTGATGGATGACATATGTCTGAGTCTGATACCAAGAAATTATCTGGCTGGGTATGGTGGCCTACGCCTGTAATCCCAGCACTTTGGGAGGCTGAGGCAGGCAGATCACTTGAGCTCAGGAGTTCAAGACCAGCCTGGTCAACATGGTGAAACCCCGTCTCTACTAATAATACAAAATTAGCCAGGCGTGGTGGTGGGCACCTGTAGTCCCAGCTACTCAGGAGGCTGAGGCAGGAGAATCGCCTGAACCTGGGAGGTGGAGGCTGCAGTGAGCCAAGATCACAGCACTGCACTCCAGCCTGGGCGATGGAACGAGAGACACTGTCTTAAAAATAAAAAAAAAAGAAAGAAAATAAAATCTCTTTAGAAGTCAATTAGTACCCATATATCCAAAAAGATGTATTAGTATAGGCTGTCTCTCAGGTAAACATATTATTTCTTTATAACAACAATTTCAATTCTGTAAGAGGATTACAAGTTTGCTTTCATTCAGTCAGGGACTAAATTTGAATTCCAGAACTTATGGGCCTTCAAAAATAATAGTCATTGTTTTCTCATGTAAATAGCTTCAAAGAAAACTAGGACACTGCAAAAAAGTAAAATGAGTAGAAATTACTCACTGATCCTACCACCAAGAGATAACCACTGTTAATATTTTGTCATTTTTCCTACCTCTCTCATTAGTGATTAAATTGGAATTAGGGTTTCTGACTTCTTGTTTAAATTTTTTTCATTTCTATCTATGTCATCTATATCTATATCTATATTTATATTATGTATCTATATATGTATATATTTTAGAGAGATTTATAGTTGTGATTAGCTCATATATATATTTTCTTGTTTTAATCATGTATCAAGAATTTTCAATTGCCATAATTTTTTAAATAGCTTTTTTGAGATATAATCACACACCAAATAATTTGTGAATTTGAAGTGTACAATTCAATGGTTTTTCATATATTTACATATGTACCACCTTTACCACAGTCAATCTTAGAACATTTTAATCACCACAGAAAATGTCCTATACCCTTTAACCATTACCTCCCTGTTCCCACATCACCCTTAGTAAGCAAACACTAATCAACTTTTTATATCTATAGACTTGCTTATTCTGGACATTACATAAAAGTTGAATCATATAATATGAACCTTCAAAGCCAGTCTTTTGTGACTGGCTTATTTAAATGAGTATAATATTTTCATGATTAATCTATGTTCTAGCATTTTTTTTATGTCAAATAATATTTCACTGCATGGGTACACCACAATTTGTTTTTCCATTCATCAGTTGATTAACATTTGAGTTATTTCTACCTTTGGGTATTTTGAATAGTACTGCTATTAACACTTGTGTGTATGTTTTGTTTGAACACCTGTTTTTAGTTCTTTTGGATATATACCTACTAATGAAATTGCTGGATCATAGAGTGATTCTTTTTTTTTTTTTTTTTTTTGAGGCGGGGTCTCACTCTGTCACCCAGGCTGGAGGGCAGTGGCGCAATCTCGGCTCACTGCAACCTCCACCTCCCGGGTTCACGCCATTCTGCTGCCTCAGCCTGCCAAGTAGCTGGGACCACAGGCGCCCGCCACCACGCCCCGCTAATTTTTTTTTTTTTTTGTATTTTTAGTAGAGATGGGGTTTCACCATGTTAGCCAGGATGGTCTCAGTCTCCTGACCTCCGGATCATAGAGTAATTCTATGTTTGCTCTTTTGAGGAATCTCCAAACTATTTTCCACAGAGGCTGCACCATTTTACATTCTAGCAAAGTAGAAGTGTTCTGTTTTTACTACATCTTGGCCAACACTTTTTAAAAATTTTATGTAGCCATTCTAGTGGCTATGATACAGTGTATCATTGTGGTTTTGATCTGAATTTTTTCGATGATGAATGAAATTGAGCATCATTTCACATGTTTGTTGGCCATCTGTATGTCCTCTTCAGAAAATAAAATGTCTATTCAAGTAATTTGTCAATTTTCTAATTGGTTTGTTTGCCTTTTTGTTGTTGAATTGTAATGATTCTTTATATATTCTCAGATGCCAGATCCTTTTCAGACATATAATTTGCAAGTCTTTTCTCTCATGCTGTGAATGGTCTTTTTACCTTCTTGATAGTACCCTTTATGCATAAAAGCTTTAAATTTCAGTGGTGTCCAGTTTATCTTTCTTTTGTTATTTGTGCTTTTGGTGTCATATCTAAGAAATCATTGCCAAGTCTAAGGTCATGATGCCCATGTTTTCTTTTAAGAGTTTTATAGTTTAGTTCTTACATTTAGTTTTATGATTCTTTTTGAGTAGTTTTTATAAATGGTATGAGTTAAGGGTTCAAATTCATTCTCTTACCTGCGAATATCTAGTTGTACCAGGACCATTTGCTGAAAGACTTCTTTCCTATTGAATGGTCTTGGCTCCGTTGTTGAAAATCAATTTACCATAGATACATGTCTTGATTTTGTTCTATACTCTCAGTTCTTTTCCATTGACATATATTTCTATACTTATGCTGCTGTCACAGTCTTGATTACCATGGTTTTTAGTAAGTTTTGAAATTGGAAAGTGTAATTACTCCTACTTTCTACTTCTTTCAGGATTGTTTTGACAGATTTTTGGAATTCCATATGAACTTTAGAATCAGCTTATCAACTACAGAAAAGATAACTGGATTCTGATACGGATTGCATTGAATCTGTAAATTCGTGTTGTTTCAACAATATTTATTCTTCTAACCCATGAGCATGGGATCTTTTTCCATTCATCCAGATCTTCTTTAATTCTTTTTAGTTTAATAGTTTCCAAGGTGCAAGGATTTTACTTCCTTGTTTAAATGTATTCCTAGGTATTTATTCCTTTGGTGCTACTGTAAATGGAATTGTGTTCTTAATTTCCATTTAAGATTTTTAATAGCCAATATATAGAAATTCAATCAACTGATTTTTGCATATAGATCTTGTATCCTGTTTTGCTGAAGTCCTTTATTCTAGTATTTTTTTGTGGATTCCTTAGGATTATCTGTATGCACAGTTATGTCATCTGCAAGTAGAGATAATTTTATGTTTTCCTTTTCTTTTCTCTAGGGATATCCTTAGGGTTTTAAAATTCTCTTTCTTGCCTAATTGCTTTGGCTTAAAATTCCAGTACAATGTTTAATAGAAGTGCTAAAAGCAAGTATCTTTGTCTTGTTCTTCACTTAGAGGCAAATAATCTAGTCTTTCACCATTATATATGATGTTTGCTGTGTGAATTTTTCATAGATGCCATTGATCATGTTGAAGAAGTTTCCTTCTACTCCTAGTTTGTTGAATGTTTTTTCATCATGAAAGTGTATTGATTTTGTCAAATGATTTTTCTGTCTGTTGAAATTATCATGTGGTTTGGTGGGGGGTTTTGATGTTGTTGTTTGATATAGTGTATTACATTAGTTGATTTTTGAATGTCAATCCAAACTTGCGTACCTAGGATAAATCTTCACTTTGTCATGGTATATAATTCTTTTTATATATTGATGGATTTAGTGTGGGAAGATTTTGTTGGAGGTTGTTGTATTCATATTCATAAGAGATATTGACTTCTCTTTTTTTCCTTTGATTTGATATTTTTGGTATCAGGGTTATCCTGCTTTTGAAAAATGTGTTGAGAAAAGTTTTTCCCTCTTCTGTTTTTTTTGGAAGAGTTTGTGAAGAATTGGTGTAAATTCTTTCTAAAATAGTTTGTAGAATTTAGTAGTGAAGCCATGTGGTCCCGAGTTTTTATTTGTGGGTATATTTTTGATTATTGATTTAATATCTTTACTTTTTATAGCTCTATTCAGATTGTCTCTTTTTTCATGAGTCAGTTTGGGTAGGTTGTGTCTTTTTAAGAACTTTTCCATTTTATCTAAGTTATCTAGTCTATTGATACAGTTACTGTTACTATTCCTTTAGCGTCTTTTTTATTTCTGTAAGGTTGGTAGTAATGTCTCCTTTTCCATTTCTGATTCTAATAACTTGATTCTTCTTTTTAAATTGGTCAACCTAGCTAAAGTCTTGTAAGTTTTGTTGATCCTTTTAAATAATCAACTTTTAGTTTTATTGATTTTCTCTATGTTTAAAAATTCTCTTTTATTAATTTCTGCTCTAACCTTTATTAGTTTCTTCATTTAGCTTGCTGTTAATATAGTTTGCTCCTTTTTTCATTTCTTTGAGCTGGAAAATTAAGTTATTGATTTCAGATCTTTCTTCATATGATAGGCATTCAAAATACGAACTTCCTTCAAAGTACCACATTAGCAGCATCACATAAATTTTGTCTGTTGTGTGTTTTTTTCTAATTTAACTCCTTATTGTTTGATTTTCACATATTTCTTAATTTTCCAAGTTTCCTTTTACTATCAGTTCCTAATTTTATTTCATTCTGTTTGAGGAACATAGTTTGTATGATCACAATCCTTTTAAACTTATTAAGATTTGTTTTATGGACTTGCATATGGTCTATCCCTGAGAGCATTCCATGTAAACTTGAGAAGGCTCTGTATTCTATGTTGTTGGGTTGAGTTTTTATAGATTTTTTTTTATGTCTAGTTGACTTATAATGTTGTTCAAGTCTTTTATTTCCTTGATCTTCTGTATTGTCATTTTGTTCATTATTAAAAATAGGCTATTATTGAATTGCCTTTTTTTTTTTTCAAGACGGAGTCTTGCTCTATTGCCCAGTCTGGAGTGCAATGATGCAATCTTGGCTCACTGCAACCACTGCCTCCTGGGTTCAAATGATTCTCCTGCCTCAGCCTCCAGAGTAGCTGGGATTACAGGCGCCCGCCACCACATCCAGCTAATTTTTGTATTTTCAGTAGAGATGGAGTTTCGCCATGTTAGCCAGGCTGGTCTCGAACTCCCGACCTTGTGATGTGCCTGCCTCAGCCTCCCAAAGTGCTCAGATTTACAGGCGTGAGCCAACACACCTGGCCTGAATTGTCTTTTTTACACCTTCATTTCTGTCAATTTTTGCTTCATGTATTTTGGTAGTTCTGTCATTCGGTGCATATGATTATAATTTTATATCTTCTTGACAGAGGCACCTTTTTAATCATTAAAAAGTATCTGTGTTTAGCTCTAGTAATTTTTTTTGTTTTAAAGTCTATTTTGTCTATTAGTATAGCCACTTTAGATTTCCTGCGGTTGCTGTTTACATTATATATTTTTCTATGCTTTTACTTTGATTATGTTTGTATCTTTGAGTCTAAAGTGTGTCTCCTGTAAGCAATATGTAGTTGAATCATGATTTTTTGTCCAGTCTGACAATCTCTGACTCTTGATTGAATTGTCAATTCACTTACATTTAATGTTAATATTAATATAGTTGGATTTACACCTACCACTTTACTTTTTGTTTTCTTTATGCCTCATTTTATATCTTTTTTTCCTCTATTTCTCCTTTACTTTTTTTCTTTACGTTAACTTCAAATGTAGCATTTTAATTTCTTTAATGATTTTTATGGTATTGTTTGAGTCATTATCTCAAGGGCCTCCCATCTTACATCATAACTTATCACAATTAGCTTCAGATTTATAATAAGTTAACCCCAGAGCAATACAAAAACATCACTTCTATCTAATGCTATTCTTTTTTCCTCTTTTGTGCTATTACTCTTATACCTATTACATACATGGATATTATAATTCAACAATGCATTGCTATAATTATTATTTTATATAATTTCATGTCTTTTTTATAGTATAATGCCTGTATCATGGCTGACTTTTATGGAGGAGAGTTTTTTTTTCTTCAACTTTTATTTTACGTTCTGGGGTACATGTGCAGGATATGCAAGTTTGTTATGTAGGTAAATGTATGCCATGATGGTTTGCTGCACAGATCAATTCATCACCCAGGTATTAAGCCCACCATCCATTAACTATTCTTCGTGATGCTCTCTCACCCCACCAATTTCATGTCTTTTAAAGAAAGTTGAGAGAAGAAAGGAAAGCAAGTATATATTCATAGTTTTTGTTATAATAAACTTCTTACTTACTATTTCTGGTTTTCTTTCTTTCTTTCTGTGGATTCAAATTACCGTCTAGAGTAATTATCTTAGCCCAATACAGCTCTGCTTCCACCCACCTCTTTTCTACTGTTATTGGCAAATATATTACATTTATATATGTTATATGCCCTAAATTACATACACATTGTTTTTTTTTGTTTGTTTGTTTTTATACACATTGTTTTTTACAACTGCTTTTAAACCAGTTAAAGGAAGGGAGAAAATATGCATTTATACTATCTTTTATAATTACATAATTACCTTTACCAGTTTTTTTTTTCCATGGGAATTCAGATTGCATTCTGGGGTCACTTGTTTTCAGTCTGAATAAATTCATTCTTTCTTGTAGGGTGGATCTGCTAGAAACAAAGTCTCTTAATTTTTGTTTATCTGAGAATATTTTTAGCTTCACTTTTGAAGATAGCTTTGTTGTACATAGACGTTTGGTTGACTTTTAGTTTTTTCTTTGAGCACTGAAATGATTATTCCCCCTCCTTTCAGCTTCTGTTGTTTCTTATGAGAAACTAATTTTATTGGGGTACCTTTGTAAGTGATGAGTCTTTTTTCTCTTGACGCTTTTCACATTTTTTTTCCTGTGCTTGGATTTTAATATTTCTACTATGATTTATCTGGATTTCTTCATGCTTATTGTACTTAGTGTTCATTGAGCTTCCTGGATATGCAGATTGTTGCTTTTCATTGTATATATTTGGGATGTTTTTAGTCATTATTTCTACTGATACTTTTAATGCTCTCTCTCTCATTCTCTCTGCTGCTTCTGGTATTCCCATTAAGCATATATTAGTGTGCTTAATGGTGTTTTACATTTCTCTGAATCTTTGTTCATTTCTCTTTATTATTTTTCTCTCTGTTTTCTGGCTTCATGCTCTATATTGATTTATCTTTATCTTTACATTTGCTAATTCTTTCTTTGATCAATTAAAATCTACTTTTGAGTCCCTTTAATATTTTTCATTTAAGTTATTGTATTTTGAACTCCAGAATTTTTATTTGTTCTATTTCTCTTTATTGATATTCTTTATTTGATACAACATTGTCATCATACCTTCTTTTGCTTCCTTAGTCATGAATTCTTTTAGTTCTTTGAACACAATTAAAATGGATATTTTAAAGTCATTGTCTGTTGCTAAAATCTGATACATGGTTGCTCTCACAAGCTGTTGTTGTTTTCTAACCTGCTTTTTTTCTTGATGTATGGGCCATGCTTTCATGATTCTTTGTATGTCTTGTAATTTTTTGTTAAAAGCTAGGCATTATAGAGAATATATCTTAGCATCTGGGTGCTGGTTTTCATCTCCCTCCAGGGCATGTTATTATTATTTGCTTGTTTGTTTAGTGACTGGCCAGAAAATTTTAGTGAAGTCTATTGTGTCCTCTGTGGTGTCAAGTCTCACTACACTCAGATAACAGTGTTTTGGGCAGGGTTCTCTTTAATTGTCTCTTTCCCTGGCCACAGCTAGCCATTCAGCTCCACTAATTGCTGACAAATTGTTGTGTTGTTTTCAATAATGCCCTGGGGCCTAAATTGTTCTGTAGACTAACCCACTCATATTTGGGGTCTTTTATAGAAATAGTTCAGAGGGTCAATCAGTGTCTCAGATTTGTCCTGATCTATGCTTGCTCCTTCCAGCTGTTTCTTTCCTACATTTTCTGCTTTTTCCCCTAGGCATAATCTCTGAGGCAGGGCTCTGAAGCTGGAAGTGGGCACAATGGCTGCTTGTCTTTGAGTGACACCCCCACTGTAGAAATTAAGTACTCAGTGAGGAGTGAGAAATGGGTAGTAGCCTCAGCTCTTCTTAGCTTATTCTTCCTAGTGTGGAACCATGACCTTATGGGTTGGGGCAGTGTCAGCTGAGACTCCTGTATTTTCGGCAGTGTCACAACCAAGGTTGATCTTCCATCTCACAGGTAAGGACTGGCAAGAAGAAGGAAGCCCCTCACCTTTAGCCATACTAACTTGAAACTTAGCTCCAGCAACAAGTAGCTGGGGAAAGAATAAGACGTGCTGACATCCTGCACTTTCTGGGAAGATAGCCCTCTGACTGGAAGCTGAGAAAAAAGAAAGCCTTGTGTTCTTGGCTGCTCCAGTCTGGAGCAGAGTTTCTATGTCACTGGGCTGGACAGGGGTGGTAGGGAGCAGATCTCAGTTCAAATACCAGAAACCCTGTCTGTTATTACCAAATTGTAATTGATTTTCTCAAGTAAATGTTTCTTTTTTTCCTATATATCCTTAGAGCTATTTTTAGAGACTTTAAATGGTTCTCTTCACCAGTTTTGCTAGAAAGTAGTTCCACAGAGCTCAAGCTGTTACGCTAGAAATCCATTGTCACTATAAAATATTAATAAGGAAATTTTAAAAAGCTGCATAATATTCTATTTTATCAATTAATATGATAATCATAATTATTCCTATATTACTAAGCTTATAATTTGATTTTAGTTTTTCACCATTAACCATAACTCCACAGTGAACATATTTGTGCTTAAAGATTTTACCACATCTCTATTATATTTTTAGCTGTGGTATTGCTGGGTCAAAGAATATTGGTTTTTTGTTCGTTTTATACACACTGCCACAAGACTTTAGAGAAATGCTATAGCAGCTCCTAAAAATATATTCCCCCTTTACTATGCAAAATACTATCATAAAGGTTATTAAATTAATAACTTGTTGAAATGATTATTTTTATTTCAAATGAGGTAATATATGTTTTATATATTTATTTGAATATCCTCTTTTGTATAAAATCAGTTATTGACCTTTGTAAATGTTTAATGAGACCCTAAGAAATTTTACATTATTTTGTATTCTTCATAAATTTAGAATATTAATTTCTCATATGCATTACTTTTTCATTCACCTTTTCATTTGTCCTTTGTTTTCCTTTACAATGTTTTAGGTACAGAAGTCTTTTTTTATGTTACTGAGCACTAATCTTTTTTCTCCTTTTCTACTGTTTTTAAACTTAGAAATTCTTATAACTCGTCTCTGATAAATATTTAATAATGAGTTCTAGGGTTTTTTTTTGTCTTAGTAAACTCTTTAATATACCTGATATTTACTGGATTACAAGTGGAAATTTAATTTCTGCTTATCTCATAAAACTAAACTTTTTTTATTTTTTATTTTTTATATTTTAAAGACGAGATCTCACTGTGTCGTTAAGCCTGGATTGCAGTAGCATGATCATAGCTCACAGTAACCTTGAACTCCTGGCCTCAAGTGATCCTCCCACCTCACCTTCCCAAAGTGCTGGAATTACAGGAATGAGCTACTATGCTCAACTTTATTATTCAATACTTAATGCATTACCAGTATTAAATTATCTGTGGATTGCTAGAACAAACTGAATAGTCATTGGGATGGGGCATTTAGTATTTCTTATATTTCATTTGCTTGAAATTTATTCAGAGTTCACATCTATTTTAATTATGGATTTAGTGGCATGTTTTTGGAATTAGTTTTAGTTTCAGATTTGTTACCCTTATAAAATGAATTGGATAAACATTCTATGCTCTAGAAAGAAAAACACAGGAGGATCAGCTGTTTCTTGAAATAGACTACAAAGTCATTTGATTCTAATATAATTTTTATACCTAATTCTTGGAGAATGGTTTTTAATTGTTTAATGAACCTTAATCTATTCAGATTTTAATTTTTTTCTTGGTTTGTTCTTGTGATTAATACATTTCTAATAAAAAAGTCCATTTTATATAGATCAGTGGCTTTCATACTTTAGTTATATTAAATTACCTTGGGTCTGTGAAGAGTTAGATATTACAAATTTAAAATATAGGTTTATCTGTGTCATCCTCCACCGCTTGTCACTCTTCAGCAGTAGTATAGCGAGTTTCTTCTTTTCTTCCTGTTTTATAATCATAAGCAAAAACAGTTGCTGAATATAAAAACATATAAGTATTCTGAAGCTGATAGTATTCAAAACGTCATAGTATTTATGCATGAAATAGAAAGTTTCTACTCTCAGAATCACCTAGATCAGATACTGCAGATGTTTTTAGCTTCTATTAATCTCAGTTCTTCACAGATCATGCTATTTTCTCCTAGTCTTACCAAGACTCCAATATCACCTGTTTGCATCTGCATAAAGCGTTCATTTTATTTAATTTTACCATGGTTCTTATCCTGGTTATTCTCAATCATCACCATGAATGCAAGTCCTCCCCTAACTCCATCCCTAAGTTCTGCACTGTCCATACTCACATACTCAAACTGCTGTGTGCTGTTTCCACGATGCTCCCGTGCTCTAATGATCCATTTCCCAGCTCTTCCTATTGTCTTCTGTAAAAACTCTTGGACAAAGGCAATGCTATATGTAAACCAAATTATGTTTTATTTTATTTCCCTGAAAACAAATAGAATATTTTTGACTGCTTAATAGTTGCTTTGGGAACACGCTACTGGGTTCTGGCCAAAGGGATATGGATATAAGGTGAAGTGATGCAAATCACTCTGGAGGACAGCTCACAAAATCAACCCAAGTGACCTTCCTGTCCTCTCTTCCCCTGACATGGGAACTCTGGAAGCTACTGAGGGAGTCTCCCATTCCATCTAAAACTTTTCATGACTGAGAAATTAATCTTTGTTGTGTTTATCCACCACAGCTTTGGGTTTACTTGTTATCATGGCATAGTCTATTCTATCCCGACTAATATAACTCTCCCTGTATTTTGTTGTAAATAAAGACTCATACAACCTTACCTTTTTTGAATGTTACTTCCACTTTCTGTCTTAACTGATTTTTTTCTTTAAACAGAATTTGTATTTTTTTAATCTTAAAATTCTGTACGTTCAAAAAACTAGGTATGTTATTACCTATTGGTTGTCAAGTTAATTGTTGATAATGTCTCCAACTTTTCAAATAACCCAGAAATGCAAATGTTTTTGTAAAGTTTACCATTTTAAAAATATTGAAATTAACTTAATAGAAAAAGTAAATCTATCTTCCAAAACCCACCCATAGAGAGCCAGGTTTGAGCTTCTTCAGTTCATTACTTCTAGTCTTCCAAACCTTCTCTCCTGATGAAGTCCAAGCAGCTCTTATCCTAGTCCCTTTAAACCATCTATTCTTACAATCATGCATGAATATTCACTGAAATATTTGGTAGAAAGGGTACATTTTTCCTGCAACCCAAGCCTACTACAACCTTCGGTGAGCTTAAAGTCTTCAGCGATGAGCCATTTATCACCCGAGCCTCAAAGCATTCATGCATGTGGTTCAACTTCATTTGATTTCAGGTTCACCAGCCAGGACCATCTCTTGGGTCCTGCCTTCACCCTTACCTGCCCACTTCTGAACATTCAAACATGAATCTCTCACTCTCAATTTAATGTTTACTTCTAGATCTGTCATTTCATTCTCTCACTAGACTTTCTCTTCTACCTCATTAAAATTGCATCCATTTTTTCACTGTTTTCTCCTGGCTTTGCCTTCTTCTCTATTTGGCTTTGAATATGTAACACCTTTAGTTCTACTTTCTATGTATTAAGCATAGGTTTATGGGTGCCTAGTCCCATCACTTCCATGTCCTCAGCCTAATGTTTTCCTAGAGCATGCTCCATGCTGGCTATTCACACACTTAGCACAAAGGAAACTCTGACATAAGACAACACGTTCAAAGCCCTTAAAACACCAGCCTCCTGTCTTTATCTGTTTTCGTGCATCCTCACTCCTTTCATACACAGTCAAACTTCAGCCATTTCATAACACTAAAATGCTAAAAGAATTATTTTATGATTTGTGTTTCTATATCTTTGCGTAAGCATCCTTCACTTCCTCTTCTAGCCTCTCATTGAGAGATAATGGTGGGACAATCATATGATTTTTGGAGACGAGAGTCTGTGGCTGTTCTGATCTCATCATTCTCAGAGTCTCAGTTGTATTATTTATAATAATTCATAGACTTCTGATTATTGTAAGAATTAAATGAGATAATTTGCACAAAGTATCTTACTATCAGGTCTGTGATAGGCTCTCAGAAAAAGAAAACTGTGTATCATTCCATTCTTACCAGCATAGTTCTGTTATCCTCTATTCTGGGATATTCTCCTTAATCCAACCTAACTGCACTGGTTTCTTCTTGTTTCCTATCACTAGTTTCATTAGAACATAATTATTATTAAGCTTAAAATAGTGGTTTGGAATTTGTTCATGTAACCCTCCCCAGCCCAAATTCACATAAACACTATACTGTGAACTCCTGTGGACAGAAATCTACATTATTAGCTCTGTATTTCAGGCATGTAGGTTGCCAAATGCATTTTTTAATTAAGTGAAATGCAGTGTGTCTGTACATAACCAATTTTGTTTTTTCATTTTACATCTTTTAGGTCCAATAATCAGCATCAATGTTATACTTAATAAACTGAATTGCTTAATGAGCCAAATTACACAACACATACATTCACACATTCATTCCTTTAACAGACTAAGTAAGGTCTTAGATCTTATGTGCAATTGTGGGAGAAAAGAAAACCCTGTCTAGCTACGTTCACCCAATTCTAGGGTTGTATTTCCAGGGCTAGAACTCGTTGGTTCCCACATACACATTTAGGTCTGTGTCATCATTATCATCTGAGGCTGTGTTGAGTAGCTCTTCCCTATTCCTTGACCCTAGCTCAGATATCCTGACTGGTGGTGAGGCTGCCTGCTAAAAGAACTAGCTACATGCCAGACTATCTAATTTGATTTGGGAGCAAAGAAGGGAAACAGCTGATGATTTGCAAGAAGAGAAATAACATGGGGACCAGGAATCATGGCATAGGAAATGAGCTGTGGATCTCTAGCATATAGGACAAAGAGGCGAGTGGTTAGCATACAATAAAGGCAAAGATAAAGGACTTAAAGGGAGGAGGTGTAAGCAACCCATTCTAGGTGTCTAACGTTCTGACTCATTCTTTCCAATCTTACCTAAATATGAGGAAAAATTATGAAATGTGGGCAGAAAGAATGGAAAGTTGAGTGCTAAATCAATTTTATTAAGCCACAGAAAAGGAATATTTCCACAGTGAGACAGGATGGTATAACACGGTGGTTTTGAATAAGAGGAAAGGAGAAATGGATGAATGTAGTGAAAAAAATCTTACAGAAATGATATAAACTATTTCAGGGGATAAAAGCATTATGAAACAATTTCGTTCTATCTATTGTAACTTCCTATATGGCACTCTTTGTTCAGCTCCTGCTTCCCCATTTAATGAACTAATTTAAATTACATCCAAAGTAGATTATGTGTTGAAGTGGGAAAAGTTCCCTTAGCCCCCTCACAGGGTGTGCGAAGGGGGTGTGGCTCGCTTCTACGGTGCCCAGCTGCTCAAACCTCTAGGGGGAGCTTGCAGACCGGCAGGCTGTGGGGCTCCGACCTCATGGCAGCGTCTAAGGGTGGATGTTTACAGCTGAAGCTCCAGTGGGCGTGTGTTACAGTGCGCTCTTTCAGTTTAGCCGTCCGTTGGCAGCTTGTGTTAATCAGCTTAATTAGACCCTCTGCCTTATAGCAAGGGTGGAGGACTCTCTGTATCCCGGGGTTCTTGCCTTGGTGTACTAGAAGAATCAGATCACATATGGGCTTGGAGAATGAGTGCCAAATTTTATTGAATGGTGGAAATAGCTCTCAGCAGACGGATGGGGAGCCAGAAGGGGAGCGGGAAGGTGGTTTTCCCATGGAGTCAGCTCAGCGGCGTGACTCTCCTCTGACAGCTCCAGCTAAACTCCGCTTCATTCCACTGGTCAATGGCCTGCCGGCGTCTGCTGGTGCCGTTCGGTGTGCTCTTCAACCGAAGTGTTCCTCTTGATGTCTAGCCGCTTCTGTGTTCTCCTGCTGATGTGTTTCTCACGATGTCCAGCTGCTGTGTCCGTGCGCACTAGGGTCTCAGGGTTTTTATAGGCACAGGATGGGGACATGGTGGGCCAGGGTGGTCTTGGGAAATGCAACATTTGGACCTGAAAGCAGGAGTGCCTGTTCTCCCCTAGTTCCATGGGCACAGGTCCAGGGGTGGAGCCCTCCCCAGGGACCCGCCGTTCTCCTCCCAGCCCTTCCTTGCCCCCTCCCATATCAGTACTGTGCAGAAAAATTGAATTATGAAATTATAGTGAAAAGGTCATTACATGTTAGCCAGTTCACATTTTCTCCCAGTGGAGAACCCACTCTGCTTGGTCCCTCATGTCTATTTAGCTACCTTCCGTAGAGCA
This sequence comes from Homo sapiens, assembly GCF_000001405.40. NCBI lineage: Eukaryota > Metazoa > Chordata > Mammalia > Primates > Hominidae > Homo > Homo sapiens. Next base: position 124,070,406 of record NC_000011.10, read on the forward strand.
GAAATCTTACACCGCCAGCATAGTTTGTGTCACAGCTATCATATTCACACACCCTACTTCATGTTATGGAATAAAATGGAGCCCTAACCAAATTTGTTTAATTATACAAAAATAAAGTTTAGTTACTTTTTTGAGGTTCTTGCTCTGTCTCTCGGGCTAGAATGCAGAGATACAATCCTAGTTCACTGCAGCCTCAACCTTCTGGGCTCAATCGATCCTCTCACCTCAGCCTTCAAGTAGCTGAAACTACAGGCATGTGACACCATGCCCAGCTAAGTTTTATATTTTCTGTAGAGACAAGGTTTTACCATGTTGCCCAGGCTGGTCTCAAACTCCTGGGCTTGAGTGATCCTCCTGCCTTGGCCTCCCAACGTGCTTGGATCACAGGTGTGAGCCACCACACCTGGCCTAGTTCCATTTTTAAAACTGTTTACTTGCTGACATATCTATTTGCTGAAGGTTTTAGAATGCTCTTGTCAGAATAAAGTTTAAAAAAAGGCTGTAATTATTTTTAATAATTTTATTTTTGTAGGTTTTCACATTTTGAATGTTAATTCTTGTTTCAAGAGGATTTCTGATTATAAGTAGAATATCCTTTTGTGACTATGAGAGTGTGTGTGTGTGTGTGTGTGCGTGTGTGTGTGTGACTGTTCTCATGGTGGAGGCGTAGGAAAGTAATAGTAATAGTAGTGTTCTTTCATAGTGGCCTCAGATGAGGAAGTGGGAAAGACTATAAATATCTTTCCTGCTTATAGCATGTTAAAAAGCACTTATGTGTGAATCAGCAAAATACCGGGGTTCTAACAGTGGTTCCACTAATAATAGCCTGTGTGGTCCTGAATAAATTATTTTGTCTCTATGGCTTTAGTTCTAATATTTGTAAAATGAAGAGGTTGAACTAGATCATTTTAGAGGATTCTTTCACATCTACAAATTGTGTACCATTACAGGAATTTTCATTTACAGGAAGATGTTCATGACTTTGGGGAAAAAAAGTGTCTAGAGGTCTTCTAATTTCTGATTTTGGTAGGGCAATGATATTTCCATTTCCAGTAGTACTCTTGATTTTGAAATCCCGCTCTTGAAACAGGACTCCGAATTAAGGTGAAATACCTAACATCGGCCGGCAGATGGCACTATTGGGGCACCGACAACCAGATTCCTCTTCACTAACAAGTAGCTTGCAATAAAGACCCTGGAGCTGAATCAATAGGATAAAGAATGGTTGAAATTATTATTAGAACTGTGTTAGAGAGGTCTGTGATGCTTATGATTTCTGATGGCACCACCATGTGCTATAGTCTTTCTAGAGAGCCAGTTAAATAACCAGTCAATTGCTACCATTTTTACCAATTGGTGTCAGTAGACCCACGACTCTTTGTGTGTAAACAGCCATTGGGTTCACAAGGTGTTTCAGGTAAGAATGGAGAAAGTCTTGATGGAAATACAGCTGGCAAAGGTCACAGGACCCTGCCTGTGTTTACAGACTGCACAAGAACCACTTGGTGCTAAAAGCACGTGGCCGACAGATCGGCTTCAGCACGTACCTTCATCATTCCTCTTCTGAGCTAGCAGAGAAGGGAATTTGACTTCTTTTTTTTTCCTTCCATAGAGCGGGGCTTGAATTCCTTTGGCAGGGAGTCCCCAAAGTTAATTTTAACCCAGGAAATTGTGCATTAATAACGTGATACGAGTTTTGCTTTCAACAAAAGAAAACAGAATAAAAGGAATTTCCCAGCTACAGGATATTCTGACTATTCTGTGACATACAGTTTGATAAAACTTACACTAAATCTGACGGAAAGGTTTGTTTGTGATGGAGAAGGAAAGAGAGAAGTGCTTGTCCTTTTGTCTTATGTAGTCCCGCAGGAATACACTGACTTATTTCTACCTTTTCCACATCTTTTCCTTTTTCTTTCTTTCTTGTTTTATTTATTTATTTATTTATTTATTTATTTATTTATTTATTTATTTTGAGACGGAGTCTCTCTCTTGTCACCCAGGCTAGAGTGCAGTGGAACGATCTCTGTTAACTACAACCTCCACCTCCCAGGTTCAAGCAATTCTCCTACCTCAGCCTCCCGAGTAGCTAGGATCACAGGCGTGCGCCACCACGCTTGGCTAAATTTTTTTGTATTTTTACTAGGGACAGGGTTTCACCGTGTTGGCCAGGCTGATCTTGATCTCCTGACCTCATGATCTGCCCGCCTCGGCCTCCCAAAATGCTGGGATTACAGGCGTGAGCCACTGCTTGCGGCCTCCTTTTTCTTTCTTCTATTTTCCCATAACTCATACATATTTTTGTTTCATTTTGCTTTACCTAAAAGATCTCTGACGTATATCTTTTCCTTTCTTCTCCAAATCAAAAACGCTAAGTAAACTTGAAACTGATAGAGGTAAGAAACAACTTACTTTCTCCTCCATTTTAATTCCTGGTTGCAAGTAAAAACATCCTATTATATTCCTCATTTTGCATTTGTTAAAATTCCTCCTGCGCTTTTCACTATTTTCAAAGTTTTAAGTTTCTTTCTGTGAAAACTTGCTTATCTCCAGATCTTAGTCTTAAGATTTTTTGCCTTTTTTATTAACAATTGCTACCAATTAGGAATCTCAGAAAAATGAAAGAGAAAAGATTTCCCCTTCCCGTAACACCATAGCAGTAAATAGCATTTGGAATTGTCAGAACCTTTTTGATAAAATGATGTAGGAAAACATTCACAAAACTATGGGCCTTGAGAAAATGTACGGTGTTGCACTTCTTTTCTTTATAATTTTTATAAAATCGTCCCCTTGAACTTTCCTTAATAATGCAAACTTTTAGGACACTCACCTTGATTGGAAAAATTGTTCTACGTCCTCTAAAATGTAATGCTTCATCTCTAAAATATGTTTTGCTATCTGGTTGTTTTAGTTAATAATATGTTACCTTAGTTTCAGTTTTTACACATAAATTTCTATTTTTCTGAAACTATAAATACTCCAAAGAATTCTTTTAGACAGAACTATTTTCCTCTTCTTGGAACTACCTTTGCAAAGATTAGAACACTAGCCGCAGCTACTCAGGAGACTGAACAGGAGAACCGGGAGCTTGAACCGGGAACCAGAGGTTGCAGTGAGCCGAGATCGCACCACTGGACTCCAGCCTGGTGACAGAGTGAGTCTCCATCTCCAAAGAAAAAGAAAAGAAAAAAAGAAAATGATGGCAGTGAAATACATCTGATCTAATGAGCCTGATGGAGGGCAGGAAAGCCCCAAAATTGAAAGCTTAATCCCAAACTTATGACCATCAGAAAAATTTTTAACAAGTAATATAAAAAGGTTTTCCTTTCACAGTGATGTAAAAATAATCTGGGAAAAGACATAAGAATATAACTATGTTCCTTTGCGTTTATAAAGCAGGGAAATAACCAAGATTATACACATATGAATGAACCATACATATGAAATAAGTGTCTTAGTTGAGATGATAGTTTAAAGTGATTGTTCATTAATGTAAACTCTTAAAGAAAAATATTTCTATTAATGGGTTAAGAATAATTTGACTTATTCATAAAATGAATTTTTATAGTCATTCAAGTTGAGGCAGCTATCTGTTACTGATGTGAGAAAAAGCTTTAGGGAATAGGAAAATTAGAGTATAGTATCATAGCTATAATGTTATTTACTTGTGTAAATTTGTGTGTGTAGCATATGCGTGTGTCTTTGGTGGAAAGATGATCACCAAATTGTTGAGTGGTTATTGCTCGATAGATTTCAGTAGATTAAAAACAATTATTGTTTGTATTTTTCTTTATTGATAGTATCTTTACAAATTCAACATTAGCACATTTCAATATAAAACATTAAATTGTTTTATCAGAAAAGGGTCACAATCCAGACCCCAAGAGAGGGTTCTTGAATCTTGTGCAAAAAACAATTCAGGACAAATACACAGAGTAAAGCAAAAGCAAGTTTATTAGGAAAGTAAAGGAATGAAAGAATGGCCACTCCATAGGCAGAGCAGGACATTCCCAAAAGCAAAAGGAAGAATTACGTCCACCTTAGGTACAATGCTTGTTTATATATAAGAAACAAAGCAAAACAATTGTGGGGAAGGTCTACTGTTAGGGGATCTTTGGGGTGTCACTTTTCTGACCGGAAACATCTGTGACCAGTGGCGCCTTTGCTTGAGATTTGGTGGGGCCCACTGGGCTCATTCTGCCTACTTGGCCTTGCAGGCTGTGCTTGGCTGACGCTACTGGCCTTGATCCCATGTCTCCCAAGGGCGAGTAAGGTGGGAGCGGTGAAGGGTATGTGAGCAAGTGTGAGGTCTGGCCACTGCACACAGTCAGACAGGCTGGTTGCTGCAGTGGGGTGGGCAGCTCCAAGTGCCGGCATGGGTGCTGGTTCTTTGCAAGGCTGTGGCCAGACCAGGTGCACTGCAAGCAGCTTCCACAGCTGGCACTGGGGACCATGGTGGTGCCTGGAAGCTTGGAGATTGCAGGGCCCCAAAGAGGGAGTCACAGCCCTGTGGGGGAGCTCCCAGGTCTGGGATCCCCAAAGGGCCACAGCTCTTCTTTCCTTCTCTTCACCTGCAATGTAGGGAGCAAGCAAGGGGCATGTCTCAGCCCTGTTTGTGTTACAGCTCTTTTAGCTTTGCCATTCGTTGGGTCACGAGTTCTTGTCCTGTGACTAGGAAAAGTGAGTTATGCAGACAAGTGGAGGGTGAGTAAGAGGAAGAAGAGCTTTATTGAGCTATAGAACAGCTCAGAGGGGACCTGCAGTGGGGAGCTTCTTTCTGCAGCCGGAGTGTCCTGACAAGTGTTCAGCTCCTAGGGAGCGGGTAGTTCCTCTCTGCTAGAGGTCATCTCAACAAGTGTTGAGGGTAGCTCCTCTCTGCTGCGGGTCCTCCCATTGTCTGCAGCTCTAAGCAGAGAAGAGGCCCTAGAGTGGTGGCTCCTCTCTGCAGCAGGTCATCCCATTGCCTCTGCAGCTCTCAGCAGAGAGTGTAACTCCTCTCTGCTGCTGATCATCCTGTCACCTCTCCATCCTCTGATCTACCCTGCTGTAGCTGATCCCAGGGCTTTTATGGACCTCAGAGGAGAGGAAGTGTGTGCCAGTTGGTCCATGGGTGGCCATGGGCAGGTCTGGAAAAGGCACCACAAGACCCCACTCCACCAGCAGCCTGGCCCCTAGCCTTCGGACCCTCCCTGGGGGACCTGACCCCTTCCACCCAGGAGTCTGTCTGCCTCCTGACACTGTCCATGCCGCCCAGGCTGCTAGCCCCCAGGGGCACCTGCAGGCCAGCACCTAGCTGCCCTCAGCCCCCCACCACTCAGCTTCCCCCGTACCCAGCCTTTGTGCTCCTGGATGCTCAAAGTCTGGAGGGGGCCGAGGCAGCAGGGGGCTGGTGTATCAGTGCTGCCCACAGCGTGCACACACCCGGCTACACCCAGCCGGCCTGTGACAGCTCCAGGGTTCATTCAGCCCCAACCCTGCTCTGAGATTGGAGTGGGTGCCAGGAGTGGCGAGCGGCTAGGCAGTGGGAGCAGACAACCCTGAGCCTTCGCGGGAGGGCCTTCCGGGTCCTCGAGGGTACAGAGAGCAGAAATGCCAGAGTCCCGTGCCTGGGAGGGTGGGGCTCCCCTGGCCTCCTGGAGCTTGCAGACAGCCCTGGCCACGCCTCCTCACAGCCTGGGGTAGGGGGTCCGGATGCTCTGCCTGCCCCTCAGTGCCGGATTGTGCTGGAGGGTAGCTTGGCCCAGCCCCATTGCGGTGGCCCTCAGGGTGGTGGGCTTTGGGGGCCTGGGGAGAGGGTGCTCCTTCTTGTCCTTGTCCCTGGCTCCCAGCGGCTCCGTGGAGGATGGCACTGCCTCAGGCCCAGCTCCACCTCCTCCCTGCACCCTCCCAGCAGTTGCTGCAGATGAGAGCGGCGATGGGACCAGGGTCCAGAGCAATGGAGGCTCCGTGCCTGGGAGCGGGTTCTGCCGGCTGCGGAAGGATAGGGGTGGCACAGTCAGCCGCCTTGGGGACACAGGACATAGGGGACCCACCACCGCCACTGCCGCTCCCGCAGCAGCTCGTGCCGCCACCACCCACGCCTCCTTGCTGCAGCCAGCGTGACGACAGCGGCTGCTCCGGACCACCCGCAAGCGGCCATCACGGCAAGGGACTAACCGTCGTGTAACTACTGTCTGCCACAAAAATCTCTATTATTATCTTTAAAGGGAAACTTCTTCTTAAACTAAAAATGCTTTTGTTCCTAATATATTGGGACATCGGGACATTTCCTGGGTCTGTTGTTTCCTGGGTCTGTTTGGTAAACCTTGTTAACCTGTTCCCTTCACTATAAACATCCTGTGACTTAGAATGCCTAGCCTCTTGGGAAGGCATCCCAGCAGCTTCCTCATTTTACCCAGCCCCTGTTCAAGAGGGAGTCTCTCTGGTTCCAACACCTCTGACAGTTTTGAAGAGAAAAAAATAATCCTCTTGAATAAATCTTCTGATAATTCTCACCTAATGTGATTGGAATCTACTGGGCCTACTAGATGGAGCTTGTTGAAAGAGAGGGGAGCTCTATGAGCTCCCAAAATACGTCAAAAAATAAAAATTAGAGAACAAAAAGAAAGATTTCCAAGGGGTGATATAAAATAGGAATTGGAGGATGGAGAAACAATAGCACACCTACCTCTAGAATTTCATAAAACCGGGATATGATACCTAGAGAAACTGTTGCAAATTATCAATTTTTAATTTTCTTTATTTAAAAGAAAATCTTTGTATGTTACTTCTGGGTGATTCTCAGAACTAAATCTGGTTTAGTAATTTATTTTCGTTAGTCTGATATTCAGTTATCATGTTAAAATTTTTGCTATAATGTATTAATTTTATAAGATTTCTATGGGCATCTTGTCATAACTTTTGCTTGCCTTGTTTCAGCATTTTCTATTTTTGTTTCAAAATAATATTTTTCCTTTTATGGTCTCCTTAACACTTATATTTTAAATTCTTTGAGATGTGGTAGTCCATCTTCTTTCTTTTTCTCTCTTTCTTTCTCTCCTTCTTTCTTTCCTTCTTTCTTTTTCTCTTTCTCTTTTTCTTTTCTTTCTTTTCCTTTCTCTCTCTCTCTCCTTCTTTCCTTCTTTCCTTCTTTTTTTGAGACAGGATCTCACTCTGTTGCCCAGGCTGCACAGTGGCACAGCTCACTGCAGCTTCAACCTCCCTGGGATCGGGTCATTCTCTCACCTCAGTCTCCCCAGTGGCTGGGACTACAGGCATCTCCACCACACAGCTAATTTTTGTATTTTTTGTAGATGGGGGTTTTGCCATGTTGCACAGTCTGGTCTCAAACTTCTGGCTCAGCCAATCCACCTGCCTTGGCCTCCCAGAGTATTTCTATCTCTTAAGCTGTAAATTGTTCTGATTTTAGAGTTTGTTGTGTGTGTTTTAAGAGTGTTAGTTTCCATACATCTTTTGATCATAACTTCTGCACAGTTCTCATTTGCGAGTCCCTCCTGGATTATTCTCTAGCACAACCCCTGACCCTGGTGAGGTGTGGCACCGGCCTCACAGCCTGCTTGGCTAGTGGATTTCTGGCTCCATCCTTGCTGGAGCAGCTTTGGTCTTCAGTCTCAGATGGGTGGTGTTGGTGCCCTGATTCAGGATCTTCTGGGTTTTTTTCATAGTTTGAGAGTGGCATAAACAACACTCAATGTGCCTATTTCCTACTGTCTCACTCAATAGCAATAATCCACATGGGGGACTTCTGTTGTGGGGAGAGGGTTCCCCACACACCAAGTGACCAATCAATTCTGCTGCAGACACTAGTTGGGTGTCCTCCAGTTCAATTCTGACACTGTCAGCCTAGAGGTAGCATCAGATCCCACAGGTTGAGGGCTCAGTCCCCAAGAAAGACTGCCCTCCCAAACCCCCCCACCCCCCGCCCCAGTTAGGCTCCAGTCACAAGTCAGGGCCTCTGGAAATGCTGGCGTAGGGTTGGGGTTCCTGCAACCCCCCTTTTTGGGCTCGATTATTTTGCTAGTGGCTCATAGAACTCAGGAAAACACTTTTTATACTTACCAGTTTATTTTAAAGGATTCTACAAGGGATACAGATGAAGAGATGTGGAGGGTGAGATATCAGGGAAGGGGTGAGGATCTTCCCTGCCCTTCCCAGGTACAGTACCTTCCAGGAACCTCCATGTGCTCAGCTATCCAGAAGCTCTCTGAACCCTGTTTTCTGGGGCCTTTTATAGAGCTTCATTGGTTAGGCAAGATCAAAGCATGGGCAACCATGTAGAAATATGATTGGAACACAAGGGTATGATCTAACACTAATAGACTGAGTGGGGAAACCTAGCAAGGCCTGCCTGTTCAGATTCCTTTTGGCCTCTCTGTGCAGCGTTCCATCCTCCTGGGTACAGGACCAGACCCTCTCTGGAATGACAGTTTTATGACCCCAGATCAGAAAGGCAGGGGAAGATCAGAGTCCCGCTTGGGCTGGTGAGAAGAGAGCAGGAAAAGGCCAGAGAGATTCTGTTTTCTGAGGCCTAACTGCCCCAACATTATAACAAAAGACCACAGCTGGAGCTATGGGAGTTATAAGCCAGGAACCATGAATGAAAACTTATATATTTTTTATATATAAGATATTACAGGCCGGGTGCAGTGGCTCACGCCTGTAATCCCAGCACTTTGGGAGGCCAAGGTGGGTGGATCACCTGAGGTCAGGAGTTCAAGAGCAGCCTGGCCAACATGGTGAAACCCCTACTCCACTAAAAATAAAAAAATTACCCAGGCGTGGTGGCGGGCATCTGTAGTCCCAGCTACTCGGGAGGCTTAGGCAGGAGAATCACTTGAACCCGGGAGGGGGAGGTTTCAGTGAGCAGAGATCGTTCCACTGCACTCCAGCCTGGGTGACAGAGCCAGATTCAGTCTCAAAAAAAAAAAAAATCACAATAGAGAATCATTTTTTTCTTGTTTTCAGTTGTAGTTAGTATTTATTCCATTTTCACTGTAATTTCTCTATGTTTAGAAAAAGAGATCAAAGTTTTAGTACACACTCTTTCTTCTAAAATCAAAAGCCCCATTTTTTTCATGATGATTTCCTAAGACTTCGATACTTTTATTTTTCTAACACTCTGCAATGACAAGTGGTAAACTCTTTGGAATTAAAAGGAGGTGGCATGTGTGACTCATTTGAACATAACTACACTGGGAATTATGTGTCTTTTTCATATTCTCTGCCAAAGAGAATAAAGCGTAGGTGAGAAAAAGTGAAAAGTGATAGTTGGGATAAAAGTAAACAGTAGACTGATTCTATAGGCCCTGTAAATAATTAAAATGGTTGCATAGCAAACAATGTCAGGAACGAGTAGACACAAGAGTATTAATGAGCTGGAGGCCAGCATGGGTCTTCAGGAACGGAGCACTGGAAAATATAACAGCTGTGCTCTGTCATGCAGCGGTGAGATCATGTGTTGTGTGTCTTAAGGAGATAAGAGGAAACTGGCCCGCATCTCAATTCAACATTCAGTATTTGACAAGATATCTCACTTTCCATCTTATTATCACCTATCATCACTGAAGACTTTTAATGCCCTTAATGCCACTTAAGATTAGGTACATTTTCATTTCTGACCATTTCTCTGGTTATTTCATTCCTATGTAGGTTTTGCTAGAATAATTCGGAGTTCTTTGGAGATTTGCTACTGTTGACCCAATAACTGTCATTAAGAGGATCTTATATTTTACCCTTCCCTAGGTAGATGCAATCTAGTTCCACTGAGAAACTCTACTGAGTCTTCTGATTGGGTCCTAGGAAGAGAAAGAGAGAATCGATGGCATGGGAAATCTAATCCTGAAGTTCTTTCCCCATGTAACTCTGCGTTCCTAAGGCCACAGTGTAACCTAAGCTTTAGCCTTCCCTCCCTGTTGTTGGGTCATCTTCTCCAGGGACATAATGGGAAAGGCTTTATCTAATGTCTTTTCTCATTTACCTCCCTGGAAGGTGTCCCTTCAGTACTGTGTGTCCTTGGTGCTGCTGAGCTCTGTCTGGCTCTCTGATCGTTTCAACACCTGGCACCCCTGGAGAGGCTACCGAGGAGAGAATGCGGGTGAGCTGCCACCAGTGGAGCTCTGAGGTTATCACAGCCTGATAAACGAACTCACAGGACACTCCCAATCCAATACGGCGCTGATGGGGTTTAAGACACTGATGCAGATGAGAAGCACAACTGCACAGCATATGTACTTCTAGTGAGAATTCATCAAATATCCCAGGCATGGCTTCCAGACCCCACCACTGTGTGGCCCATGCTTGTTTGTGAAAGGTGAGTCAAATATGTGAGGATTCTTCAGCACAAGGAAGCTGGCATTGCATATGAATCATGTGGATCCTTCCTGGGCGTGTGACCTGCTCTGTTTCACTGCAGCCCATCACATGAGTTACATCATATGGTAAGGAATCTCAACAACCAGGTTCTGTTGCTCTCAGTATCCTCAGAACATTGCACAGAACTTGGCAACCTTTAAAATATGCCTCATTTATGATCAGTTGAGCAGGTTCTTCATCTAGGTAGTGTGATCCATTTGGACATCTCTGGGTCCGTAGATGAGTTTGACAGTCCAGCTGATGAGGCCTCTCCCTTCAGTGAAACGGACCGCACTTCCCCCTCATGTTTATTTTTCTTCATCCTTCACAATATCACCCATGGGTTGTGAATATATACCAGATGTTTTAATAGGTGTGATACAGAGAATTCTATAAAATAAACACTGCAATATTCGTTTTTTCATGAAAAATTCACCCAAGATGTTAAACCCTTCGCAGAATCAGATATGCCCAGTGTTTAATCTTGCTTCATTCCCTTCATGCCCACATCGTTCTGAAAATTCTTCTTCTAACCCGTTTCTATAACTAGTAATCAAATTTCTAGAAAGCCTAATCCCTACCCATGAGACTGAATTTCACCCTGACCTTCATCACGCTACATCCAGCAGCACTGACTTCCACCAGTTTGTTTCAATATTCCTCTTTGCTACCTATGAGCCACCTGCTTAGCCTTACAAATCTCCCATGGGAAAACATTAATTTTTCAGAATCAGTAAAGCCTGTGTTGATGAGAAGAAACATATAGTTTAAGCCGTGATAATTTGCAAGATTGCCTCTCTCACCATGGAATTAGTGTCTCGCCTTATTGGGCAGAGCACTATCAATTTCTTTTCTACATTCTCCCTTTCAATTCTGCCTCCTTATTGTACATAAAAATAAGCAATAGGCTTAAGAGTGAGTCACACACTTTTCAATTGCCTCCTACTGGATGCTTTAACATTTTGATGAAATCCTCAGGCCAGCAGTTCAGTAACAGAAGTCAGCATGCATTAGAAAAAAAACCAATATTTTATTTAAACAACATTCCTTGAATTTTCCTCTTACGAATAGAAAAAAAAAGCTGGATCAAAGATAATCTAAGATAATTCTCACCATATGAACACAAAGAGATGCAATATCATTATGATAATTGAGGTGAATTTTTCTCTATATAGCTTAGCTTTATTCCAAAAAAGGAATCCTGCCTTATGCAGAAAATCTTCTTAATTTTTATTCATGTACAGAAATTGAAAAATGTTTAATTTTGAGTAAGCTTTCTTCTAAAAAATGTTTAGATTCAGTGTTCTGACGTAAGGGAGATTATGATTTTTAGTGGATGTTTTTGCAGTGATATAGGTTCTCTTCCAAGGCTTCTTCCGTAGAAATCAGAAAAGGACCAAAAATTGTTTACTTTGCAGGCAAATCCAATGATAAATAGCAATTTAATATCTGCTATGCGCATAAGCTATATTTACTTTAAAAGCATGGGTACTAGCAAATTTTCATACTAAGATACAGGGTTTAGGAATGAAGTTAAAGACACAGTACTATTTAATGCGAAGTTTTTTTGAAAGCTGCTAAGAAAAGAATATTCAAAATTCCTTTAGAAGTTCATCATCTTCTCATTTATTTTCATGAATAAAGTTTGTTCTTTAAATATTTTATGTGAAGCTTGTTTCACACTTTCATTTCTCAGGCTAGAAATCAAGGAGTTCAAGGAGATGGTCACACACAAGTTCGGTCTCTGAATCACAGAATCGCAGAGAGCTCTCGGTCTGAGCTTCTGTCCATGGCCACAAAGAGTTGCAGACTGCAGGTTGAGCAATGCAGGTTGAGAAAGCAAAGAGGTGAGCAAGGCAGGTTGAGAAAGCTCCATGCACACTGTCTGCAGAGATAATTTTTGGTATGTCAATTTCATTGCAGATATAAGATATGGAAATAATGGAAAAGAGAGAGAAAGAGAGAGAGAGACTAAGAGAGAGACAGAGAGAGAGACCGGCATAGGGCTTAGTATATGCTTGCATAGGTCACAGTTTGACTTCAGGAATGTGATGGGAATGACAGCCATAACTTCGTTGGCACAGGATTAGGGTAGCTGCCTAATATAGCATCAGGAGATTGACATGTAGCTAGCAGCCTCTCCAGGGCCCTGTGGTGAGCAGTATATACAGTTTGTGTGTAATGGTGTGCATACCTTGCAGTGGATATCCAATGGCAATAAAAGGGTGGCACTGTGTCAGTGAATGCAAGAAGATCTCGGGGCAGTACAGGCAAGGAAAGGAGAAAACATGGACAGCAGCACCCTGAACATTGATGGCTCATTTCTGCGTTGAAGGTAAAGCAATAATTGAAGACAAACTCATGCCAATCACAATGATATTTTTCAAGGAAAAAAATACATGCATGATGTGTGAAATCCCAAGGAACAAACAAGGGTCCTGAATATAACATTTCCCAAAAGGGTACAAAATTTATAAGATATAATCAGGATAATGAAATACAATCTCCAGCCCTCAGCCATTCACAGTAACAAACTCAGACATCACTGTGTGATTTCTCATTTTAAAGAAGAATCGACACAAGATATCAATGAAAGGAATATTTTGCTTAAGGTAAAAATCTTTCTAAACAAATAGCCTTTATGTACAACAAGCAGAAAAGCCATAAAAAACTGTTGCTAATTTATAACTTGGATTGGCAGGCATTCTTTTTTTTTTATATATCTGTCTCTAAATTGAGCTTTCTAATTTCAGATAATCCTCATTAGCACCCTTCCCAGAGGAAACTCTTTGAATAGAGTCATTATTTTTTCCATATGTTTTCACCTTATAAATCTTCATAAAACCAGCAAATCACGCTCTTCCCTATTCTCCCACCCTTAGCTTCTGTCTCCCTCTACATATCATGCTGACCTCTGTGCTGATCTGATTTTATTAAAACTGCAGACTCTTTCATGAGATGAAGAAAAATGCATAGGGAGAAGACACATTTTTCCTACCTCTAAACTCACCTCATCATATAGGAGCATCAACAGATTAGAATGGCTATCATAAAAAAGATGAAATGTAACCAGTGTTAGCAAAGATGTGGAGAAGAGGGAACACTTGCATACTGCACTACTGGTGGGAATGTAAATTCATGCAGCCATTATGGGAAAAATAGAGTTACCACATGATCCTGCAATTCTACTTCTGGGTATGTATCCAACGGAACTGAAATCGGTATGTTGAAGAGATATCTGCATGCTCACATGCATTGCAGCATCATTCACAATAGCCAAGATATAGAAACAAACTAAGTATCCATCAATGGATGAATAGATAAAGAAAATGTGGTATATGTACACAATGGAATACTACTCAGCCTCAAAAAGGGGGGAAATCCTGTCCTTTGCAACAACATGGATGAACCTGAGGGACATTATGCTAAGTAAAATAAGCCAAGCACAAAAAGACAAATAGTCCTAGATCTCACTTATAAATGGAATCCAAAAAAGCCAAACTCATGAAGTAGAGCTTAGAATACTGGTTACTGGGGCTGGAGTGATGGGGCTGGGGATGGGGAAGGTGGATGGAGAAAGGAGAGGCGTTGGTTAAAGGATACAACTTTTCAGTTAGATAAGAGGAATAAATTTTCGTAATGGAGTGACATGGTGACTATAGTTAATTATAACATATGTCAAATTCACTAAAAGAGTGGATTTTAAACTTTCTTACCACAAAGAAATGGATAATTATGTGAGGTGATAAATATGTTAATTAGCTTGCTTTACTTTTCCACAGTGTCTACCTATATTGTAATATCGCATTGTATCCCAGAAGTATGTAGGATTACTATTTGTCAATTAAAAATAAAAGAAATACATTGGAAAGGATTATGGAGAAGATAAGAACACTGTCTCAGTGAGAACACATAATGACTAGGAAGTGTCTTTATTAGGATCTACAGAAAAAGAAAAGTCACTCACAAAACATCTCATCAGATTTTTATAGATATCCTGGTTTCTACTTACTTTTGCTTTAAAGGAAACAAATCTCTCCAAGTATTTGAGAATTTAAATAAATTTGATCTTCTTTTGGAGATTTTTTTTTCCTCTGTAGTCATAGTTTCTATTATGGATAGATTGATTGTTCTTATTATAAACTTTGGTGATAATAAGACTTTTAATTTTGGACTGAAACATGGTTATGATGTCTTTGTAAAATCAGTTTTAATTGGAGACCATGTTTGCTGTTGTCAGAGCTATTTAGTTGGCCTGTGTCGTAGTGTAATAGTTATGACCATTTTATATAATTCTTTCTTGTCCTTCCAAGGCTAATTTCAAGTTGCTTTGTATCTTTGAAAGCACATAGATTAATTTTCTTTAGCATCATAGTTAATCAATAAATGTTTGTTAATTGACAGTGGCTTATGAATGTATTTATTAGTAATATTTCATTACTTTATTGACTACTCATTATTGTACTAGGCATTGTACTAGGTGCTTAAGGCGTTGTACTAGTGCTTAAGATTTACAATTTCATTAAGAATCTCCTAACTTAGCTAAGAAGGAGAGGGAATTAAATTACTAAAAATTACTGCTTTAGCTCTATGAGCCAGCATTGTGATGTACTTAATAGATATTACATCATGCTGCCAATATCCACATGAGGGGAGGTGGGAGGTGTATTATTCAGAACCAAAAGGGAGGAAACTGAGGCTCAGGGAGTTCAAGTAATAGGCCAATGCCCTACAGCGAGTAAGAAGTGTTTCTGGGAATTCAACTCAGGTCTGCATTCCCCACAGTCTCTAAAGTATGCTGCTGAAGGAATTCCGTCAGTAACTCACAAGCTAGAGAGAAATGAAGGAGAAATCAACTTCTCCATCGGGATTATGGAAGAGACACCATTTGAGAGCAGTCCAGATTGAAGAGTTTAGTAGAGGTTTATCAACAATTCTTGGTCCCACAGCACAGTGTGTTTGAGAAGCCACAACTCAGTTTCATACACGGGCATGTGAACAGAAAGGCCTGCAGGATCTGGTGATAAAGATTCTTACCCGATATGCTATAATGTTTGTACTTCATCCTCCAGGCTGTGAAGAGTCACCAGTGAGCAATGTAATCAGATGGTGTTTTAAAAATATGTTATAATATGAATCAGTGTGGACAGGCAGCTGGACAGGGGCCAGTGTAGTGGCTAGGATTCCTTTTAAGAGGACATCAGGGTGTGATCAAGGTGTGAAACAAAGTGGGAGCAATTGATAGGGAGACTGGATGATAATACAAAAAAAGATTCAAAAATAGAGTAATGGAACTGAATGGATGATTGGCCGAGTGGGAGTGTGAAAAGGTAGAGGTGCGCTCTTAGTTTCTGCCTTGGGCATCTCGCATGATGTAAAGTCATTATTCTAAAGATGGAAGACAGAAGGGAAATGCTCATTTACCGCAGGCAGTACCACATCTTGAGCCTTATTAAGAGGCTCTGACAACTGATAGATTACCTTCTTTGTAGTGTGTTCAGCATAAAGCTTAGGTTGGTACGCACTTTAGAAAGTATTTGTCATGCTTTATTATACATATTAGGTTGAGGTTAGGAAGAAATTTAAACATGGTTACTGAATTCTAGTCATAAATCCATTCACTTACCTATAAGCAACTTGGATTATAGGAAGCACCATAGCAACCTGGGAATAGAATGATGTGATAACGTACGCTGAGGGAGCCTAATCAGTCACCTTTCTGCCCACTTCCTCGTCTCTGTGTACCAAATATTGATGAATAGAAATAAAGATCCAACTGGATCAAAATGTTAGTATCATTAATGATAAAACTGGATTAAGAATGCAAGGGAAAATCCTCTCTCTCTTCTTCTAAAGCCTTGGAACCAGCAGCATCTCAGATTGCCTTCTCCACTGCTGGGGGAAAAGCACGACTCTGACTTCAGCCAGCTTGTTGCCAGGCAACCCAGGGAGAGCTGCGGGAATCAGCCAGCAGGATGCCCTGCTTGGCTCTCTTCAGAACACAGTGTACATTGATTTAATATCAAGGACACACTTCACTCTCAGCCAAAAATGCATTGTCTAATCTATTTCTCATCACAAATTGTCTAGTCATAGCATTCGATATAGCCCAAAAGAAAAAACTGTAAAACAAACATTCACAAGTGTTAAAATATGCCAAATAATATAATGCCAACAAAATTAAGCCACACACAAATATAAATTCTAAATATGAATTTTTGTATTAAATTTTCAGAAAGAAATTAAAATACAAATATGAAATATCCTTTTGTTGTATATTAAAGTCCAAAGAATTACAAGTCCAACATTTCTCCCTCCACAATTTTATATTCATGTTACTCTAAGGCTGAGTGCCTTATTTGAGGCCACAGGTCCTTCTTCCGTGGCTAACCTCTGGGCTTTCTCTTGATGAAATAGGGTGGGCCTCCTTTTAGTACTTCCAAACTTGAATGCTCCAACTCAAAGGCTGTTTGTTAGTTTCCGCTTTCCCAAGTGGAAATATATGAATTTCACAATACCAACCTAGTATCTAAAATAGTAAAAAACAATAAAAAAAATTCCTAGCCATGTAGTAACATTTCAAGCAAAATAATATTCCCAGGACCCAGTACATGGTATAATTTCAACCAACTGCTACTGCGAAAATTATATGAGAGAACTAGTGGTCTGGAAGTTAGGAGTGTAACTTCTAGAGACAATATGAGAGAAAGGAGAAAAATCTTGATGTCATCCTGTCCGGATACTAGTCAGTCTGTGCAGGTTGCCTGGAACCCATAAACAGTGAGTCTGGATTTAGAATTCAACTGCCAGTAATATCTTATTGAGAGATACATATGGTATAAGCCTGCCATATCCTGGGAAATAATTTACCTATAGATACTTCTTTCTCTCTTTGGTAAATAAATGTCAGGTATTCCTGTTTTTATGAAATATTTAGAAATTTACAGCGGTGACATCATAGTCTCCAAGTTTTACTGAAGGCTCCATTCTTCCTTTGATGTAAGTTTCTTAAAGGTAGGGCCCGTGTTCATTTTATTCACCTCTGTGCTCGAAGATCCTAACTATTGTACAGAGTATGTCAACAAATAAGTGCTGAATAATAACATGCAATTCAGTATATGCTTAACCTATTAATTTCCAGTCCTTTTGAGCCTTGTGTTTCTGACACACCAATTATAAAGGAAGTACAGTTATTCTAACTCATAATCAGGGGACCCTATATTCATAACTCTGCAAGCCATGTTTATGGTTTTGTATTCTCTCCAGACAAAATCTCTTTCATTCTACAGAGGTGATTTGCTCTACGCTCGGTTGTATCACACCCTCTTCAGTGCCCATCTCCCACAAATGTCCAAAAACTGTTTCGGGGTCTGCCATTTAACTTATTGCCCACTTAAGTGAGTTTTAGACCAGGTTATTTCATATCATGTGCTGAAGGTGATAATTTACAGAAAACCTTGAAAGTTTAGTAAGATTTTAATGGACAAAGAAATAACGTTTTAAAAGTGTTCTGGGCTGGGCGCGGTGGCTCCCGCCTGTAATCCCAGCACTTTGGAAGACCGAGGCGGGCAGATCACGAGGTCAGGAGATCGAGACCATCCTGGCCAACATGGTGAAACCCCGTCTCTACTAAAAACACAAAAAACTTAGCCGGGCATGGTGGCGGGCGCCTGTAGTCCCAGCTGCTCGGGAGGCTGAGGGAGGAGAATGGCGTGAACCCGGGAGGCGGAGCTTGCAGTGAGCCGAGATTGCGCCACTGCACTCCAGCCTGGGCGACAGAGCGAGACTCCATCTCAAAACAAAACAAAACAACAAAAAAAAGTGTTCTATTCCCAGTGCACTTGACTTAGGCCTTTTGACTAGTATAGAGTGCAAGGCAATTATGTTTTGTAGAAACTGAAATTTTTAAACACCTTTGGATGATGTAAAGGTATAGATTGAAATAAAGTCCTGATTGAGATGGACGTTGGAATTCTTGATGTGATTTCCCAAGAACTCTGGGAAACGGATTCATTTTCTAATTCTGCAGCACCTAATTCAGAAATGTTTTCATAGCAAATGCTGTAGACTGCAGAGACCGAAAGCAGTGGTTTAGGACTTCGTCACGGTGTGAGTTTACTGTGCACTCTATAATCATATTGTGTACTTGTATAATGCTGAGATTGATGAGGTATAACTGCTCCTGGCTGAGGTATTTGGCAACACATACATACAGGAATGGTCAAGCCTTATATTCTAATATACAGTCTGAGGGGAGTGAATGATGTTTCCAGAGACTCTAATGTAAACTTATTCATTCCTATATTCTCATGAACAGCCCTGTGTTCAATGGTGAGATTTGGGTCCAGGGAACTTGCATCTCCTGTCTTGAAAAATGTTGGTGATCTCTCTATAATATATTCTGATCGTGTCTCTTCTTAAAACAAATAAATCCTGTTATTTGCTTGACTGCCGTTATTGCCTAGTATTTAATATTTAATATTTACAACTGGCAGGTACCAAGCAAGTGAAAGAGGACTTGTTTTTATCTGTTGGCTGATTTACAAAGGTTCCTAACCCCCCTCCCTCCCAGGCTTCCCATATGCCATTTCTTCCTCTGTCTATGCTTCCATTTTTCCAATGATGTAAGAGATTCTACTGTTATGAGACAGCCATATGGAATCACAGAATTAGTATTTCAGAGTTGGAAGGTAACTTAAAAGTCATCTAGTTTAGTGGAAGGATCTCCCTTTAATATTTTTTACATCTCCTTTCTTAAAAAGGGATATTCCTCCTCCGATGAGAGATAATATCCTAGTATAATCATCTTATCCCATGATTCCAGCTGACAGAGCAGAAAGATTGATATCACAATTAGTTACAGTGTCATTTGATATAAATAGAGGGAGAGATAAAGATCTTCTTTATAGTAGAAAACCAATGACCTAATGTGGTAAGAATAATTAATTTGGAAAGTTATTATTTGGCAATTATAATAATAATTCAGACAAGAATAATCTATGGATGCTAAAACTGGCAGATAAAATTGAGAAGTAATAGGATATGTACATAATTGCAAAGTTTCCATCCCTCCAAAAAATCATTATTAATTAGGAAGGTAAAATAATCACTTTATGGTTGAGTAGTCTGACAGACACTACCTTAACCAAATGATAAAAATTAACCTCACTAGTAATGGAACAAATTCACAGCAAGTACCTCCTGATATAATATACTAGAAAGAACACAGCATCATTTTGGAGTTGGTTCTGTCAAAAACACATTACCTGAATCTAATCAGGAGAAAACATTAGACAAACTCAAACTGATGTATGTTGTACAAAGTACCCATCTTAAAATATTCAAAAACAATAATGTCCTGGAATACAAAGGACTCAGGAACTATTCCAGTTTTTTAAAAAAAGATAAATAACATTATGCAATATATAATCCTGGACATTTTGTGCTATAAAAACATTATTAGAATAATTGGGAAAAGCTAAAGAATACCTGTAGATTAGATGATAGTATTGTATCCATATTCATTTCCTGGTTTTGATAACTATATTATAGTTATATAAGGGGACACCCTTTGTTTTAGGAAATAAACTTTAAGTAAGATATGGGGAAAAGGACCACATGATTGCAACTCGTTCAGAATAAAGTGTACACACACACACACACACACACACACAATATTGGGGGAAGGATTAGAGAGAGAATGAGAGAGAGAAGGGATAAAACAAATACAATATGCTGATAACATTGGGAATGTGAGTAACAAATATACATGGACTTTATGTTACCTTTTCAACTTTTCTGTAAGTCTGAAATTGTTTAAATCTTTAAAAGTCAATTTGATGAAACTTCTAGGAATGCTTTAACAGAACAGAAAAACTAGAAATTATTTCTTTTGTGTTAAATTTTTTATTTTTAAAATCTGTCAATGTTTTATATTAGAATAAATAAATATTCTGATTCAACAGATACATTCTTACAATAAAATATTTATTTTTATTTAGTATATTTATTGCTGTTACGACTTGTGCAAAGATTAATTAAACTTATGTTGCATCAAGGTTATCCATACATTTCTCACTTGGCATTATAAGTTTGTGAAGTAAAATGAGAACTGAACTGAAAATCGGAAGACCTGGATTCTACTTTTGGTTCTTCCATTAACTAAAGAAATTTCTGAATCCAGGTGCTTAGCCTGTAAACCTGAGCCGTGGATGAAAAGTGAAGCAACTGGGAGAGAAGAGCTGGAATGACATTTTAATACACATTAGAGGAAACTGTCAGGGAAAAATTCAAAGAGATTTTCTAAACCATTGTAACTTTACAAGTGATTATTATTTTTCAGTATTGCCATCTGTTTCTTTGTAGTGACAAGTGGCAACATGCTTAAAACAGAAGTGTGTATGTGTGTATGTGTGCATGTTAAAAGACAGAAGAGTGGAGGTTGTGAAACATATGGCTGTTTCAGCACTTGCCTGCCAAAAAGAGAAGGCCAGGAAAGAAAACATGGATATTGAAGACAGGAGTGACTGTTATGTGTCTTGGTTAACAGAACATTTAAAATTACAACAACCTTGCTGTAATGGATAGTTATTACCTGTTTCAATGTCTATATTAGAGAGATAAAGGGAAATAAAGCCATTATTTATATTTTATATTTTAACATTCGACATGTTTAATATTACAATCCAACTATTACTTATCTGGAAGGAACTTCAGTGTTACAAAGACTTCTTGAAATTGAACAAATAAGTCTATTTTATTTCTAGATAGAGTAACTAGATTATAAATAAAATAAGTCTATTTTATTTCTAGATAGAGTAGCTGACTACCTGATTGCTTGTGAGGTACACTTACGGTTATCTCATCTTAGAGGTTCTTGTATAGCACATCACAAATCACCTGTCACCAATGTGCCTTCACTGGGGCTCATTTAACATATTTTAATAGCTCATGCAGGCTCAGTGTGATGGCTTATAGTTTCCACTTGGAGAACTGATGTTCAATCACCTGTGTTGATAGGAATTGAAGGTAAGAGAAGGAAGGTAATAATCATTCCATTATGAAGTACTATTTTAGCTCTAAATATAGCTTTCTTTCTATTTACTTTTCTTTCTTTCTTTCTTTCTGTCTCTCTCTCTCCCTCTCTTCTTTCCTTCCTTCCTCCTTCCATCTTTCTTTTTGTCTGTCCTTTGCTTCTTTACAAAAAGGACTTCATGTAGCTTAAAAGAAAAGGCAGACAACTTGGAAGTAAAATATAAGAAGAAACAGAAAACAAAATCAGGAAAAGAGAAACAAGAATACATTCATTATAAAATGTAACATTATTTCCATAAGCCAGATTTACCTACTTTTTCCCCAGCATTATGGAACACAGAGATTAGAAGAAAAATAAATCGATTGTATTATGAGAAAAAAAGAAATGTACTCTTTCTCAGGTGGACAGATTTATTATTGTTACCTGAATTTCAATGAAAATTCTAACATGGGCTTTCTATGACAGACACAGAAATACATCTACATTCCTTTTTTAATTAAATTAAATTAAGTTTTTTTTTTTGAGAAAAAAGTACACATAACCTTCCAGGAATTTAATAATACAAGGAAAATATATATATTCCAAAGGAATCTGTATGCTAGAAAAATCTTGAAATCACACAAGACTGAATACTAGAAGGATTACTTTAAACAGTACTTAAGTTACTTTGAGTTTTAATATTGATTGGCAGAAAATTAAAGATTATAATCTGCAGTAAGTAGGATTTTCTGATTTCTCTCCTTTCCTTCTCTCCTTCCTTTATATATATATATATGTATACATACATACATATATGTATACATATATATATACACACACATATGTAAATGCACTTTTAACCGGGACTATGATAGGAGAAAGCAAATGTGTTCTCTTAACTCTTTCAAAGGTTTAAAGAACAAAGAAATGTTTGGGGCGAAGGAGTGTGTCAGTGGTGTTAACAGAATCCTTACTACAAAAGAATTGAGCCCATGGAGGTTACAGTGAGCTATTATTGCACCACTGCAATCCAGACTGGGTTACAGAGCAAGACCCTGTCAAAAAAGAAAAAGAAAGAAAGAAAAGAAAGAAAGGAAAGAAAGAGAGAAAGAAAGAAAGAAAAGAAAGAGAAAGAAAGAGAAGAAAGAAAGAAAGAAAGAAAGAAAGAAAGAAAGAAAGAAAGAAAGAAAGAGAAAGAAAGAGAAAGAAAGAAAGGAAGGAAGGAAGGAAGGAAGGAAGGAAGGAAGGAAGGAAGGAAGGAAGGAAGGAAGGAAGGAAGGTGCAATGTCTGCTAAATTACTCTATTAGTTACATTTAATTCTAGGTCGGGATTAGTGGCTCATGCCTGTAATCCGAGCACTTTGGAAGGCCGAGGCGGGCAGATCACTTGAGGCCAGGAGTTTGAGACCAGCTCGGCCAACATGGTGAAACCCCGGCCCTACTAAAAATACAAAAATTAGCCAGGTGTGATCCCAGCCACTCAGGAGGCTGAGGCAGGAGAATCGCTTGAGCCCGGGAGGAGGAGGTTGCAGTGAGCCAAGATCACGCAACTGCACTCCAGCCTGGAGTGCAGCAATTACACATTATTTCTTATTCCTATCTTTAAGCCCTCCAAAAGTCAAAAAAAATTAATTCTAAAGTATAGGGAAATACACCAACAGACAGATATTTTAAAAGAGCGAGGTTAAGTAGTAGATTGATTTGGAGTACATTTCGTTTCAACTTGCCTTGGCAGCAGCAGATGGGAAATTTTCTCAGGGAGTGGAGAGTCAAACTTCAAAATGTAATCAAAATCTTAAATCCAGCAAAGCTTTAAATGTTCTCATTTATTTCCCAGAGCAAAGCTTTTCTTGGGAAATACATTCCTCAGGGCTGATCTGATTTTACATCCTTATTCCTAAGGCTATAGATTAGTGGATTCAACATTGGGGTTACCAGATTATTCAATATCTGAATTATGGAACCAAGCAAGGCACTGGGATTGGGTTGTAGATAGATAACGATGACTGGCCCATAAGCACAAAGGATTGCAGTGAGGTGAGCGCTGCAGGTGGAGAAGGCCCGCTGCCTGCCCTCTGCTGAGCGGATTTTTGATATGGAAATCCCAATGCAAGTATAGGAAACAAGGATGAGAAAAAAGCAAATGAGAGACAAAAGACCAACATTTGTAAAACCTACCCTCTGGGCTAAGGATGTGTCCTTACAGGCTAGAGGTAACACTGCAGGAATATCACAGAAGTAATAGCCCACCTTGTTAGGGCCACAGTAAGGTAACTGGAAGGTGAGGGGAGTTAGGATCATGGCATGGACACAGCCAATCATCCAGGTCCCCGTGGCCAACATAAAGCACACCCTGTGGTTCATGATGACCGTGTATCTCAAAGGAAAACATATGGCAACAAAGCGGTCACAGGCCATCACTGTGTAGAGGAAACACTCAGTACAGCCTAGGAAATGGTAGAAGAAAAGCTGGGACACGCAGCCTGCATACGAGATAGCATGGCTGTTCCCCGAAAGGTAGAACAACATCTTGGGAACAGTCGTTGAAGAGAAACCCAGGTCAAAGATGGAGAGGTTTCCCAAGAAAAAATACATAGGAGTGTGAAGTCGAGTGGAGGAGATGATAGCTGTAAGGATAAGCACGTTTCCCAAGAGGGTGCATAAATAAAATGAGGAGAACAGGAATAAAAGGGCTGTCTCTAGGCCCTCTGTCTCAGGGATTCCCAGAAGGATGAATTCAGTCACCATTGTGTGATTTCTCATTCCTGGGGAGGAATCAACTCTTGGGTGTCCGTGAAAAGAAATAAGTGGTTAAATTTAATATGCATGTAAATTACCTGTGTTTAGATGAATGAAATGGAAAAGAAGAAAGAGATCTAGATAGTTACAGAGGAATGCTTCCTGGTAGAATCATCTTGATCTGCCTGCTTTGCTCTGTACTGGATTCTGCAGTGGTTTCTTTTCTTGTTTGTAACTTTTCATTTTTACAGATTTAAGAGGCACAAGTGCATTTTTGTTACATGGATATATTTTGTTACATGGATATATTGCCAAGTACTGAAGCCTGGGTTTATAGCATACTCATCACCCAAATGGTGTACATCGCACCCAATAAGTAATTTTTCTTCCCTCACCACCCCCTCCCACCCAAATCGACTTTTAGAGTTATTCTACTCTGTACGCCCACGTGTGCTCATTGTTTAGCTCCCACTTATAAGTTAGAAGACTGCAGTGCAGGTTCTAATTGCAGATGCCTCTCATTTAATAATTTTACCAAGAAGCCTTGCACGACTAGTCTTGTAGCTGCCATTCTTCATATTTACCATTAAATAGCATAAATTATATATGCTCTAAAAGGACAAATGTAAATACTTAATGTCTTTATAACAAGGTCTCATCCAAATTTCTTATATTCATCTAATACAATTTGGTTATGGTAACTCTCCAAAAGTTATTTATAATTCTGTAAGACATATACAAAACATAAAATATCTTTC
Source organism: Homo sapiens (assembly GCF_000001405.40). NCBI lineage: Eukaryota > Metazoa > Chordata > Mammalia > Primates > Hominidae > Homo > Homo sapiens. The sequence goes on from NC_000011.10 coordinate 124,095,267, forward strand.
CCTCATTGTCTCCCTGGCCATGAGGATCAACAGTGAGACATTATTCAAAAGAAGGATCTCAGATAGCTCTTAATGAACAGAAAATTACAATAACAAGTTCCTTATCCTCTGCAGTCACCTGAATTCAGTGCACATGAGTAACCAGTAGACTTCATTTCTGTCTCCAAAGTCTGTAATTGTCTAACCAGACCCAAGTTAAGCCACATCCTAATTTTGTGGCAGCAGAAGGTACAGGGGTAGCAGTAGTAAAGACTCCTTTCCAAGTTTCACACTTTAAAAAAATCTAATATATTTTTCTACTTGTTTTAATTTTTTTCAGCAGTGAGATCTATAAATTATAGATCAACCCATATATTCTATTACCTAAGATGATTCCCTTTCTCTCTCTCTCTCTCTCTGTCTCTCTCATTTTTCCTGTAGATTGTGAAGGGAGGAAGGCAGTGAAAGCCAAGATAAAAAGTGAAGGGCAAAATGTGTGCACTTACATGGCAAACAGAGAACATAATTGGCTGTTACTTGTGAATGTTGTCTTCCTTTCCTTCCCCAGCAGAAGGAAGGTTTGTGCCTAAATCCCCATCAGCCTAGAGTCTACAAGTAGATGACTTGAATTCTTTTTTTTTTCAATCACTTTCAAATAGAATGCCACAAATCTAAATATGCACAGCTGCCTTACAGTAATTTCCTGTCTAACTCTAGGAACTGCAATCATTCCTCAATACAGGACATTTTAAATAACCTTGGTCTTCCCTGGGGTATTAATCCCTCAACTCAAGGAACTTTTTAAGCAAGGGAGCAATTAACTACTTGGTATAATTACACCTTAGAAATGAATGAGAGAAGAGAAGAGAGAGAGGGAGAGAGCGAGAAAGAGAGAGAGAGCCTGATTATTATCATTTCCTTTGTAAAATATACCTCTGTGGAAGAATATTTTTAAACATTCCTTTGACATATATATCACACATATTTATTGTGTATTTTTATATTTACTGCTTTTCATATGTATATACTATTTTTTAATAAATAAATTATACCTTATTTTGCTACATAGTATTGACAGAATTGACTATTGCAAGCAACAGTAACTGGGGTAGCTTAGAGAACTAAAGAAACTAATGGAAAACTAGGCCCAGGAACGGTGGAAAGTAGGGCAGCTGGAGGGAACTTAGCTGTTAGAATTCATGGAGCAACCTCAGGGCACCGCCATCAGCCAGTTCTACCTCAGCTGCCTTTGCTTCTGTGTGCCTCACCCCAAGATTCGAATCTGACTTCCTTGGCTGAGTCACATGCCTATCTCTGTGAGCAGGGTATAGATTATGGTGGGATGGAGATGGGCAGTTCTCCAGCGGGGAGTGAAAGGGGCTATTGCCAGAAGAAAGATGGAAGAAATATGCTGGGAGTTCAAAATTAATGTTAAGCGATCACTTGTAGTATCTGTCCTTATACTACTTGACATCTATTAAAGCTTCTGAGTTAAATACTTTCAATACTCAATACATATTAGGGGTTGAGGTGGAATACAAACTTCCTCATTGAATACATTCTTTCATTTGTTTATTTATATATACATTTACTTTAACAAATGTTGAGTGCCAGTCATCTGTCAGCATTGATTATTTGCCAGGAGAGAGAAAGGTTGAGGGTAGGTGAGGTGGCTTAGACATTGTCTCTCTGCTCAAAAAACGTATAATCTATCTGGAAGAAAAATATATTTTACAGTTTTACTTAAACCTCAAAACTCTGGTGAAGTCCTCTACAGATGAGGCAAGTAAGGGTCAAAGAAGTTAAATCACTTTCTTAACTTGGAGGGAGTTTAGATTTGGTGTCTTCTTTAGGATTTTGGCCATAAAGTTTCAGTGTTTAAGGAATGTTTAGGTAGTTGCACTATTCCAAATACATCTGGAATTTTTATATGAAAAGAAAACTGTTTTGCTGCACATCTAGCAAATGACAAGAGTAGAAAATTCAATAATTCTGCCATTCTATTTATCTTTGATTATCTTTAATGTTTTGAAACATGACTAACTTGAAAAAATAGTTTGTACCAAAAAAAAAAGAGGAAATAAACTTTTAACTAGCAAGTAACAGCTCATGAAATTTACCTGGTCTAGTAAAAAATGTATTCAGGGAAGTCAAATGCCATGGACTATTTTAGATCTCCAAATAGAATGTTTTAGAATAAAAATAGCACGTGCTAAATTAATGGGATGGTCACAGTAAAAACACTCATGTTCTGCGTTCCCAAAGGTCAAATGTTCTCAGTGACAATACCTGTTACAGAAGAAATAGTGATCAGATCACAGCAGGAAAGACTTCAATAAAGTAACTAAAATGTTTTCTGGTCGGTCGCGGTGGCTCACACCTGTAATCCTAGCACTTTGGGAGGCCAAGGAGGGTGGATTACCTGAGGTCAGGAGTTCAAGACCAGCCTGGCCAACATGGTGAAACCCCATCTCTACTAAAAATACAAAAATTAGCTGGGCGTAATGGCGCACGCCTGTAATCCCAGCTACATGGGAAGCTGGGGCAGGAGAATCGCTTGCACCCTGGAGGTGGAGGTTGCAGTGAGCAGAGATGGCGCCATTGCCCTCCAGCCTGGGCAACAAGAGCGAAACTCTGTCTAAAAAAAAAAGTTTTCTTATTACTGCTTACAGTTCAATTATCATAAGCAACAAAAGTGTCATTGCAAGTTGTATTTTGTCTGCATTTTAAAGCAAAGATTCAATGTTTGATCAATTTTCGTGTTAAATGTAGATTCTATATGTGTCTTGAACATGTTAAATATTTATATTTAATAAAATTTAGCTTTATTTTAATTGACAAATAAAACTGGTATATACTTACAGTGTACAACATGATGGTTTGAAATATGTATACATTGTGGAATGGCTGAATCAAGCTAATTAACGTGTATTACCTCACATACTTTTTTTGTGGTAAGAACACTTAAAATCTATTCACTTAGCAACTTTTAAGTATACATTATTAACTATAATCACCATGCTGTACATTAGATATCTTGAACTTATTCCTTTGGTTTAACTGAAATTTTGTATCTTTCACCAACATCTGCCCCATCCCACCTGATAACTACTATATCATTCTACTCTTCTGTTTCTAAGAATTTCACTTTTTTAGTCTCCACATACAAGTGAGATCATGTGGTATTTGTCTTTCTGTACCTGGCTTATTTCACTTCACATAATATCCTTCAGTGTCATCTACACTGTCACAAATGACAGGATTTCCTTCTTCTTAAAGGCTGAATCGGCCAGGCACAGTGGCTCACACCTGTAATCCCAGCACTTTGGGAGACAAAGGTGGGTGGATCACGAGGTCAGGAGATCGAGACCATCCTGGCCAACACGGTGAAACCCTGTCTCTACTAAAAATACAAAAATTAGCCGGGCATGGTGGCATGTGCCTGTAGTCCCAGCTACTCAGGAGGCTAGGGAAGGAGAATTGCTTGAACCCGGGAGAAGGAGGTTGCAGTGAGCCAAGATCACGCCACTGCACACCAGCCTGGGTGACAGAGTGAGACTCCATCTCAGGAAAAAAAAAGAAAAGAAAAGAAAAAAGAAAAAAAAAGGCTGAATCATATTCCATTATGTAGATATACCACAATTTCTGTATTTATTCATCCACTCATGGGCACTTAGAGATTGAAAGATTGGCTATTGTGAATAGTGCTGCAATGAACATGAGCAAGCAGATATCCCTTCAATATACTGATTGCAAAGAAATACAAATTTTTAAATTTTCGTTTCATTTAACTTTACACAGCAAAACCATGTACTCAGGATTTCAATTTTCTTCAACAGATGAAGGTTACATTAGGAAAGTTATGTAAAAAAAAATTATCCAGTAGGAAATTTAATTTTTTAGAAACTAATATTCATTCACAAAACCTTGCAATGCATACAGCACTGTGCACAATAGTAAAAGTCATATAGACAACTAAATGATGACATGGTGTACTTGACCTAGGCTCTCAATATGGGACAGAGAAAGGGTAAAGATTACAGAGAACTAGTGGGGGACACCATCATTCTTCCCTTCTCTCCTGGCTTCAGCTTTCCCACTGTGACAGGTGGAATAAATCAGGTAGCTCTTGGGCCGCAGGTCCTGCTGTCTCCAATTCAGCCTAGAAAGAAGAGTCTCCACTTAGGCTTGGATTAAGCCACATTTTCCACTCATTTTCCCAGAGAACTTTATGACTGGGAATATTGAGATCTTGCTGATCTTTTCATTCTCCATTTGCTGGTGATTTCGATTTTCATTCTTTGTGAGTGAGAGCCTAGAAGTTAAGTAGAAGTTTGAGACCCCAAACTCATGTATAGTCATTCTGGTAAGAAATAGGATCAATACTGTAGAAGAAAAGTATTAAAACTGCTAGCAAACACTAGAGGTAGACAATAATAAATTTATAGGGTTGCTGACCTGCTTGGTTTGTGATTTTTCTCTAAAAGAGCATAACAAGGTGGGTGTGTGAATGGAACAAGCAGGTGAGCTCACTGAAGACTGGGCAGGAAGACATGATGGAGGGAAGGATTTTAGTAATTTAGAACTAATTATAATAATGTTTAAGAAATCTGAAGCAGATAAGAAGCTAAGAAAAGGCTACAAGAGGAGAAAAGTTTACATGAACAAATCAGAGATTTTATTGAGGTCATTTTAGCCTTTATTAAGTCAAAAATTTATTACAGCTACCAACATACACAAAAACAGCCATGTTCTGGTGAACAGGAACTAGCCAAAGTCTCTGTCCTCAATGAGCTTACAGTCTAGTAGAAGAAGAGAGGCATTGGTCAAATAATCCTACATATATAAATGATAATTATTTAAGGCGGTAAGGGCTAGGAAGAAGTGCTGTGGATTGAAAAGCTATCGTGGTAGAGTATTTGTATCCTACTCATGTTCCTCTTTCATATCAGTAAATTAAATATGTATCCACATCATGATTTATATGGCTAGCTGATGTTCCCTGAAGGTAGAAGGGGACTTCCCTGAGAAACTGTTATCCCAGCTGAGATCTGAAAGTGAAAACCTTTCTAGGCGGGGGTAATAGCATGCGCAAAGCCTTCATTGGAAAGATGTAAAGTATATTTGAAGAACTTGAGGAAAGAGAGGAAAAAAATTGAGATAAAACTTGAGAGGCAGAAAAGCAAATGATGACTAAAGGCTCTGCTCTTTAAAGATTGCGATCTCTACATTAGGGGGCTTAAGAAAATGTAAGACAGTTTTAAGCAGCATTGAGTTTCGGCACATTGTGGAAGAGAGAATGTGAAAGATAATTCTAGCTACAGTCAGGAGAGCAGTTGTAGGGCGCAAGAGCACCTTCAGGGAGACAAATAAGGAAGATCACTGGGCTATAGAATTTTGAGATATTTGGTCAGGAAAAAAAGAGGAAAGATAATCACTAGGGCAGAGAAATGCTGCGGGGAATGTGTGTGGGTTAAGGCCCTGCTTTAGCCTCGTGTGACAATGTCAGAACAAAGCTTCATTTTCTGCCTTACGTTTCTATACCTGAATGTGCACTACAAACCATGTTTTAACTCTAATTATCAGGTAAAGCCCCACACGGTATCTTCTGGGAATACCCAGAGGATTAGAACCAACAGAGGATAGTAACAAGATAAGAATGAGCATAATCGTACCCCACTCTGTGGGATTCGAATATTTTATTACAAATGAGTTTTCTCTCAGATGAGCTTTCACGCATCTGAGAGATTGAAAGGAAAAAAAGAAGTTGGGGTAAGTTTTTTTTTGAGGGGGGTGTGGAAGGCCAAATGTTTATTTCTAAAGTTTCATCAAATTTGCTGTATTGTGCATAGCTGCATGAAGATCTGAGACAGATTCCCATCTACATCCACAAACTAATTGTGTGGCTTAAAGAAAATTACCTAACATCCCTAAATCTCATTTCATCTTCTGTAAAATGATCTCATAGAACTCATAGGTAAATTACATTAGATAATATATAAAAAGCAATTACGCAGTGCCTGGTGAGGAATAAGGACTCAATGAATGGTAACTTATTACTCTAGGCAGATCTTCTGAAAAGCTACCTTAGACTACACTTCTCAAACTCTTTCTCTGCCCACACCAAATGGAGGTATAAAAAATAAAGAAATAGTGATTTGAGAGGGTTCAACTACAGTAGACGTAGTTACAGGAAAAAGGAGATAACTAATAAGCCACAGAATGTGCGAAAACTGCATAAGCAAACTTTAAAAAAAATGTAGGCCAGGTGTGGTGGCTCACATCTGTAAGCCCAGTACTTTGAAAGGCCAATATGAGAGGATCACTTTAGCCCAGGAGTTTGAGACCAGCCTGGGGGCAACATAATGAGATCTCATCTCTAAAAGAAATTTCAAAAATTGTCTGGATGTGGGGTGCACACCTATAGTCCCAGATGCTCTGGAGGCTGAGGTGGGAGGATCTCTTGAGTGGGGAGGTCCAGGCTATAGTGAACCATGATTGCACCACTGCACTCCAGCCTCGGTAACAGAGCAAGATTCTGTCTCAGAAAAAGAAAATTGTGGTAAAATACACAAAGCATAAAATTTAACATCTTAACCATTTTGAAATATATAGTACAGTAGTGCTAAGTTTATTTACATTGTTGCTTGACTATCTACATTGTTGCTCAACTAATCTCCTGGACTTTTTCATCTTGCAGAACTGAAACTCTATTACCATTAAACAACTTCTCCATTTCCTTCCAACATCTGTGGCTCCTGGGAACCAGCATTCTAATTTCTTTTTCCATGAATGTGACTACCCTAGGTACCTCATGTTACTGGATTTAAACAGTCTTTTTGTGACTGGCTTATTTCACTTAGCATAATGTCCTTGAGGCTTATCCATGTTGTGGCATGTGTCAGAACTTCCTTTCTTTTTAAGTCTGGATAATGTTTTGTTGTGTGTATATACCACATTTAGTGTATCCATTCATTGAATGAATACTGGGTTGCTTTCGACTCTTGCCTATTGTGATTAATGCTGCTAGGAACGTGGGTGTACAAATGTATCTTCAAGACCCTGCTTTTATTTCTTTTGTATGTATAGCAAGAGCTGGAATTGCTGGATCATATGGTAATTCTGTTTTTACTTTTTTAAGAAAATACAATACTGTTTTCCATATCATCTGCACCATTTTACATTCTCGTCATTAGTGTACAAGGGTTCCAATTTATCACATCATAGCCCAAGCTTATTACTATTGTAATTTTTAAAATAGTAGCCATCCTTATTGAAGTGATATGTCATTGTGGTTTTAATTTGCATTTCCTCAATGCTCAGTGATATTGAACATCTTTCCATATACTTATTTGCCATTTGTGTCTCTTCTTTGGATAAATGTCTATTTAAGTCCCTTACCCATTTTTCAATCAGGTTATTTGCTTTTGTTGCTGTTGTTGTTAATGAGGTAAGATTTTAAAAAGTGAATATGTGTGTCTGTGTGTGTTTATGTATGTGTGCACATGTGTTTTAAATAAAATCTCATGTTGTGTGCTTTTAGATATAGGAAAGATTTAAATGGTTAAAGTTTCTCTTTTCAGTGCCAGTCATTGCAAGACTAATTTAGAAAAAGCCAAAAAGTTGGTCATTCAGATTTTGTTTTTTATATATCATCAGTTTTACCTAAACATGAATATATATTTAAATTCAGACATAATATTATTCTGTATCTTAATTATTTCGCACACGTTCCTCTGTATCGATAAATATACAATTGCATCACAATTTGAATGGGTAAAGAGCTATCCATTCATTCATTCAGCAAACCTACACTGGAAGCTTACTATGTCACTGGGCTATGTCCTATGGATACAATGGTGAGCAAGACACACATAATCCCTACTTTTATGAAACTTTCCATTGTCTAGAAAAGAAATCTGTTATAGAAGTATCAGTGTGTTGAACATCTGTCCCTAAACACTATTCAGGCTTTACCAGATATCATGACATGTAGATTCTTCTACAAATACCCTGCACTAGTAGAACAGCAAACTAACACTAGGGTTATTTGAATCCAGCATATCATCTCTGATAGGCATCTCCAAAGTGTGGGAATAAGATGCTATGACATCTTGGATTTTTGCCAATCAAGTTAGGAGGAGCCATAGAATCCTCCTATTGCAATAAAACCGTTTAACTATGCTTGAAGGAGCTTCATTTTATCCTTTTTGCTTCATGCTATTTGTAAAGTAAGCATTTTTATTAGAGATTTTTACTTGTTTTTGTTTACTGGTTTCAAATACGAAGGGAACTTTGGGGACTATAAATGGAATAGAAAAACTACAAATAACTAAAATGTCATGGAAACTAGGAGCTGGCGTGTCTGTGGGATCCCCAATTAATAGTACCATTTCTTTCACTTTAGATTCTGAGAAAGTCGAGAAACAGTTATCAACTCCAGTCTTGTTGGAAGTTAAGTTACAAAAAGTAACTTGCTGGGAGAATCAAATGAGCATGCCAATTAAGCCCCATAATTAGACCATCTTGTCTTCAACAACACTGGATGGAAAGACTTTCCCCCTGCGTTTACACTAAAGAGTATTTTGACATATTGGCAGTGTGATGCAGTAGGAAAACCATGACACAGTAGGACTTAAGAGGGCTTGTGTCTAGGGCTGGCTTTAGCATAACTGAATGTAGTACACAAGGAAGACACTTATTGCTGTATCTCAGTTCCACCATCTGCAGGTGGGAATATTGGGTAGTAGAATAGAGTAAGTGGAGATAATAATAAAGTCAATACAGTTGTCCTTCAGTATCCTCAGAGCATTGGTTTTAGGACCCTCATAAATACCACGATCCAAGTATACTCATGTCCCTTATTTAAAATGGTGTAGTGTTTGCATATAACCTATGCACATCCTCCTGTATACTTTAAATCATCTCTAGATTACTTATAATACTTAATACAATGCCTACCACCATTTCATGCACATGAATTCAATGTAGTACTCAAGCGAGGCAAATTCAAATTTTGCTTTTTGGAACTTTGTAAAATTTACTTTCTGAATATTTTTGATCCACAATGGTTGAATTCACAAAGGCAGAACCCATGAATATTGAGGGATGACTGTATATAGACATAACCTATGTCAGTACTTATTTTACCAGTTATTTATCAGACAACTTCTTTGTATCATGAGCTCTGGAGAGAGGTAATTAGGATGAGTAAATTGCAGGATGAGTAAAAAGAGGTCACTTAGGGTAGCTATGTGGTACAGGAATCTATAGCAGGGAGGTGATTTGGAGTTAACAGGAGCTGAGTTTGAGGTCTGATTTGCTGCTTAATGTGTAACCTTGGGTTCATTATTTGAAATATTTAATCCTCAAAACTCTTTTCTACATTATGTAAAATCTACTTTATAGGGGTGATGTGAAGATTTAATAAGATGATGTACGTGAAATGCTCATCACAATGCCCAGAAGACAGATCATGCTCTATGAATGTTAGTTAATATTCTTCTTCACAAGGTGGAAGAACTGAAATTCTTATAGGCAGAAAAGGGGAACAATTATATTTTAATTGGAGCAAAAAGTAAGGTAAAATTGAATGTTGATTTGGACAGAGAGGAACTATTGAAGGGTGCTTCTTGGACTGCTACAGATCCTCTTTATCCTCAACCAGGAAATATTGGCTACCTATTACAGGGACAAAAAATCTATCTCCAAGTGCTTGCTATGCCCTTTGGATTCCTTATCCAGAACTAAGAGACAAAGAATAATGTTAATTATGACATTTATTCCCAATAATAACTCATAATTTATTCACAAACAGTAAGTAAAACATTTCAGAATACTCTTTTCAGGGACCTTTTCACTTCCTTGTTCCTTAAGGAATAGATTAACGAGTTCAGCATGGGTGAGACAACATTATTTAATATTTGCACCTGGCACCAAGCAAGGGGTTGGGTGTGGACTTCAGATAGATGATGATTACAGGTCCATAGGCACAGAGGATTGCAACAAGGTGAGCACTGCAGGTGGAGAAGGCTTTCTGCCTGCCCTCTGATGAGCGGATTCTCAAGATGGCAATCCCAATGCTAGTGTAGCAGACACAGACACTGATCAAAAGTGTTAAAGCCAGAAAGCCAACATTTATGGAACCCACCCTCTGGGCCAGGGCACTGTCAGTACAAGCCAGGGGTAAAACAGCAGGAATGTCACAGAAGAAGTAGTCCACCTGATTGGGGCCACAGTAGGACAACTGAAAGGTAAAGGAGGTCAGAATGGTGGCGTGAAGACAACCCACCAACCCGGCACCACGACCAAGCCGACACAGACTCCAGGCTTCATGATGAGCATATATCTCAGTGTGTGATGTATGGCAACAAAGCGATCATAAGACATCACAGAATAGAGGCAGCCTTCAGCAGAACCCAGCAACTGATAGAAGAAGAGCTGTGAAGCACATCCCTTAAAAGAAATGACTGGGCTCTGGCCAGAGAGATACAATAGCATCTTGGGACATGTTACAGATGGGAACAATATGTCAAAAGTAGACAGGCGTCCCAAGAAGAAATACATAGGAGTGTGAAGAAACAATCGCTATAAGGATGAGTAAATTTCCAAGTAGGGTGAAGAGGTAGATGAATGAGAAGACAGCACAGAGTACAGCCTCCAGTCCCTCTGTCTGAGGTATTCCCCGTAGAATGAATTCATTCAGCAATGTGTGATTCCTCATGTTCATGGAAGGGTAGTCTGGGTTTTCACAAAATGTGTGAAAATATGAATGTGGAGGCTAATTGGGATAAACACAATACCAATACATTCATTGGCACCAATTTTTGTTTAAACATTAAGTTGATGTTGAAATTAAGAATTAGAAATTATTCCAAAGACATTTAGGAATTAGTAAAGCATGCATAGGCCTTCATATCTTCAGATATATTCCTTCATGAATATAGACACAAAACAAAATGAAACATTAATATGGTGAAATGTTGGATGGGCTAAGAAAACAGAGAACATAATTAATGTCCACAACAAATTATACAGTAATGAATGCCCTAAAAAGACCAACTGATAAGTCAGATCCTCCTGATTCCTCTTCAGAATATTTCTACAGTTACTCAAAGATGTGATCAGATGCCCTAATTATTCACCAAAAGTCAATTTGGTCATTGACATGTCTAATAAGAATGATGGATTGAGATACAATGCAATGAGCTTTAAGATTTGGGTTGTGTTAATATCATTCTAATTATAGATAAACTTTTTATTTTTGGCATGTTCTTATTTGGAAATATTCATTTGTCTGAAAAGAAACTAACAGTGACTGATTTGGTTATTATTCTGAGGTTTTAAATTGCTTAGAGATTAGCAGCTGAGATATATTATTATATCCTAGTTTTAGGTTTTAGTGAAGTCACATCATATATAAAGATGCAGATATGAAATATTTAATCTTTGCTAATGATTGGATTTTTTGAATCCTTAAAATAATGAAATTAAATATTTCAATTCAGAAGCTTTTTGTGTGTTTTTATCTTTAAAATTTTTTTTTATTATTTTGTTGTGTAAGAGCGCTTAACATGAGAAGTACTCTGTTACCAGATTTTCAGTATAGAATACAATATTATTATTAACAATATGGGGACAATACTGTACAGCAGATCTCTAGACTCATCTTGCATTACTAAAACTTTAGAGCCATTGATTAGTAACTCGGTCTCCCTGTCTTCCCTGCCCACCCATGACAACCATCATTTTGCGCACAGCTTCTATGAATTTGACTGTTTTATTTTAAGGGAAAGAGGTAACTGTATAGGCTGAGAACATGTAACTGCCGCTGGGATATGACAGTGCTTGAATACAAAGGCTCTTGTGAATCATCCAAGAAGGATGTTTTCATTTTCAGTTTTTACTTTTTTGATATATATATTTTTGATATTCCCAAATATCAAAACAAATAATTGCCCTTATCTCTACTTACAATTCCTGGTCAATTTCTCTGATCCTCTTTATAAGTAATAGTTATTGATTGATAATTTTAGCCTCTAAAAATATGGAAGTGGTAAGATAGATGAATATCATCCATATATACACAGGAAGTACTGAAGGAATTGAGTTCAGGTTCTGTTAGACTTCCAGATCCCTGAGAGTAGTACCTATAATTTGTCATTGAATCTGCAGCACGTGTCACAGTGCTTCTGAATAGCTGGAATTTAAATATTTGTTAGAGGAATGAATGAATGAAAAGTTGGAAATTAATTTATGGATATTATCTGACTGTGAGTTCTATGAAGAGACCATGTTTATTCTTGCTCATCATTGTATCACTAGGATTTAAGAAGTAGCAGCACCCAACAAGTGTGTTTATTTCGATCAAATTTTTGGATGCTCTAGAATTATTCCTTTGGTCCTTCGACTATTTTAAGTCTTTTTTCTTAACCCCTGCAAAAAAATGGTTATAGTCAGCCTACTTTTGGCTTCAGATACATGCCTAGTAAAAGGAATTTAGATATTCATTGAAATGTAGAGTATCTAATTGCTGAACTAGGAGAGATAGGATGAGGCTTGAATATCTTTGAAATTGCTGTAACTCATAAGTACCTCTTGCTGGAGGAGAGTTAAGGAAGGCAAATGGACCTTTCTGAAGAGAGGGAAAAGAACAAAATTATGATTAGTGGAAAGTTCTGTCACAGCAACAACTAAAGAATGTGAAAAGGAGTTATTGTAAACAATATCTTAAATAGGACAAAATTATTCACACAACCTTAGGTACCAGCTTTAGATCCTATGTCTTAGATCATGTGATAATCAAATCTGGAAAAGTGTTATCACAACATATTAATGAAATTGATGCAATCTATTATTGTCTTAAGGCATCAAGTCTATAGAGATTCTGTTTATTGTATTGGGTTCTTTGAATTTTGGGGTCCTTTGGGGTTTCTTGTTGGGGGAAAGCTAGTATTCTTCATTCCCCTCCACTACCCCACCTCCTTACCCCAGGATCCTTTTGTCTTCTTCCTCTGGGGGATCATCTGGATCTGAAATCAGTTTGTATGTGTGCCTTAGTTGTTGAAGAACAAGTGCATGGCCACTGGGTGGCCTCCATGATCTGGATTAGTCATCTCTTCACATAGGTATCTTGGGAGGTTTCTGAACAATTTCAGTTAGGCTCAATGAACAGAGGACAAATAGAGTTAACTGCTATGTAGTTATTTTAATGCATTCCTAGAAAAAGACGTTTAATAACTCAGCACAGAAAAGTGGAGTGTAATTTGTGACTTTTAAACTAAGAAAATCTAGGGGATAAATGGAAAAACTAGTTTGATGTTGGAAATCAAGATCAAGTCAATGGGAAAATATTGCCAAAATGTGGGATGTTCTTATAGTTGTGCTTGGTATATAGTGAGTATCCACTAATGTTTGTTTTTGATTAACTGAGATAATACTTACCTCACAGAATTGTGTAAGGATTACATATGATGATATTCCTGATATAACCTTGAAAAAGATAGAGAATTCTATTGTTCTCTGCTTGGATGAGAGGAGCCAATAAGGCAATGTTGATAAGGAAAGACAAGATTTTAAGCCAGGCAGATTTTGTTTTACATCTAGGCTCTTGCTTACTAATTCTGTGACTCTGCTATGACTTCCATTTGCTTATCTCCAAAATAAGGATAGTATTACATTCTAAGGGTTGTTTGGCAGACTGAATGGGATAATGTAATATAAGGCATCTAATAGGGTGTCTGATATATTTCAGATGCCCAGCAACTTTTACTTAGTCCTTTACTCTGACAAGGGTAAAAATATTCTTGTAATGTATTGACTTAATATCAGCATGAGTACAGCTAATGCTAAGTAACTCACAGTTTGGGGAAGTGTTTAGAAAATACCCCTGAGCACTGATGGAGGTCTCCTCTGAATTATATTGAGGTGCAAAAATAATATATGTGATAGAGGAGATTGGAAACCATGGCTTAAGTGCCTCCTGCATCCTCCACACCCCACAAGAAAGAACCCCTCCCAATCGTTCAAAAATGAATTATGCTAATACATGGTATCAGTGATAGACAAAGTGAAATGTGAGTTACTCAGCTGTTGACTCGAAAGCAGTACAATATAAACATGACTTTCTGTAAGATAAAAATTCAAAGAAAAGGAGATCTATGAGAAATAGCTCATGAAAACGATACCATTTCAGGTTGAGATTTTATTAACCATGACTTTAAGAAATTTCTGTCCTTATAACTTCAAATATTATTTTTTAAAATTTTAAATATTTAAGTTCCTCACCATTTCTAGACCCACAACCAGACAGGTTCACAGCCATCAAAGAAATGAGGAACTGAGAATGATAATTTAAATAGTAATTTAGGGTTGCAACCATAATAGAAATAAATATAGCTTTCCTAGAAGATTCTATTCAAATCCAAACATTTGTCTAGAAAAGAGACATCATAGAATATTAAAAAGAACTTAAATCAGAGGTTTAAAGATTCAAGCTCAAGTTCTGCTACTTGGTGGTGTGACTATGGGCCAGTAATTTATATTCTCTGAGCCTCGGCTTCCCATCATTACAGAAGCAGAAAGTATTCCTTGCACCAGTAGCCTAAACCTTAACTAGGCAGCTAAAAATTATCATTCAAACTAGGACACTTTAAGAGCAAAGGGGAGCACGATTAATAATTAAGGCGGGACAATACAGGTAAAATAGGACAGTTCTTTGTGTTTCACCCACCTGTATTTTGATATCTACACTATAATTGTGCTTCTTGAATATGTGGAATGTTCTTATAATTGTGCTTGGTTTATACTAAGCACCCACTCATGTTACTATTAACTGAGATATTTATCTTACAGAATCGCTGTAAAGATTAAATATGGTGATGTTCATGAAAGAGTTTGATACCTAATAAGATGTTATATAATAGTTCATTATTATTATATTTACTGTGGGGAGTCCATATAATATATATATAAATAATGAATATGTAATATTCATTATTATTATATTTACTATGGGGAGTCCCATGCTAAAGAAGATTGGAAAACTCTTTAGCATGGGACTCCCCATAGTACATATAATAATAATGAAAATGATAGTCAATGTCTTAAGCCTGAATGATATCACTAGGAGAGATTGGTGTAGTCAAGACAAAATAGTACTGGAGGCCAAACATTGAGAAATACTACATTTTAGGAAAAGGAGAAGGAAAGGGAGTCATTTAAGAAGAAATGTACATATCCTTCAGAGAATTAGGAAGAGAACCAGAAGAATGTCTGTTATATATATATTTGTCTGCTAAAGATTATTTATTTTCTCCATGTCAAGGAATATAACCAACTAAATTTTAATTCTAAGCAACTCTGTGGGGCTTGGAATGTGATGGATGCTGAATTCATTAGTAACAACAAAAGGAAAGGAATCAAGAAATACATTCCTAAATGCTGTATGAGAAGGTGAGTGGAGGAAAAGACTCTGGCTGCCATATAGAATGAGAAAGAAGCACTTCACGGTGATTTCTTCTAACAATTCTTGCTACTCAGGTCTTTGGAGTGAGGAAAACAAGTAAAAATTAAGGAAGTTGAGGAGAAGCTCTGAATACTTACATAGTCACAAGGATCACGACCAGCTCAATTAAGGAACACAAATGTTTTTAACCCTTCTTTTGTCTTCTGTTTCTTCTATAGAGTATGGGGCTCTCCATCCCAAACATCTCATTTCTCAGCGTGCCAAGGAGTTGGGTTTGAGTTCTCCAGTTGCAGACCCCAAACGGCTTTTTCTTTTTCATTCAGAACCATACAGAAGATATTATACATCTGATGGCTGCCCTATGGCCTAGGATGACTTCCTCAGAGTTAGCGAAAGTGAAAATATCCCCTACCTTTGTGGAATTTTAAATGGTCTCATAGTCCCCTGGAGCCTCATCTATGATCTATTCTGAGACAGGGAGCAGGAGCCCTCTGAGCACAGGGATCAATTAAATGGCAGATATTGGAAGAGTTTAGGAGTTAGCAAACAGGATGCAGTAATCACGATACCCTTTAAAGGAACTGGGAATCAAAGAGCTGTGGATCCCTCCTGACCACCCTATTTTTCTGGTTTGGGTAGATATCTCATCAGTCTCTTTTGTTCTGTGCAGACTTCAGGGATTTGGCCTACCAAATCTGTCATTTTTCCAGTTTCTACCCATCCCTATACCTCTTATGGCTGTGGAAGAAATTATAACATAATGAATAGAATACTCACTTTGGAGCCAGAAGGTTCTGAGTGCGAAGAACAAGTTTGTTTCTCATTAGCTATATGTCCTTGAGCAGGTACCTGGTGCTCTTTGAGCCTTCACTTTGTGTTGTGTAAAATGCAGTTATGATAGTATTTCACAGGGTGATTTTGAGTGTTTAGATAATGCTTGTAAACTTTCTGACATACTGTGTACCCATGAGATTTATATTTCTTGAAATTGGATAAACAAAGATTTCTCACCTCTTTAATTTCATTGTTAGAATCCTTCCTTTTGCTTTTCCCCCCACTTGCTCTTTTCCTCTTTTCCTTCCCAATTTTAAGATGAGGGTTTTTTAAAAACAATGGTGGTTTTGTTTTGTTTGTTTTAACGATGAGTAATTAAAACCAAAAGATGGTGAGCAGAAAAAACTACCAAACCAAAACTAAAATAATGTTGCCAGATTTAGAAAAAGTATAAGAAATCTCAGAATCCTTTTCATGAAAGTAGCCTTTCTATGTGGAAATCTAAGTGGCATATAGTTTTCCAGATTCTCAAAATTCCGCTGGCCAACCCAACAAAAGGAAAGTGGAACTAACATTTAGAGAATGCCAACTTGTGACATATGCCTTAAAACTTATTTCATTTAATGATTACAACATACATATAGACTAGGTATTATCAGTTCATTCTACAAATGATGACATGGACTCGGAGTAGTTAAATTGCTTTCTCACAATTATACAACTATTAAGAACTAGAGGTAGGACTCAAGCCCCAGACTGAATCTAAAGCTCATAGACTTAATTATGTGACAGACCGAGGTAGATCCTGATAAATTAGAACCTGGTTTCTTGTTTTCTCTACAATTTTCCGAACCTCTGGATGAGCAATATATGTTCTTTACAAGCCCTCATAGATTTTTAGACACTTGAGCTGCATCCTGCCTATCCCCTTTGGCATTTGTCTAGGCTTTGGGTTTGTCAGGAGCATATTTGCTTGTAATCGATGAAAATTGTTACTTTTAAGCAATGGTCACTCTCATCCAAGAAATTTCTGACAAACTACTAAGTGATTTGTGATCACAGACATTATTCCTGTCTGTAATTAATGTAGTTTGACATACTATGTAAAACACTTAGCACTGGTTTCAAATAGGAACTCAATATATAGTACTATGCATATTTTTAAATTCACTCTATCTATCCATTCATTCATGATAAGTTTCTGCTGAGCCCAGGTTGTCTGTGATATCTTCAAACACTTAATTTCCAAGTTATCGGTGATCATATGAAAATTATACCTATTAATTATAATTGTTATCACCAATATGTAATAAATGCTTATAAGATTTGTGCACGTCTGAGCATTTGTTATTTGAGCTTTTGAAATCTATTCTCCAGTATCTATAGTGGATTGCAATCACAAGACCTAAGCGTATATACAACCACTGGGATTTGTATGTATTTATTCATTAAACAAATAACTTCATGACTTTTAAAAACTTACTTTCTTAAAGGTTTACAATTTTAAGAGCACATAAAGGGCTCAAGTATGATAAAAACGGCAGGAAGTTTTAGGTGAATTGCTATGGAAACATCAGAGGAGAGAGAACAAGCAGAACTGGACACTTAAAACTCCATGATGATAGAGAACATTGAAGAAAGAGAATAACAGAAATGAGACAATGACCGAAACGACTTATTGAAAGCCTGTTCTGAACCAATGCTAAGCACTCTATGACAAACAGCCTTTTTATTTCAGGAAGGGAAATGGCTCTCAGAAGAACTGAAGAAAAATAAGTAGCAAACTATGATCAACATAATCAACACACACCGGCATAATTCAGGGCACATGTGTTACAGTGGTGGGCGCTAAAATAAATTGGATATTGTTCTCATAATATGCAGATTTCTATTTCCATTATAAGCAAATGTGCTTTTCATATTCTGAAGAAGATAGTTTCCTTAAAAGTCTACTTTTTAATTAATCATAATCAAATGTATTAGGGTAAGATAAGGACCCAAAGAGCTGTTATAAACCATGGAGAAATTTGTTACTTTATCCTGTAAAATTCTGTGATGATACAGTGGCTTGCTCTATGAGAGTCTCAGGGGCTCAGGATCTTTCTGTCTTGTTGCTTCTCCATTTTTAGGGGAAATGCTCCAGGCTTTATGATCTAGTCTTTATGGTTCAAGCTGGTTCAGTTACCTGCATTCACACCAATGAGCAGGAAGAGGGTAAAGTGAATGGGAAGCCATCCTCTTTTCTTTGAAAGGGCATGACATGGTGTTGCACTTATTTCTTGTACCCTATGGGCCAGAGCTTAGTTACAAGGCCACACCAGCTTTAAGGGAGGCTAGGCAATGTTTTTATTCTGAATGGTCATAGACATTGTGAAACTTGGGGTTCCTGTTAGTATAAAAAAGAAGGTGAGAATCAACCTTGAGGAATGCCTGGCAACACTAAGACAGACTTTTAAGTGAAGATATCTCATCTATATCGGTTTAATTGTGTATATTGTGCTAGGTTATGGGAATTTTCACATAGTTGTTTTTTCAACAACCAGCAACTTCTGTGTGTTTCCTGATTCAGTGCCCTCTAACCACGCTGCATGCCTGGTCTGTGGCAGACTTTTAGTGCTAAGCTCTAAGCCCAGCAGGATCAGATGATGAACTCTGCCCACGTTTCCAGCTCCTCCCTTTTGTTGCTCAGATGTTTCGGCCAATGGAAAGAAGGCACAGTCACAAGGAACAATACCAGACATGATTTCTCTCCAGAGAAAAGGATAATTTCCTCTCATAATTAGTTCAGTACATGTAAAAAACATGGTTGTAGGGCCTAGTACTGATAAAATAGAATTTGTGCTTATATTATGCTTTACTATATATGCATATATTACATGCATGTAACTGTATATACATGCATGGGTGTACATATATACACATATATACATCTATGCATGCACATCCATGTATATAAATGTGTATGTGGGTGTATATATATAAAGTATATAAATGTGTGTGTGTGTGTGTGTGTGTGTGTATATATATATATATATATATATATATAAAACTTTTATAGCCACTAAGATTCATTAGATCTCACAAAAACAATCAGTGGAGGTTTGTCATTATCCCCGTTTCAGATGAGAGAACAAATAACTTGGGGAGAGTTATTTGTATATAACAAATATCTCACAAAAACAAGTATATAACCAGTATATAACAAGTATATCCACAAAAAATACATCACAGAGACCAAAATCAAGCTGTGTTTTCCATATGTATCATGTATTCTTTATCCTATAGATTCTCGACAGCAATATGACACTTTAAGTCTCAGATTTAATAGGTTGTTTTGAAATAGAGAAGCCATGGGGACCTTGATCGCTTCTAATGTCCTTTAGCCAGGTAAATGAGCATAGACATTCTCAGTTACTTACATCGTTAACCCAAACATTTGGTTTCAGGATCCCATAAGCGACCCATGACAGGAAGACTTGGGCTTCCCTGGCTAGAGCTTCTCTCATTAGAGCAGATGTGTGTGCCTTGCACTATCTCCTTATCTTTCCCCCTGCTGTAGGGGAGGGGCAACTTGGGGGAAAATGACTCACATTAGAGATAAGGTGTCAATGATATAATCTCCATAAAGCTTTGATTAACAGGGCCCAGGACACAGTAAGCCTTTGGCAATTAAGCTTTTACAAAAATATGCAGTTTTTAATGTCATTGTTGTTGTTCCTGTTGCAGCATTTTCCCTTGCCCTCTTTGCCTGTTCTCTGATTGTTCCTTAGCAAAGAGCAAAGAAAAAAACCAAACGTTCCAAAGTCGAAGACTTTTCCTTTGATACAAACAAGCGAAAGTTCGATTATTTGTTCAATAATTTTCCGTTGATCCCTTAGTCTTGTAGTCGCTACTTTATAACCGGTCCCTAGAAGGGGGCGGTTCTTTCCGGAAATTATGACTGCAGCTGTTTTCACTCCGCTGTGACTCAGAGCGCTCCGGGCTGCAGGAGAGGAAGGTAGGGGACCAAGCTACCGGTGCAGGGCCTGGATCCAACCCCTGCTCTGGAAGACTGAGAGCTCCACATTCTAGCTCCCTTTCCCCAGTCCCCAAATTTGTAGGGGCTCCTTGAATTGCACGCCCCATGGGTGGAGGATTTCATCCTGATGTATGATCCCCAGGAAGGTTCCTGCAAGTTTGGCAGTTTAGGGGAATCTTTTGGAGGTTGAAGGAGGGATTTAGCCATCTCCTAATCTCAAGGCCCTTCTTCCTACTTTCCTTCTCTTTTACTTTACTTTTTTTCCCGCTTTCTTTCTTTGATATAGACAATTGATGTTTTCTCAGTTTCAGGATAGTGTAAGCTGAGGAAATGAGGCTGTAAGCCTCATCTACTCCAATCAGTTGCAGCCCCTAAGCCCTTCTCTATAGAAATGTAAGAGACCGACGCAGTCTCTTCTGTAAATACGTGGACATTGGAAATCTAGGACTGAATGGAAAGGTTAAATCAATCTCTGATTTTATCCAAGCCCCACTTCTTACCCCAAATCTCCTCCTTGTCTGGTTCCGAGTTCTCCACTTCACCCCTGCCACAGGCCGCAGGGGTGTGTGTGGCCGGTGGTGCCACCCAGCTCCCCTCCCACCCTCCTAGCTGCTGAGCGGCTGGTGCTGGGACTCTGCATTCCTGAAGCAGCTACCTGGCTAGGCCGGAAGCCTTGTATTCTCCCAGCTGCCTCAGATTCATGGCTTTCAGCTTGGTGGCCAGTCTCTACCTAAGCCTTGCAAGTTGCCTTTCTGAAGTGCCATCCTGAGAGACAGAACTAATTCTGACCCAAACTAATTTTGTTTGTACTGGGAAGAGTGGGGGCAAGGGTGCAGAATAGCAAGTTTTCCTCAACGGAGGATTTGTTCTGAGCTTAGAATCAGGAAGCGAAGGCTATTTCCTTGTAGGGGTGCCCTTTGCGTCTCTCTCTCTTTTACTCTAGCCACCTTGGTGAGTATTGCCCAGCCTGAGAGCTTCTCTTTCAGCTGTTTTACTCCTGTGTGAGTCTCCTGCTTTAGGCTCTCTGCTTAATGTGTTATTAGAAATTCTTCCCTCCCCCAGCCCAGCCTGTTCTACCAGAGAACTTGCCCAGGTCAGAGGTCTGCGTAGAAGCCCTTTTCTGAGCATCCTCTCCTCTCCTCACACCTGCCACTGTCCTCTGCGTTGCTGTCGAATTGTGAGTCATTTTGCCACACTCAGTTTTTATCCAATTTCTCAAAATAAAAACAGATATGGAATGAAAAGCCTGATTTATTGGTGCTGTTTAGTGGGGGTGCAAATGTAGGCTATGTGCCTATATAATATTTAAATATATTAGAATATCTTGGATGGATACAAACAAATATACTCGTATCTTTTAATTTTGGGTCCCAAAAGAAAAGCCACAAGGTAAATGGCCTGTGGCAGGAGTCCATCTTGAATCACACAGCTTCTCACATGCAGCGCGTCTCTGAATGCCATGATCCAAAGTGAATGGTGGCAGAGGTTTATTGATTAACAGTAACAACAATAATAGGGACAATAGTGATGTCTGTCATCATTGATTAAATGCCTCCTATGGCCCATGTGCTATTGTAGGGACTTCACATGTATTAATTCACATACGATGTGTGGATATTATACTACTCATTTTGGAAAGAAAATACTGAGGCTCAGAGGGATTAGTGACACCTACTCCATATGCCCAAGGAGTGGTGAATTAAATACACTTTTGAGAAAGTGGAATTGGTATTTGAACCAGCCTCAGGGTGTTTCAGAGATTTCCTGTTTAGTAGATACCAGTGAATCTTACACCTTCCCCACCTGGGACTGCCATTTAAAAGGACCCTTATGACTGAAATCTTTGTCTCCTTTTTTTTAAAGGTTCCAACTTCCTAACTCCAACATTAACCCTTTGAATGTATTCTTATGCCAGAGAAAGGCACATAAAGTACTGGTGTTTGAACAGATAACTTCCAACATGTCCTCTGTTTGTGATATGTCTTTTCTGCAGAAATCTTGCATCACCATGGTGCACTTCTGTGGCCTACTCACCCTCCACCGGGAGCCAGGTAAGCCTAATTTGTGACTCTTACTTGCCATTGAATCTTTGGCACCTATCACAAGGCTTGATCTACAAGGAGGCAATCTATTGAAGCTTGATGAACTTGAACTCTGGTCTATCTCCAGTGCCGCTGAAGAGTATCTCTGTGAGCGTGAACATTTACGAGTTTGTGGCTGGTGTGTCTGCAACTTTGAACTACGAGAATGAGGAGAAAGTTCCTTTGGAGGCCTTCTTTGTGTTCCCCATGGATGAAGACTCTGCTGTTTACAGCTTTGAGGCCTTGGTGGATGGGAAGAAAATTGTAGCAGAATTACAAGACAAGATGAAGGTAGTAGAGATTACCTCCTCCCTTCTTATTACATTACCTCCTCCCTTCTTATTTCCTTAATGCATACTCTTTATGATCTCTACTAAATGTACCTTCACAAAACATGCTGATGTTGAAAGCTCTTTCTTCCACTCTTTTCTAACTGCCATTTTTCTAAAATCATTTGGGGAAAGAAATCAATCAGAGGCATTCAGAGTATAGCTGTGATTAGACAAGACCAATCACACAGTCGCTCTGCACTGCTCGTCTCTTTTTCAGCCATGTCACCTTGGATGTTCCCTTTCTTTCCCATCCCTCGCCCTGTGCTTCTCAGGCCCGCACCAACTATGAGAAAGCCATCTCCCAGGGCCACCAGGCCTTCTTATTGGAGGGGGACAGCAGCTCCAGGGATGTCTTCTCTTGCAATGTGGGTAACCTCCAACCTGGGTCGAAGGCGGCAGTCACCCTGAAGTATGTGCAGGAGCTGCCTCTGGAAGCAGATGGGGCTCTGCGCTTTGTGCTCCCAGCTGTCCTGAATCCTAGATACCAGTTCTCTGGTGAGTACCTCTCCCCTTTGAATTCTAGTGGTGGGTGACATAAATGGGGAAATTTTCTTAAGGTTGAGAGTGTCATAAAAAGTGTTGGCAAGGAAAACAGAACTAAGGTCATCTTTTATAGGGTCGTCTAAGGACAGTTGCCTTAATGTGAAGACTCCTATAGTCCCTGTGGAGGACCTGCCCTACACACTCAGCATGGTCGCCACCATAGATTCCCAGCATGGCATTGAGAAGGTCCAATCCAACTGCCCCTTGAGTCCTACCGAGTACCTAGGAGAGGACAAGACTTCTGCTCAGGTAGTTAATGAGAGAATACTGCTATTGTCAGTACCTCTGTTGCTTGAGTCTTGACTTGGTCCCCAACCAGTTCTTCCCAAGTGGTAACCCAGAGGGGGTCCCACATGCTCCTTGCATATCGTCATTTAATCTCCAGAGCCTTCTCTCCAGCCTCACCTCTGTTCCTAGTCATGCTGTCTTATGGAGGAGGACTGCGCCCTAACCTCAGCCCCAAGAAGCAAGAAGTTATGATTCTAATGTGGCTCCTTTACCTGTCCTCCACTCAGGTTTCCCTGGCTGCTGGACACAAGTTTGATCGGGACGTGGAACTCCTGATTTACTACAATGAGGTGCATACCCCCAGCGTGGTTTTGGAGATGGGGATGCCTAACATGAAGCCAGGTATTTTCTTTCTTCCTTTGTAGTCATCCCCTAAGGGGCAACTCCCTGTCTTGGAATTACTGTCGAATTACTCTCTTTTCTTTCCTTCCCTCCAGGGGTGGTTAATACATGTGAAACACTGAAATAGTTTACACTATGTCATGCAAAAATGGTTAGGTTTAATGACTGTCATGTGATATGTCTTGTAGGCAAATTTAAGTAGATCAGTAGATAATTGGGCAAAAGCCAGGAACAGATAATTTACAAGAGAAAACATGGCCAGTTTATAAACATGTGGCAATGATCAGTCTTGACAGACATCCAAATAATCATGTGACATTTTCACCTTTCAAATTATCAACGATTTCCAAATCTGATGCCTCATGCTTTAAAAGGTTTTCTTAAGGTTGTGAGTGTGCTAAAAAGTGAACTAACCTTTCGAGGATAAATTTGGCCATATGTGTTAAATCAATGTTAACTTTGGTAATTTCACTTTTAGAAATCTTGCCTAAGGAAGTAAATCCATATATAAGTAAAAATATGCACTGAGATGTCCCCCACCATTTTAATAATATCGAGTATTAGTAAGCAATCAAAATGTCTCTTATTGGCTAAATTTGCTATGCTAGGTATACTTCATGAGTTAATATGCAGCTACTAAAATAGTGTATATTGACAGATTGAAGTAATTGGACAAATGACCTCCAAAGAATGTTACGTAAAAGAAAAGTAAGTTATAGACAGATTACCACTATAAAATACTCTGTGCTTTAGGAAAAACATTTTAAAACACAGGAAGAATGCAAGTAGTCATTGTGATTAGATTGACTAAGTTTAATTCTTAATTAAGAAAGTTCTTAATTTCTTTTTTATCTAATACATAATTTCTATTGATTGATTCATCACAGCTACATGCAGTCTCAACTGAAGTTTTTTTCTCTTTTCGAGATATAATATATGTAACAAAATTGACCATTTTAACTGTTTTTAAGTGTACAGTTCTGTGGTCTTCAGGACATTCACCTTGTACAACCATCACCACCCTTCATCTCCAAAACTTTTTTGTTTTGCCCTAGCTTCTTAATTTCTAAGACTAAGTTTAGCTTCTTAATAACTTTAGTTTCTTAGTTTCTTTTAATGTTTATTACTTTTGAAATTTTCCTTAATGTACATGCACTCTTTCTTGGAATTTAAATTGGTGTAACCCATGTCAGTTTGCTGTGTTCTTGGGGCCTTCCTGGGCTGCCATGCTTCTGAGTTTCGGTGACACAGGACTGGAGTGCTATTGCCACTTCTGAAGCATTTACACATGGTGGAATGGACATGTCCTTGGTGACAATCATATTCAAAGTGGGACGGCTTGGCTTAGGCTCTTGTTTTTACAATTATAGCTGTTGTCAAGAAAATTCCCTGTAGTTGTTTTTCTACAGAGTACCCTACTCTCTCATTGTTAATGTTTGCTTCCAAAGTAGCTTCATACTTGAGCTCACAAATTGAACTTTTTAGTTTTCCCTCACTTGTTCAACCACTCTTCCTCAGGGCAAGCTCTCCATGCTAAGGTCATTCAAGGGGCTCCCAGCTTCCACCAGATTTGCTGTAACCATCTCCTCTTCCACGAAGCTCCATGCTCTGTCTTTGTACGTTAGTTATCTGCTTTTTCCTTTCCTTATGGTGACTATTTCCTTGGGTGTCCATGAAATATTCCCATAACAGTGACCTACGTGTCAGTTAAGATTATTTCAAAGGACTGTTTTCACCAGAGAAAGTTCCATAATGTTGGATCTCAAAAGGTAAGGATTGAGATCTCAGTCCCTGTTTTTCTAAGAAGTTCCCCTGGCCCCTATGCAGATTTTCTCATCTAGTCCCCATGACCAGGTCTGAAGGCCAAGGGGGGACATCAGGGACAGTCTTTACAGTCTTGTGAATCCCTTCCAGCAGGACTGCTCAAGTCTTGCTTCCCAGGTCGTATATTTAGTCAAGATGACTTGCTGTTCTCATCCACACAAGGAAGCGAATGACAGCTTTAAGCGGCAGCTTGTCTCACTGAAACCATTCAGAGTTCTGCCAAATGAAACCTACAGATATATGACAAAAACACAGTATGTTATTTGTTTTACAGACTTAGAACAGATGTACTTACGATATTAAGAACATGTTTTTCTAAAATTAAATTTATAATTTAATTTAAAAATTGTATAAAAATAAAATTTACAAATAATTTTATAATATTGGTTATTATGGGTTTAATCTGAGTTGAGCCCTAAACTGAGTTCCTTAAGTACATTATATTACTTAACTCTTACAATCAAGCTTGTTCAACTCATGGTCTGTGGGCTGCATGTGGCCCAGGACAGCTTTGAATGCAGACCAACACAAATTTGTAAACTTTCTTAAAACATTATGAAATTATTTTGTGATTTTTTTTTTAGCTCATCAGCTATTGTTAGTGTTAATGTATTTTATGTGTGGCCCAAGACAATTCTTCTTCTTATATGACCCTGGGAAGCCAAAAGATTGGATACCCCGGCTTAAAATAATCTTGACGTAGGTGTTACTACCTTGACTTTTCAGAGGAAGACATGAGGCTAGCAAGCAGAGGAGCTAAAGTTTGAAATGCCTCATTTGAAAACAAAGAAGCTGAGACTCATGGAGGTGAAAATAATTTGAGCCAGGCTAAAATTATAGTAGATAATCCACATATAACGCTTACAATTCATCTGGCATTGTTGTAAACAGGTTAAATATGTTACCCCATATCATACTCATGCCA
The DNA here is from genome assembly GCF_000001405.40 of Homo sapiens. Taxonomy (NCBI): domain Eukaryota; kingdom Metazoa; phylum Chordata; class Mammalia; order Primates; family Hominidae; genus Homo; species Homo sapiens. The sequence goes on from NC_000011.10 coordinate 124,121,839, forward strand.
CCCTTTCTGACTCCTCAATATAGCACCAGCTCCATTTAAACCAGCTGTCTCTGAGAATGGAAAGGAATCTTGCTCATCACAAAAGCTCCTCCTCCATCGTATATCCAGACATCTGGATTGTGTAAATGTTATTTTTTGAACTAGTGTCCTATCATATATTTGATGGGCAACACCCATCTTATTTAGAAGCCAGTTTGGTGTCTGGCATATCCTATGGAGAAGAAATTAAACTGAGCCAGATTCTATTGTCATACCAAATCCCAGGACTACTGAGAATATAAATCTATGATCCTGGAACTGCTTCTTAAAAATGGGATAAAGGAATTTAATTATATAGCCTCTTATATTTTCTGTAAAGCTGGAGTTAACCTAGCCATTCTCATTGCATCTCTATCTCAATACTAGCATTTCAATTCCTGTATCAGCCCTCACTTGCTTCTAAAAATAGTCACAGCTGTGGCTTTGACAACATGGCCAGATAGACTGGGCTCCTGTGGTCACCCCCACACCATTGTTTGGATGATGATAATAGAATCCAACATGTGTCTCAGTGTTTCCCTTTCTTCTGGGGACTATCAGCGAGTTATTCACACCCAAAGCAGACAGACTTACCTTGGTGGGTATAATACTTATACTCTCAACACTTGTAAATTGTCAACCTAAAAATTGTCCATGTGAGTATCACTTTTTTCAAAGCTGTAATTAAAGACTTAAGGCCCATGTGATACATTTCCCATTTATTTGATTTGAAGAAAAGGTTTGATTCTGCAGATAAACTTGTCTGATTCTTTTGGCAAATGCTGGAACATTTTAACCTAATGTATTTCATTCATTTGCCTAGCTGCCAGGAAACTAGTAATCAGTGACAATGTTTTAACTATTGCTTGTGTCTACTAACTTCTATCCTCTTTCTTCTCTTTCATATCTGTTCTGTTTTTGTCTGTCTTATATATTTATAACTCACCTTGACCCCATTGCAAGCAGTTATGGTACATGAATCATCACAGTGTTTTAGATTTGAGTTTTCCTAGCTCTTAATTGAATTCACTACCATTGATTCTTAGGTACTAGGATTCTTGAGTTCCTTTTTGTCTTACAGTGGCTTTATCCTTTCTGAACAGGTCATTTGATGGGAGATCCATCTGCAATGGTGAGTTTCTATCCAAATATCCCAGAAGATCAACCATCAAATACCTGTGGAGAGTTTATCTTTCTCATGGACCGCTCGGGAAGTATGCAGAGCCCCATGAGTAGCCAGGATACATCTCAGCTGCGAATACAGGCAGCCAAGGTAAAGCTAGTTTCTTTCCTCTTCTGGGTCACATGCTCAAGTGAGGATGAATCTGAGGGGTTAAATAAGGGTCTATCTGGAGCCTGAGAGAGCAGCACGACCACCCTGAGGCTAGCCTTGGAATGTAAGAAGGCACAAGGTGGGGGATGGCCCACATCCTCAAGAGTCGATTGACAGGGCCCATGTGTTTTGGCGAGCCTCTCTCACTCTGTCTCTTCATACTCTCTTACCTTCAGGAAACACTGATTTTGCTGCTGAAGAGTTTACCTATAGGCTGTTATTTCAACATCTATGGATTTGGCTCTTCCTATGAGGCATGCTTTCCGTAAGTTTCTGGAAAGACAATAGGGAGTACAAAACGAGACTTTAAAGAAAGGGACTAAATTGTTAAAGGGGTTACTGCGGAGTTGACTTTGGCATTGGGGGTTTCGGATAAGACTCTCTTTTAATGGGGGTTTCTCAATTCAGGGACTCTATACTGGGCAAGGTTAAGTAACCCTCATGTAACTGGGTGTGTTTGTTTTTCTCAGGGAGAGTGTGAAGTACACTCAGCAAACAATGGAGGAGGCTCTGGGGAGAGTGAAGCTTATGCAGGCCGACCTAGGGGGCACTGAAATCTTGGCACCACTCCAGAACATTTACAGGGGACCCTCCATCCCAGGCCACCCCCTACAGGTAAGAAGTGGAACAGAGCTAACAGAAGAGACAGGAAGTGTGAAATCTCTAAGAATCTATGCCCCTGAGCTTCATGCAGTATGTTGAAATATAGTTTGCAATTCACAGTCTTCTATCATATAGTAAACAGAAAAAAAAAAGATGATGCATTTGTCTTCTTCCTTAACTCCATGCGATGGACACTGGAAGGCCTTTTATGGAGTGCCACAATAACTGAGATGCAGCTAGGAGGGGAGGTGCTAAAAATTCCCAGGGTTCTGAACAGATCATGTGAGAATGTGGTGCCAGCGACTGAAACATTAGGGATTTCATGCCTCTTTGAAGAGGCACCAGAGCCTCTGCAATGAAATAGGTGGATTTTTCAAGGGCAAATTCTGGTTTCTTAAAAAGAACTTGACAAAGACCTGATGAACATTTTCTTTCTTTGTATAGCTTTTTGTCTTTACAGATGGAGAAGTTACAGACACGTTTAGTGTAATTAAAGAAGTTAGGATCAACAGACAGAAACACAGGTAGGAAGAAAATGTGATTTCCGGGTGATTGGTGCTGAGTAGTGACACACAGACTCTAGTGCTACATGATGCCGGTGTTGACCTTCCTTCAAGAGGACCAAATGATTTCAGAATTTAGTTTTAGCAGCTGAAAATTTATTTCTCCCTGTAAACGTTAAAAACAGTTTTCCAAATAACATCAACAACACAGCAAAACCATTGTTTCTTATTCTTTCTAAACTACAACGAACACAAGAATTGAATAGTAAGATGTTAATTTTTTTTACTATAAACATTTTTAGAGAAGTAAAACATGCTGAAAACTACACAAATTATAAGCATACAACTGGACTCATTATCACAGTGAATGCACTGTGTGATCGCCACATAGGTAAAAACTGGAATGGTCGTAGGCCTCTCCATCTGTACCCTTTTCCATCATGTCCTATTCCCTGTCACTACACACTAAAACTTTCCTGACTTACAATACCATGGGTTATTTATGCTTGTTTTTGAATGAAAATAAATAAGTTATACAGTATGCTTTTGTTTCTGTGTATATTATTTCTTTCCTTTCAGCAGTGTGTTGAGAGATTCATATACATTTTGAGTATAGCCATAGTTCATTTTCATTGATGTATAGTATTCCACAAAATGACTATGCCATAATTTATATATTGATTTTAATGCTGTTGGACTTCGATTTGGCTGTTAAAAATGATGCTGCTGTGAACAGTTTTGTATTCTTGTACATGTATTGTTTTGCACACACGTGTATATGCATACATACCTATTTATATACGTAGATTTTTCTCTGAGTAGACAGAATTGTGGAGTTTCTAGGGAATGCCAAACATTTTTCCAAATGATTGTACTAATTTAATTCATTAAATTGTAGGAGTGTTCCAATCGCCTAATTTCCTATCCAAAACATGATATTGTTTGTCTTTAAATTTTAGTTTTGTGTGTGTGTCGTGGTGTCTTATGGTTTTTTTTTTTTTTCTTGAGATGGAGTCTCGCTCTTTCGCCCAGGCCGGACTGCAGTGGCGCTATCTCGGCTCCCTGCCATCTCCGCCTCCTGGGTTCACGCCATTCTCCCGCCTCAGCCTCCCAAGTAGCTGGGACTGCAGGTGCCCACCACCGCGCCCAGCTAATTTTTTTGTATGTTTAGTAGAGATGGGGTTTCACCGTGTTAGCCAGGATGGTCTCGATCTCCTGACCTCTTGATCTGCCCGCCTTGGCCTCTCAAAGTGCTGGGATTACAGGCGTGAGCCACCGTGCCAGGCCCCTTATTATGGTTTTAACTTACATTTTCCTGCTGATGAATGAAGTTTAGCACCACTTCATATTTACCCGCCAGTTGGATGTCCTCTTTTGTGATGTGCTTTCAAGTCTTTTTCCTGTTACTTATTTATTTCTATTAGATTGATTTTCTTATTGATCTATATAGTTCATTCTGTAGTCTGGATACAAGCTCTTTGTTGACTGTATGTTCTAGAAATACTCTATAGTTTGCTCTTAGCTTCAAAATGTATTTGAGTAATAGTTGTTAATTTTAATGTAGTTTGATATTTTTCAGTCTTTTCCTTTATGGTTAGTGTTTTCTGTGTCCTGTTAAAAAGTCTTTCCCTATCCAAAGTTTCGTATTTTTGTAATGTGGATATCAAATTGACCCTATTCCATTTATGGAAAAGTTTGTCCTTTTCTCAGTAATGCACAGTGTCATCTCTGTCATCAATAAGCACCTGTATACATGTACATTGTTTCTGGGTCCTCTGTTCCATTGCATTGGTCTATTCATCTAGACGTGTGCTAGAACTACACCATATAAATTAGTACAGGTTCATGATAAATCTTGGTTTCCAATAGTGATAAGTCCTCAATTTTGTTCATTTCATAACCAAGACTGTCTTGATTACACTTGACTCTTAGTATTTGTATTTTAGCATTAGCTTGTCAGTTTTTACCAAAAAAGGAAACCTATTGGTATATTGGCTAGAACTGCATTGACTAGATCTATTTAAGCAGGACTTACTATTTACTATATTGAGCATTCCAGTCTATTTACATAGTATATCCTTTCATTTACTTTGGTCTTTTCTGATTTCTCGAAGTGTTTGTTTCCAACATTTTATTAAGAAACCTTAAACATATAGAGATCTTGCAAAAATACAACAATGGGGGCTGGCCGCAGTGATTGAAGTCCTGTAATCCCAGCACTTTGGGAGGCCGAGGCAGGCAGACCACGAGGTCAGGAGTTTGAGACCAACCTGGCCAACATGGTGAAACCCTGTCTCTACTAAAAATACAAAAATTAGCCAGGGCATGGTAGTGTGTGCCTGTAATCCCAGCTATCAGGAGGCTGAAGCAGGAGAATTGCTTGAACCCAGGAGGCAGAGGTTGCAGTGAGCCGAGATCACACCGCTGCACTCCAGCCTGGGTGACAGAGCAAGAATCCTTCTTGAAAAAAAAAAAAGAACAATGGACACCATATAACCTTCACCCGGGTCTACCAGTTGTCAACCTTTTACCACATTTGTTTCAGCTATGTTTTTTGTCTGAAATATTTGAGGGCAAACCACAGATGTCATAACCCTTCATATATAAACACTTATGCACTCATCTATGAACAAGAACATTCTGCTACATCACAATACAACTATTAAATTCAAGACATTTAAAGTTGAGATAACACATTATCTAAATGCAGGCCATATTTGTCAATTTTTCATTATGTTCTTTTTATTAAGTTCTGGGATGCATGTGCAGAACATGCAGGTTTGTTACATAGGTATACATGTGCCATGGTGGTTTGCTGCACCCATCAACCCATCATCTGCATTAGATATTTCTAATTCTATCCCTCCCCTAGCCCCCCACCCCCTGACAGGCCCCAGTGAGTGATGTTCCCCTCTATGTGTCCATGTGTTCTCATTGTTCAACTCCCACATATAAGTGAGAACATGCAGTGTTTGGTTTTCTGTTCCTGTGTTAGTTTGCTGAGAATGATGGTTTCCAACTTCATCCGTGTCCCTGCAAAGGACATGAACTCATCCTTTTTTATGGCTGCATAGTATTCCATGGTGCATATGTGCCACATTTTCTTTATCCAGTCTATCATTGATGGGCATTTGGGTTGGTTCCAAGTCTTTACTATTGTGACAGTGCTGCAATAAACATATGTGTGCATGTGTCTTTATAGTAGAATGATTTATAATCATTTGGGTATATATCCAGTAATGGGATTGCTGGGTCAAATGATATTTCTGGTTCTAGATCCTTGAGGTATCCCCACACTGTCTTCCACAATGGTTGAACTAATTTACACTCCCACAAACAGTGTAAAAGGTTTCCTATTTCTCCACATCCTCTCCAGCATCTGTTGTTTCCTGACTTTTTAATGATCACCATTTTAACTGGCGTGAGATGGTATCTCATTGTGGTTTTGATTTGCATTTCTCTAATGACCAGTGATGAGGAGCTTTTTTTCATGTTTGTTGGCCACATAAATGTCTTCTTTTGGAAAGTGTCTGTTCATATCCTCTGCCCACTTTTTGATGGGGTTGTTTGTTTTTTTCTTGTAAATTTGTAAGTTCTTTGTAGATTCTGGACATTAACCCTTTGTAAGATGGATAGATTGCAAAAATTTTCTCCCATTTTGTAGATTCCCTGTTCACTGTAATGATAGTTTCTTTTGCTGTGCAGAAGTTCTTTCGTTTAGTTAGATCCCATTTGTCAATTTTGACTTTTGTTGCCATTGCTTTTGGTGTTTTAGTCATGAAGTATTTGCCCATGCCTATGTCCTGAATGGTATTGCCTAGGTTTTCTTCTAGGGTTTTTATGGTTTTAGGTCTTATGTTTAAGTCTTTAATCCATCTTGAGTTAATTTTTGTAAAAGGTTTAAGGAAGGGATCCAGTTTCAGTTTTCTGCATATGGCTAGCTGGTTTTCCCAACACCATTTATTAAATAGGAAATCCTTTCTCCATTACTTGTTTTTGTCAGGTTTGTCAAAGATTAGATGGTTGTAGATGTGTGTCATTATTTCTGAGGCCTCTGTTCTGTACCATTGGTCTATATATCTGTTTTGGTACCAGTACCATGCCGTTTTGGTTACTGTAGCCTTGTAGTATAGTTTGAAGCCAGGTAGCGTGATGCCTCCAGCTTTATTCTTTTTGCTTAGGATTGTCTTGGCTATATGGGCTCTTTTTTGGTTCCATATGAAATTTAAAGTAGTTTTTTCTAATTCTGTGAAGAAAGTCAATGGTAGCTTGATGGCAGTATGGCCATTTTCACAATATTGATTCTTCCTATCCATGAGCATGGAATGTTTTTCTATTTGTTTGTGTCCTCTCTTATTTCCTTGAACGGTGGTTTTTAGTTCTCCTTGAAGAGGTCCTTCACATCCGTTGTAAGTTGTATTCATAGGTATTTCATTCCTTTGTAGCAATTGTAAACGGGAGTTCTCTCATCATTTGGCTCTCTGTTTGTCTATTATTGGTGTATAGGAATGTTTGTATTTTTGCACATTGATTTTCTATCCTAAGACTTTACTAAAGTTGCTTATCAGCTTAAACAGATTTTGGGCTGAGACGATAAGGTTTTCTAAATAGACAATAATGTCATCTGCAAACAGAGAGAATTTGACTTCCTCTCTTCCTATTTGAATACCCTTTATTTCTTTCTCTTGCCTGATTGCCCTGGCCAGAACTTCCAATACTATGTTGAATAGGAGTGGTGAGAGAGGGCATCCTTGTCTTGTGCCCGTTTTCAAAGGGAATGCTTCCAGCTTTTACCCATTCAGTGTGATATTGGCTGTGGGTTTGTCATAAATAGCTCTTATTATTTTGAGATATGTTCCATCAATACCTAGTTTATTGAGAGTTCTTAGCACAAAGGGTGTTGAATTTTATCGAGGGCCTTTTCTGCATCTGTTGAGACAATCATGTGGGTTTTGTCATTGGTTCTGTTTATGTGATGGTTACATTTATTGATTTGCATATGTTGAACTAGCCTTGCCTCCCAGGGATGAAGCTGACTTGATCATGGTGGATAAGCTTTTTGATGTGCCGCTGGATTCGGTTTGCTAGTATTTTATTGAGGATTTTCACATCCATGTTCATCACGGATATTGGCCTTAAATTTTCTTTTTTTGTTGTGTCTCAGCCAGGTTTTGGTATTAAGATGATGCTGGCTTCATAAAATGAGTTAGGGAGGATTCCCTCTTTTTCTTTTGTTTGGAATAGTTTCAGAAGGAATGGTACCAGCTCCTCTTTGTACCTCTGGTAGAATTCAGCTGTGAATCCTCCTGGTCCTGGGCTTCTTTTGGTTGGTAGACTATTAATTACTGCCTCAATTTCGGAACTTGTTATTGGTCTATTCAGGGATTCGACTTCTTCCTGGTTTAGTCTTGGGGTGGGGGGTGTATGTGTCCAGGAATTTATCCATTTCTTCTAGATTTTCTAGTTTATTTGCATACAGCTGTTTATAGTATTCTGTGATGGTAGTTTGTATTTCTGTGGGATCAGTGGTGATACTCCCTTTATCACTTTTATTGTGTCTATTTGATTCTTCTCTCTTTTCTTCTTTATTAGTCTGGATAGCAGTCTATTTTGTTAATCTTTTCAAAAAGCCAGCTCCTGGATTCATTGATTTTTTGAAGGGTTTTTTCTGTTTCTATCTCCTTCAGTTCTGCCCTGATCTTAGTTATTTCTTTTCTTCTGCTAGCTTTTGAATGTGTTTGCTCTTGCTTCTCTAGTTCTATTTAATTGTGATGTTAGGGTGTCGATTTTAGATCTTTCCTGCTTTGTTCTGTGGGCATTTAGTGCTATAAATTTCCCTCTAAACAGTGCTTTAGCTGTGTCCCAGAAATTTGGTGCATTGTGTCTTTGTTCTCATTAGTTTCAAAGAACTTATTTATTTCTGCCTTAACTTTGTTATTTACCCAGTGGTCATTCAGGAGCAGTTGTTCAGTTTCCATGTAGTTGTGCGGTTTTGAATGACTTTCTTAATCCTGAGTTCTAATTTGATTGCACCGTGGTCTGAGAGACAGTTTGTTATGATTTCCATTATTTTGCATTTGCTGAGGAGTGTTTTACTTCCAATTATGTGGTCAATTTTAGAGTAAGTGTGATGTGGTGCTGAGAAGAATGTATATTCTGTTGATTAGGGGCAGAGAGTTCTGTGGATGTCTATTAGCTTCACTTGGTCCAGAGCTGAGTTCAAGTCCTGAATATATTTGTTAGTTTTTTGTCTCATTGATCTGTCTAATATTGAAAGTGGGGTGTTAAAGTCTCCCACTATTATTGTGTGGGAGTCTAAGTCTTTTTGTAGGTCTCTAAGAATTTGCTTTGTGAATCTGTGTGCTCCTATATTGGGTGCATATATATTTAGGATAGTTAGCTCTTCTTGTTGCATTAATCCCTTTACCATTATGTAATGCCCTTCTTTGTCGTTTTTTATCAAAAAGCCCTTGAAGAAATAGTTTTTAGTGAATATTGTTTTTAGTGAAAGCAATAAATAAAAATCAATATTTGAGTGTTACGTCTGTTCCTTACTATTGGGCTGTTATTTATTCTTGGCATTTTCAACAGACAGAACTGGCAAATGTTTTTAAAAAATTCTGAAATTTTTACTTATGCCCCTGCTTCAAAGGTAGCAGTGTAGCATTCTTCCTCTTTTCTCCAATTCTGTATTTATGTCTTCTTTTCTACAGTGAGATAAACCTAGCTTCCAGCAAAATCAGTAAACATACTCATTTCTTCAATCTACCTATAAGTAGTCCACCCTTATCCATCAGGTATACCTTCCAAGACTCTTAGTGGGCGCCTGAAACTGTGGATACTATACCAAACCGTATATGTACCAATTTTTTTATACATACATACTTATGATGAAATTTAATTTATAAATTATAAATATCTATCTGATACCTGAGGCTGCTACTAAGTGATTAACGGTAATACAGATAGCATGGAGATGCTGGATAAAGAGGATTCATGTCCAGGGTGGGATTGAGCAGCATGGCATAAGATTTCATCATGCGACTCAGAATGGGATGCAATTTAAAATGTATGAATTGTCTATTTTTGGAATTTTTTTATTTAATATGTTTGGACTGCAGTGGACCGCACATAACTGAAACTATAGAATGTAAAACTGCAGATAAGGGAAGCCTTCTGTACACACAAAATCTCTCTGTAATATTTTATAATTCTCTGTGTAGAGGGCTTCATGCATTTTTTTATTAAATTGTTTCCCTAGGTGTTTGATGCTACTTTAAATAGTATTTTTTAATAATTTTATTTACTGGATGTTTATTTCCATATAGAAATGAATTTTAATAGCTTGTTTTACCTTGACTTGTATTTAATGATGTTAATTAATTTAGATATTAATTAAATTATATATTTGCAGACTCTTTTAGATATTCTATGAAGAATCACATTTGCAAAAAATATCAGTTTTATTTTTCTTATTTTTTAAAATTTTCTCTTTTTCTTATTTTTTTTTAAAAAATTTTCTTCCCTTCTGGATTAGCCTGGAGAGAACCTCTAACAGAAATCTGAATCAAAATGATCATATCCTTATTTTATTCTGGACCTCAAAGGGAACATTTCAACTTTGCACGATTAAGTATGGTGTTTGCTGTAAGGGTTTCCCTTTTTTTGTAGTTATCCTTTCTATGATTAAGGAAATTCCCTTTTATTTCTGTTTTGAGGGTTCTTTTCTCTCTTTTCTTTCTTTTGTTTTGAATAATTAATGATTGTTAAATTTCATCAAATGTATTTTATGCATCTGTTTAGATGAATGTGTGATTTTATCCTTTATTCTTTTAAAGTGTGAATTCTAATGATAATTCTTAAATGTTAGACCAACCTTGAATTTCTGGAATAAACCCAAAGTAGTTGTGATGTATTAATCTCTTTCATATATTTTTTCATTCAGTTGGATAATACTTTTTTCAGGATTTTGAATCTATTTTCATGGGAAATATTGACATATATTGTCTTATCTTGTTAGGTTTTGATATCAATTTTATGCTAGTATCATAAAATGAGCTGTGAAGGTTGCCTTTTTTCCTTGCTCCAAAAGGTTTTCTTTCATAAATATTTATTAGAATTTGCCAGCAAAGCTCTCTTGGCCTGGATTTTTTTGAGAAAGTTTTTGTTTTGAACTATTCATATTTTATGTGTTCTTATTTTTTATAAAAGTTTGTATATTTTATTGAAGTTCTTTGCATGAAATTGTCCATGATATTGCCTAATAATGTTATTAAATTTTGTAGAATATATAGCGATATTACCTCTTCTTTCCTAATGTTGGTTATTTGTGCCTTTTCTATTAATATTTCTTTCCTTGCACTGGATATTTATCAATTTTAATAATAATTTCAAAACACCAGCACCTTTGGGTTTGTTGGTACTTTCTATCATATAAGTGTTTTCTATTTCATTAATATCTGCTCGAATCTATCTTTATTATTTTCTTTCTTTTACATTCCTTGGGTTCATTGGCCATCCTTTTTTAACATCTTGAGACAGATGCTTGATAGTTGATTTTTAGACTTTCTTTTCTAATGTGTATATTCAGAGCTATAGATCTAAGCACATCTGTAGCTGAATTTTAAATATGGATATGACATTTGCCATTGTCATCCACTTAATATTTTCCAATTATCATTATGATTTCTTTTTTAAGCTTGTATAATTCACAAGTACAGTGCCTAATTTCCCAATATTAGAGGATTTTCTATTTTTGTTAGTTGTCAAAGAAAAAATTATAGAAATTAGATGTTCCTCTAGATGATGTCTTCCCTCTGAGAGGATTCATTCTTTTCATTCTTTGCTTCTGAATGGTCGCTGGATAGACTGGGAACAGATAATGTTAATCCAGTCAGGGTCTGATGAACTTCAGTCGCGGTGATGGCTGGTCTATTTCTGATTCACCTCTACCTCTGGGATGTAGTCCTTTAGGGTTTTATCCTAAATTCTTAGTTGTTTACAAGAACACTTTGGCTGTGGAAAGTGCAAATTGATATTTTGTTCCTCCCGCCTGCGTGTAACCACTTAGGTTTTAAGTCATCTGCTTTTGTACTTGGCACTTGCTTCAAAGGGTCAAGGAACATCAGATGCTGGGCTCAATTCTCTTGGCTTCTCTCTTCTCCCAGGTCTTGGCCTATAGATTTTTATCTTGGTAGACCTTTGATGTTTTCAAACAAATTATTGTAAATATTGTATACAGCTTTCCTAGTTCTTTGCTGGCTTGAAACAATTTACAGTGGCATTGCTGTGAGCAGAACTTTCCTAGGGTGTTATATTTTAAGTCAGAAGTCATTGATTTAAGTTACAGTTCTTCTGCTTGCCTGCAGAAGATGAATCAGCTCATCTCTCCATGCCTTAGTTTCCTCACATGAAAATTAGAAACCTAATAGTACTCACTTTACAGATTTATTGTTATGGTTAAAAGAGTATACTTAGGGAAAGTATTAGGAACTGTGCTAGATAAAAAGTAAGTGCTATATAAAATTTTGCTATTATTGTAATATTTTAATTTTTATTATCATCCACATGCAGCACTGTCGTGAGTTCTAGTTAGTCATCAATATATTTTTGTTGTTGTTGTTTGATTGTTTAGAGACCGGGTCTGTCACTTTGTTGCCTAGGCTGCTCTTGAACTCCTGGCACTGGCTTCCCAAAGTGTGAGCCACCACACCCAGCCAATATTGTTTAGTTTTGATTTTATACAAAAGACCTTAAAAATATAACAGCACTTTATAACATAGGCTACAATTCAAAGATCATGTTAGAAATTTAAAGGTTGTGATATCAAGATGCTGTCAGGCTATAGTATTTAGGAAGTATTGTTACACGTAGGTCCAGTTAGAAGTCTGTTCCTGAGTCTTACAAGCGTAGAGCATTGATCCTAATGCTGATGCCACTAGACTTGGGGATGATGGCTCACACTAAGAAAGACTGATACATAAACCAAAATTGCAGGGTATTAATTTACAATGAAAACTCTGTCTGTCATGCCTTCCAAAAGCGCCTGTGCTAGTACTACCAATGTATTCTTTGTTTATATATAATTCTATTTGGGAAATCGCATTATGTTTAAGAAGTTACTTGGTGCACATGGACTAAGGCAGGGCAAGAACTCTCCATTTAGAAGTGCAGGAGGCACACTTCCTTTCTCTAAGAATAGTCTTGCTAGGGGAGATATGGTACCAGCACATCATTAGGTAGGAACTGGTGTTAGTTTCTATCTTTCTGTTAGTTTGCCAGAGAGATCTTGCAGTAAGACAGATCAGTGCTCCAGTGACATTGCTATCATTTAGTAGTTGCATGATCTTGGAAAGATTTCTTAAATTTCCTGGGCCTCCATTTCTTATCTGCAAAGTGAAGCAGAAGCCTGCCTTTTAGGGGTCTTGTGATGATTAAATTGCATCATTGATTTAAGGCATTTTTATACCTCCTAAAATATAGAATATGCTCAGTAAATGGTAGCTGTTACACTTTTGGTCAAGAAAGTAGACTATTTCCTTATGTATTTTTGGCCATTATGTATTAATTTTATATTTTCACTGTTTAATGCCTTCCTCTAACCTCTGTCCTGTTACAATTGCAGGTGTTTCTCATTTGGTATTGGAGAAGGCACCTCCACCAGCCTAATAAAAGGTATTGCCCGGGCATCAGGGGGCACCTCAGAATTTATCACAGGCAAAGACAGGATGCAGTCCAAGGTGAGGGACAGACTGACTGTGTCTGTCTGGAGGTGGCAATCCAGACCAAAGTGGAACGGGGTGGGGAACACTGTGTAAGGGCAGGGGTAGCAACTTTCCTCCAGGATACCTGTTCCTATATCCCCAAGGCCTTAGGCTGTATACTTAGTCAGGCTACTTTTGGCCTCATGTAATAGAAGCCCACTGTAGTATCTGGAAATATGACATCTGGTCCCAGTAGCTGCAAGCTCAGAGACAAGATGCTGACAGGGATCTGGGCCTTTGCATTTAAGACCAGACACAGACAAACTAAGAGCTTTGACTGTCAAGACTGAGATTCTAGGTCTGCGCTTTAGAACCTCTTTTGTACTACATGCATCCTCCATGCAAAAGATACAAAGAAAAGGAGAAGGAATAATCATGATATGTCTAATGGATCGGAAGAGGTAGTAAATTGCTATTCCATTTCATCTTTCTGCAAAAGGAGAAGACCCCTCTGGTGGTATTTCTTTTTTTTTTTTTTTTTTTTTTTTCTGAGACGGAGTCTCGCTCTGTCGCCCAGGCTGGAGTGCAGTGGCGGGATCTCGGCTCACTGCAAGCTCCGCCTCCCGGGTTCACGCCATTCTCCTGCCTCAGCCTCCTGAGTAGCTGGGACTACAGGCGCCCGCCACTACGCCCGGCTAATTTTTTGTATTTTTAGTAGAGACGGGGTTTCACCGTTTTAGCCGGGATGGTCTCGATCTCCTGACCTCGTGATCCGCCCGCCTCGGCCTCCCAAAGTGCTGGGATTACAGGCGTGAGCCACCGCGCCCGGCCTCTGGTGGTATTTCTAAGCTCCTCTTTCCCAGTAGGTGCCACCTTTATCTAATCCCCTTCTCCAAGGGTCTCGTTACTCAAACATTTTCTTTATTTACATTTACGTTACTAAATATTTCAGCTTTGGCTTATTCATATGCAAAGCTTCTTCATATATAAAGCCCATCTCCTAGAATAGTATTGAGGAGTAGGCATGACATGTATTATGTATCACATCTGATACATAATAAATGTCCAGTTAATTGTAGCTGCCATTGTCTGTATCATTTGTGTTTATTCTGTTCTCTTCCCCACATTAGGCTCTCAGGACTCTGAAACGCTCTCTGCAGCCTGTGGTAGAGGATGTCTCTCTGAGCTGGCATTTGCCTCCTGGTCTGTCTGCTAAAATGCTTTCCCCAGAACAGACTGTCATCTTTAGGGGTCAGAGATTAATCAGCTATGCCCAGCTGACCGGGAGGATGCCAGTGAGTTCCCATTCTTATTTGTTCCTCTAGTCAAAGAGCTACCACATGACCATTCCACTAAAGCTGGTAGGTGGATTTCAATCTCAGCCAGAGACGGCACTTGCCAAGTATAGCTAGCCTACTTCCTTCCCATCATTTCAGGTCTCCGGTTTCCTAGGCTACCTGATTCTTCATCAGATATTTTCATACATTGTTTTGGGTACCTGCCCCTGTTCTGATCCTTCCATGGATGATCAGAACATTACATGTTCCGTCATTTCTACTCATCTCTAATTTGCAGGCAGCAGAGACAACAGGAGAAGTATGCCTCAAATATACACTCCAGGGCAAGACTTTTGAGGATAAGGTGACATTTCCTCTACAACCCAAGCCTGATGTCAAGTGAGAATTCAGTTTTCCCTTCCTTCCTTCCTTCCTTCCTTCCTTCCTTCCTTCCTTCCTTCCTTCCTTCCTTCATTCCCTCCCTCCCTCCCTCCCTCCCTCCCTCCTTCCTTCCTTCTTTCCTCTGCCATCTTTGGGGATTAGATTTCTTCTCTTAATTCTGGGCTCCATTGTAATTGTTTTCCTACAATCATTTTTTATTTCTAAACCACCCAAGTCTTCTCTCTCCCCTTATCTGACTTTATCTTAACTCTTCTATTCCTAACTTTTAGGAGCCCTGAGAAACTGGTATATGGATGTCTTTCCCTACATTTCAGTACTTTTTTTTTTTTCCTTTCAGCCTCACCATTCACCGCCTTGCTGCCAAGTCCTTGCTCCAGACCAAGGACATGGGCCTCAGGGAGACTCCAGCAAGTGATAAAAAAGATGCATTGAACCTTAGCCTTGAGTCTGGTGTCATAAGCTCCTTCACAGCTTTCATTGCTATCAATAAGGAGCTCAACAAGCCGGTTCAGGGGCCTCTGGCTCATAGGGACGTCCCAAGGCCAATTCTGTTGGGTGCTTCTGCCCCATTGAAGATAAAATGCCAATCAGGTAATGAGTTTTATTCCATTCAAACTCATATAGAATAAAAGATTCTGACTATCTGAGCACATTATTTAAAGGAAAGGGCTGTGAAATGTTCTCAAATTGCTTTGTTTTCCTTATACCTCCACATCTAGGATTTCTGGTTAGTGTTAAATTTTTCTGTCCCAGGGAACTAGAATGCATCCCATTGGCAAGGAGATTTAAAATAATCCAAGAGAAAACAAAAAACAAACATTAAAATGTAGAAAGTGCAGGTAAACCCTGAGTAACCAAACTGCCTAATCTGAAGCTGATTTATCTTTTTTATTGAGATATAATTCAAATATCATACAATTCACCCATTTAAAGTGTACAGTCCAATGGGTTTTAGTATGTTCACAGAGTTGTGCAACCATTGATTGCCACAATCAATTTTAGAGCATTTTCATCACCTAAGAAATAAACTTCATAACTATTAACAGACATTTCCCATTTCTCTCCCTGACCCCACCTATCTTCTCCTCCACTCCCCTCTCCACCAGTCCCAGTAATCACTTACCTACTTTCTATCTCTATACATTTGCCTATCCTGTCTTTATATATTTGTTCTGGACTTATTTTCCTTCTTTGTTTTTGAGACAGGGTCTCACTCTGTTGCCGAGGCTGGAGTGCAGTGGCACAATCATGGCTTACTGCAGCCTCAACCTCTCAGGCTCAAGCAATCCTCCCACCTCAGCCTCCTGAGTGGCTGGGACTACAGGTGCATGCCACCATGCCCAGCTAATTTTTTTGTATTTTTCGTAGAGATGGGGTTTTGCCATTTTATCCAGGCTGTGGCTGGCTTATTTCACTTGACATAATGTTCTCCAAGTTCATCTATGTTGTTGCAAATAACAGAATTTTGTTCTTTTTTATGGCTGAATAATGTTACATTGTGTATATATAGTACATTTTCATCATTCATTCATCCACTGATGGATACCTAGGTTGATTCCATGACTTGGCTATTGTGAATAGTGCTGATATCTCTTTGATATTACTGATTTCTTTTCTTTTGGGTATATATCCAGCAGTGGGATTGCTGGATCATATAGTACCTCCATTTTTAACATTTTAAGGAGCCACAGTTTTCCACAATGGCTATACTAATTTACATTCTCACCATGGTGTGCAAGCATTCCCTTTTCCCCATATCCTCACCAGTACTTGTTATCTTTTGTCTTTTTGATGATAGCCATTCTGACAGGTATGAGGTGATATCTCATCGTGGTTTTGATTTGCAATTTCCTGATGATTGGTAATGCTGAACATTTTTTCATATACCTATTGGCCATTTGTATGTCTTCTTTTGAGAAGTGTCTACTCAAGTCTTTTGTCCATTTTTAAATAAGGTTATTTGCTTTCTTGGTTTTGAGTTAAATTCCTTCTGTACTTTGTATATATTAAACCCTTATCAGATGTTTGGTTTGCAAATATTTTCTCCCATTCCGTAGGTTGTTTCTTCACCCTGTTGATTGTTTTCTTTGCTATACACAAGAGGTAACCTCGTTTATCTATTTTTTGCTTTTGTAGCCTGTGCTTGTGAGGTCATATCCAAAAATCATTGCCCAGACCAATGTCATAGATATTTTCCCTTATGTTTTCTTCTAGTTGTTTCACAGTTTCACCTCTTACACTTAAGCCTTTAGTTCATTTGAGTTGGTTTTTCTATGTGATGAGAGATAAGGGTCTAATGTTATTCTTTCATATGTGTGTATCCAGTTTTCCCAATGCCATTTATTAAAGTGACTGTCTTTTACCTATTGTGTTCTTAGCACTTTTGTCAAAAATTAGTTGGCTGTAAATGTGTGGATTTATTTCTGGGCTCTCCATTTCTGTTGCATTGGTCAGTGTCTGTTTTTATGCAAGTACCATGCTGTTTTGGTTACTATAGCTTTGTAGTATATTTTGAAGTCAGATAGTATGATGCCTCCAGCATTTTGTTTGTGTGTGTGTGTGTGTGTGTGTGTGTGTGTGTTTTCTCAAGGTTACTTTGACTATGTTTTTATAATTCCATACAAATTTACGATTTTTTAATGCTGTGAAGGTTGTCTTTGATATTTTCATAGGTATTGCATTGAATCTGTAAATTGCTTTGGGTATTATGGCCATTTTAGCAATATTTATTCTTCCAATCCAAGAACATGAGATATCTTTACATTTATTTGTGTCTTCTTCAATTTCCTTCATCAATGTCTTACAATTTTCAGTATAGAGATGTTTTACCTCCTCAGTTAAATTTATTCCTAAATGTTTTAATTATTTTGTAGCCATTGCAAATGAGATTGTTTTCTTGATTTCTGTTTGAGAGAGCTTGCTGTTTGTGTATAGAAACACTAATGACTTTTGTATGTTGATTTTATGTCCTTCAACTTTGCTGAGTTTGTTTATTCTATTTAACAGGTGTTTTTTTTTTGGTAGAGTCTTTAGGGTTTTCTATGTTTAAGATCATGTCATCTGCAAACAGGTGTAGTTTAACTTCCTCTTTTCCAATCTAGATTCTTTTTATTTATTTCTCTTGCCTAATTGCACTGGCTAGGACTTCCAGTACTATATTGAATAGAAGTGGTGAAAGTCAGCATCCTTGTCTTGTTTCTGATTTTAGAGGAAATGCTTTCAACTTTTCCCTCTTCAATATGATATTAGGTGTGAGTTTGCCATAATTGTCTTTATTATGTTGAGGTACCTTACATCTATACCTATTTTGTTGAGAGTTTTTATCATGATGTTGAATTTGTTTAATACTTTTTCTGCATCTATTGAAATGATCATGTTTTTGTCCTTTTTTATGTTAGCGTGATCCATGTTTATCAATTTATGTTTATTGAACCAACTTTTCATCTCTTGGATGAATCACATTTGATAATGATGCATGATCATTTTAACGTACTTCTGAATGTGGTTTGCTAATATTTTGTTGAGGATTGTGCATCTATGTTAATCAAGGATATTGGCCTGTAACTTTACTTTTGTTGTTGTATCTGGTTTTGGTGTCAGGGTAATGCTAGGAAGCTTGTTTTTAGGGTAACACTAGAGAGCTTGATGGAAGCAAGCTGACATATAGGAAAAAAAGTAGAGAAGTCAAGAACTTAGTAGTCCAGATGAGGTCAAAGATCAGGTAAAACAGAAATCTCTAACTTAGAAAACTGAAAAAATCAGATATTATATTTTAAAACTAGGAATTTTTAAATTTTTTTTTTTGAGTCAGGATCTCACTCTGCTGCCCAGGTTGGAGTGCAGTAGTGTGATTGTAGTTCACTGCAGCCTCGATCTCTTGGGCTAAAGTGATTCTCCCACCTCAGCCTCCTGAGTAGGTAGGACTCTAGACATGCACCACCATGCCTGGCTAATTTTTAATTTTCATATTATTTAGAAATGAGGTCTCACTACATTGCCTAGGCTGGTCTCAAACTTCTGGCCTTGCGTGATCCTTCTGCCTGGGACTCTAGGCACATGTCACCGTGCCCAGATAATTTTTAAAACTTTTTATAAAGATGGGGTCTTGCTACTTTGTCCAGGCTGGTAGCAAGTTTGTAGGCTCAAGTGATCTTCCCACCTCAGCCTCCTGAAGTGTTAGGATTACAGGCATGAATCTCTGTGCCCAGCTTCAATTTATTTTCTATGAGTGGAACAATTCTGCATAATAACAAGGTCTTCATGGCTTGGGAGGAAGTGGCAGAAGTAGAATGAAGTGGAAGTCATTGGATTTGATGAAGTTGAAGAAGCTTTGCATTAGGGTATTTTATAGGCTATCTACATGGGTGATGAAATCTCAAGATGATGGTAGGCCTTTTAATGGAGTGGAAGTCTATGGTCTAGTTTTCAGATACTTTAATGAATGATCGGAAATAACAAAGAGATTGGAAGTAGACAATAGTGACGACATGTGGAAGGTAAACCGCATTTAATGATCTGGATGCAGCATCAGGGACTGAAGAGGTTGCCAACCCTACCTCCCTACTTGAAGTGTGGTACATTGAGCAACAACCATTTGAGAGTGATGGAGGGAGAATAGTTTTTTGGGAGGATAAATTCAGTTTTAAGTTGAGACTTAGCTGGCAGAAGCCTCCTGTAGTAAAACTAAAGATGCAGGAAAAATTGTTTAGCATGTGCCAGGGGTTCCAGAGGACACAGTAGAAGGAGAGCTCAGAGGGTGAGGGTTTGCGCAGGAGGTGGGCATATGAGAGAAAAATAGCACAGTAAGGGTGGTGACTGAAGCCAGTGTGGATGGGGGGGTATGTATCTTGAATTGTCACAGTCCTTTGCCCACTGCAGAGAGCAGGGAGTGCCACTGTCTTAATGTTTGGATTTTTTCAGGTTTTCGAAAGGCCTTACACTCTGACCGTCCTCCTTCTGCATCTCAGCCCAGAGGGGAACTTATGTGTTATAAGGCCAAGACATTCCAGATGGACGATTACAGTCTCTGTGGGTTGATAAGTCACAAGGACCAGCACAGTCCAGGTGAGTACCTTTATAGGAACATTTTCTCAACAATGTTTTTCTGTCACATATACAGGACTAGGCAAGCTAAAAGCTTGTAGTTACAGCTATGACAAGAGATGCATGTTTCTCGAAGGGACCCCCCATGCATTGGAAAAGATTCATTCCTCCACCCACAGAACCAGCCTGGAAACTTACCATGCAGATGAGGCAGGCCTCGGTTCACCCCTGCAATCTATAGGGACTGACAAACTAGCCTTCAATGTTCTGCTGCCTGTGGCTTTCTTTACCCAGGAGTTCATCTGTTTGAAAAGCACTGGGCAGAAGGTCAGATTTGTTCCGCCCCTATGTTTCCCAGGGTCAGCCTAGCTAGGTTCATTAGGATATCATATAGGACCTTG